>NC_000016.10:20001637-20304667 GCF_000001405.40 Homo sapiens | reverse complement strand
ATGGATGAAGCTGGAAACCATCATTCTCAGCAAACTATCGCAAGGACAAAAAACCAAACACCGCATGTTCTCACTCATAGATGGGAATTGAACAATGAGAACATTTGGACACAGGAAGGGAAACATCACACACTGGGGCCTGTCATGGGGTGGGGGGAGGGGGGAGGGATAGCATTAGGAGATACACCTAATGTAAATGACGAGTTAATGGGTACAGCACACCAACATGGCGCATGTATACATATGTAACAAACCTGCACATTGTGCACATGTACCCTAGAACTTAAAGTATAAAAAAACAAACAAACAAACAAAAAAACACATCGTACTGGCTCATGCCTGTAATCCCAATGCTTCGGGAGTCTGAGGCAGGTGGATCACCTGACACCTGGTCAGGAGTTCGAGACCAGCCTGGCCAACATGGTGAATCCCCATCTCTACTATAAATATAAAAATTAACCAGGAGTGGTGGTGCGTGGCTGTAATCCCAGCTACTCCGGAGGCTAAGGCAGGAGAATCACTTGAACCCGGGAGGTGAAGGTTGCAGTGAGCTGAGATAGTGCCATTGCACTCCAGCCCGGGTGACAAGAGTGAGACTCTGTCTCAAAAAAAAAAAAATCATACAGAAGAAAACTGCAGCATTCTCATCACCATCATTACTACCATTATTACCATTTTCATGGACTAAGCTGTTTCTCACTTCTCTTTATTTTCCCTCTTACTTCCTAGATGTGGCCAAAAAAAGCCATTTAAAAAAAATCTTTACATCTGCCAGAAATAGGGCTCATGGGAGCACGTGGGAGGGTGTTCCCCTCGCTCAGCACATGGAATAACACTTTATGAATACTTAATACATATAAATCGGCATGCTAAACATTGTAAATTTATCATCTAACTTAATCCCAAGGAAAGAAAAGAACTTTTATCGAGGAATGTGGGCTCTTTCAAATTATTAGGCCCAGAGAAGCATTCAAACGGCAATCACATCTTATTCTCCCTCTTTAGAGCTATGTATTCATCTGTCAAAACTGCCTGCTATTGCCACAAGTAGCTATGAATTAACCTAATAACACCTCACTGGACACAACATCCCACACTCTAAGGCTTAACAATGGGTAGCCAATCACTAATCAATGTTATTTCTGTAAATCAATGAGAATCCGCGGCAGAACTTTGTATCAGTCCAATCCTTGTCCCCCTCCTTTTTTGCCTTTAAAAATCTGCCTGTAATAAAGGCCAAGTGGAGCTCATATCCAAGGTGACTGATGTCTGAATCTTCCTTATCCTGGCTCAAATAAACTCTTTACGTCATATACTTTGCTTCAGCCTCTCCCTTTGATATTGGGGCTGTTATTCCATTTTACAGAGGAAGAAACATGCTCAGAGAGGTTTAAGGAACTCCTTGACACCATACAGATAACACCTGCCTGCCATTTATTTAGTGCCTACAGATGAGTCAGCACTTCAAATCACAGATAAGGAAGGAAGAGACAAACATTAGGGAACTTGCTCTAGGTTGCACAGTTAGGAAGTGACAGAATGCAAGATTCAAACTTGGATTCGCTTAAATGTAATACAGGTGCTCTTTCTGCCTCCCTGCCTGACGCTTGATGCTGGGCAATGACAAATATAAAATCTACCTCAGGCTGGGTGCGGTGGCTCACATCTGTAATCCCAGCACTTTGGGAGGCCAAGGAGGGTGGACAGCTTGAGGTCAGGAGCTCGAGACCAGCCTGGCCAATATGGTAAAACCCCGTCTGTACTAAAATACAAAAATTAGCCAGGCAAGGTGGCAGGCACCTGTAATCTCGGCTAGTATAGAGAGGCTGAGGCAGGAGAATTGCTTGAACCCAGGAGGTGGAGGTTGCAGTGAGCTGAGATCGCGCCACTGCATTCCACCCTGGGCGACAGAGTAAGACTCTGCCTCAGAAAAAAAAAAAAGAAAGAAAAAAGAAAAACAACAATAAAAAAAACTACCTCAGAACTGTGGCAAGATGTTTGTGTACATATGTGTGCCTGTGCATGACAGCATACAAACGTGCATAGTGTGTATGTGTGTATGCATGTGTGCATGAGTGTGCACATGTGCCTGTGTGTACATATGTGCCCATATGTGCACATCTTTGTGTATGCATGTGCTGACAGCTGCTAGTTAACGCAGGCAAGGGTAAATGATACTGCATCCATTCTTCCTGAGAAATTGTTAAGGTCCTTTTATCTTCAGCAAGAACTCAGAAGAGTCACTGGACCTGGGACACACAGAGGAGCTTTACAGATGATCTAATTCAACTCCCTCTTTGTGTCCACGAGGAAACTGACACTCAGAGTGCACTGAACCAGGAATCAAGAAATTCATATTTCAGCCTGACTTCTGCTGATGTGAGCAGTTCAAGAACTGCACTTAACTTCCCTCAGGTCATCTGTAAATTAAGATAATGATACCTCCTCTGTTATACTTGACGACCTGTGACTTCGCTGTTGACAAGGTATGGATGTCAAACCTTCTGGCCCTAAAACCGCCCTCTTTTACCCAGCCTGAGGCAGTCTCAAGACAAATCCCCACTGCTAAACTTGGCCTCAGAACCCTCCAGCAAATTCAGAACCTGGGAGAGTGCCTCTCTGGTACTGAAATGCTAAGCAGGAAGCTGATTCAGACTCTGAGATGCCTTGGGAGTGAAAACTTTCCCTTCCTTGATTCTTTCTGGCTCTTTCTAAAGAGCCCAGTGAGCCAGCTCCTTGTCCAGTCATTCTCCACTCTTCAAGGACTCCGAGGAACTGGCCTATCTTGTCAAGAGTTACCCTCTACTTGGAGCTCCTCAGGCGGAAAAGTAGCACTTAGAATCTTGGTCTCAAAATATTCCTGTCTGTGTTGCTCCTACTGGTGGTGACAGTAAATGAGACTGTGATGAACAAGTGGATGTGACCTGGTAACCACATAATGCTTTTACTATATTTTATTGGCATATAATATACAGATCATGCACATACATCACAAGTACAGCTTGATGAATTTTAACAAAATGAACGCTCCTGTGTAACCATCACCCCGTTCATGAAATACAACAGTGGCTGCTCCCAGAAGCCCCCTCTTGCCCCTCCAGTTCCTACATCTCCCAAAGGCAACCGCTATCCTGACTTCTAGCACCATACGGTGGTTTTGAACTTTATATAAAAGGAATATATATCATTTGAACTCAGTTTCTTACTAACATGTGCAACATTCTCTTTGTGAACCTGATCCATATTGTTGAGTTTAATTATACTTGGATCTCATTCTGATTGCTGACATGATTCTATTGGAAGAATAAAGCCTAATTTATTGATCCATTCTACTGTTGATGGACATGTGGGCTATTTCCAGCTTTCAGCTACTGGTAAGCATGCTGCTTTCTTATTTATGCCTTTTTGGTGAGCGCATAAGCTCATCTTCCTGAAGTGTATATATTCAGCTTTGGTAAATACTGCTAAGCAGTTTTACAAAGTGATTGTAACTCCACCAGTCATCATGGTTTTCACATTCCAAGATTCTTTAGCCTCCAGTATCTAGTAACAATTGACTCTACTTCCTTTGGTTCCAAACACACCCTTGTCTTTTTCTCCTCCAGGACCTTTGCACATGCTATTCTCTTGGCTGTTACAGTCTTTCCAGCTGATCTTCACATGGGCAAGTCCTCACTCTTTGGGTCTCCGTGTACACGTTACTACCCTCAGGACGGCCCTGTGCCTGTTATACTCATGACTTTATGCACAGTATCAAGCCCATGTTCAGTAAATGGTTAGCCCTAAACAAATGTTAGCTAATACTGCTGTTGTTGCAATAAATAGTCTTTAAGTCTCCCTTTCCAAAATTCTGTGACTCTAGGAAGTCAGACTGCCTAACTCTTATCCTGTGTGCGGATCCTGATGTGCCCCAAGGGTTCTAAATCCCTCACAGAAGAAGGGCAGCTGGCAGTTCCCATTTCTCCCGGTCCCCGGAGCTGCATGTGTGGTACCTGCTCTCTACTAAACAGCCAATAGAGGGCACTGTGGGAACACGTCCGCGGAAGGAGGGAGGCGTTGGTCAGAGTTCAGATGACACAGAATTAGAGCTGGAAGGGATCTGAAAAACCCATCTAGACCGAAACCTTCATTTTACAGATGAACAAACAGATGCCCAGACAGGAGATGTGACTTGCCCAAGGTCACACAGCTACTGCGTGGAGAGCGGAGATGACACTTACCCTCTTGGCATTCTCCACTCTGCGGGGGCGTTGCCAAGCACTGAATGAGGCAGCTGGCCCCAGGTGCTGAAGCTTTGAGCCGGCCAAGGCCCCTGTTTGCCAAGCCTATCACTGCCCTCAGTTTTCTCCTCCCTCCTATTCCATGAGAGAAAGGCTCTAGATGTTGGAAGTAGGACAAAACACACACTATCCCTTTGATTTTACAATTATCTTTGAGAAAGCATTTCACTTTCCTTAATAATGACTACCAATTATTGGAACTTTCTAGGTGCCAAATATCATACTGCATGCACTACATGCATTACCAAGAATGGTTTTAGGGTTTATTACCTCCCTTCTGGGAGTCTTTCCCTGATCTCCCGATTGAAAAAGATTGCTCTTCTCCCATTTCCTCTCTATCACACCAGCCAGTTTACTTTCTTCGCAGATCTTATAATTATTTTTATAATCGTTAGACTTACTTACTCATCTACTTATCTATCATCTGTTTCAATTCCTCCCCTCCTTCTGGTAGACTTGAACTCCATGAAAGAAGGATTCTGGAGCTAGATAGGTCTGGGTTCAAATCCCAGCTCATTCACTTACTAGCATTGTGGACTTGCATTCATTACTGAAACTCTCTGAGGCTGTTTCTCCCTTTGTAAAATGGGGACTCGTGCTTGGCCAAAGTTCTTGATTCCTTTGGGCCTCAGTTACCAAATCTAAGGGAGGATAATAACCCTTCATCTGCTGGAGAGAAGAGCCTCACAAGATGCTCTGAAGGTCTTGGAGCCGTGGTCAAAGGAGTACATAATGGCGTTGCCCAGCTGTGGGGCCATGACTGGGCACATGGTTTACAGATGCAAGTGGAACAGAAAGAAGAGAAAATTGGAAGATTTGAATCTAGGAGGCAAGGTTCCACTGTCCACACCGTTAACCATTATATTATGTGCCTTTTCAACCCTAGCTGCATCTATCCTGTCAGTTTCTCAGGTCCACTAACAATGAACCAGTTACTGAACTTAGGCTTCAGCCATCTTATTCCAGGGTTTCTCAAGCTCAATGCTATTTACCATTTTAGAGTTGAAGCAGCTAAGGCTCAGAGAGGTTAAGTTGTTTGCATACAGCTGAAAAGAGTTTGAACTTGTTCCTCTATGGTTTGTTTCATGCCTGGAGCAGTCAATCTTGCTCTCACCAACAGCTGCCAGAATCCAGCCAATAAATCAATGAGATGCCAACAAGGAATCTTCAAACTCATGCTGAGGACACCATAGAATAGATTCATGGGATAATTCCATCCATTCTGGATGTGTCTACATCCTAGCATCTCCCAAGATTTTTTTGTTTAACCCCAAGCTAAATTCCAAGGCTGTTACTTCCCCTTGTCTTGCTGTTGCCCTAAAATGTGTTTATTTCCCTGTGACCCAGAAAAGTCCTCACTCTTGGCAGCCAGAGCGGTGAATCACATGGTGGCTTTTCACCTGCCATTGGCACTAGGCAAACAGTTCACCACTGCTAAGAATCTCTTCCCACCCTTCTTAGAGCTTACTGCTGTTAGGACCTGCACTCAACCATGATGGTTTGTTTATGTGTGTCTCTCTACCTTTCTAACTGGTAAACTCCTTGAGAAAATGAACCATCTTATTCACCCAACACATGTAGTGGAGAAGCTGGCAGTTAAAGATGCTTTATGAATGTTTGTTGAATGGGTAGGTGGATGATGGTTGGATGGATGGATGAAAGGATGAATGGGTAGATGGATAGATGGATAGGTGAATGGTTGAATGAATGAATGGGTAGATTGACGGATGAATAGATGGATGGATGGATGGATGGACAGATGGACAGATGGACGGACAGACGGATGGATGGATGGATGGATGGATGGATGGATGGATGGATGGACGGATGGATGGACAGATGGACGGACAGATGGATGGATGGATGGATGGATAGGTGGATGGTTCAATGGATGGATGAGTGGGTGGATGGATGGATGGGTGGATGGGTGAAAAGATAAATGGATGAAAAGATGGATGGGTGGATGAATAGGTTGATGGATGAGTGAATGGATGGGTGAAACCCATACAACTCTCAATGTGACCACTGCTCACTACCACCCCCATCCAAACCTGTTCAGGTCCTATTCAGCATCTAGAGAAATCTTTGTGAAGATGCACATCTCATCATGTCACCCTTGCCCCCACCTCTGCCTGAAACACGCCAATGCCTTCCCACTACCCTTAGAATAAAATCAAATTTCCCTCCCAGAGCTTACATGGCCCTGCAAGCTGTGGTATCCACTGACTACTCCAGCCTCATTACATATCAGCCTCCCCCTCACTGATGATGTCTGGACACCCTGGCCATCCTTCATTTCCTAGAATGAGCCCAGCTCTTTCCTGCCTCAGGGCCTGTGTCTGAACTTGCTGTTCTCTCTGCCTAGAGTGCACTTTCTCTGACTCTTTGCATGTCTGACCCCTCCTTCAGGTGTCAGCTTCAAAATAAATTCTTGGGAAAATCTTCTTTTCCACCCCACCTAAATTACACCCCCCAACATACATTTTCTTTATAACGCTTGTGTAGTACATCAACATTCATTATAGCACTTTGTTGAACATTTGCATCATTATTTGTTTATATCTGTCTTACCTACTAAACTGCTAAGAGGACAGGGAGAGCAGGGACAATGTCTGCTTAAACTCACAGCTGTATCCTTAGTACTTATCAGGTAGTAGTACTCAGAAATATTTTTAACAGGGGCCTGGTGCGGTGGCTCATGCCTATATTCCCAGCACTTTGGGAGGTGGAGGCAGGTGGATCACCTGAAGTCAGGAGTTTGAGACCAGCCTGGCCAACATGGTGAAACCCTGTCTCTACTAAAAATACAAAAAAAAAATAGCCAGGCGTGGTAGTGGGCGCCTGTAATCCCAGCTACCCACAAGCTGAGACAAGAGAATCGCTTGAACCCAGGAGGCAGAAGTTGCAGTGAGCCGAGATCATGCCATTGCCCTCCAGCTTGGGCAACAAAAGTGAAACTCCATCTCAAAAAAAATGTATTTTTAACAGGTAGATGGATGAATAGACAGACAAGTACAGGATATGTTCTGACATCTCATCAGGCTGAGCACACTAGGGGTACTGCATGAGGACAATACCCAGGTTGTTTTCCTTTCCACTGAGCATCACTGATAAACATATTTAGGGACAGAACCATGGAATCGAACTGCCTTATAGTTGGATAGGATCTCTTTGATCATTAAGACCAACTTTATTTTACATTGGGAGAGATAGAGCCCAAAAGTGGAAGACACTTGCCCAGGGTCATTGTGGTAGGAACTACTTGTTACTAGTAGTTAGAATTAGCAACAGCCATTCTCTTCTTCATTCTAACTAGTAGTAAAGAATAGATACTTATAATCAGAACCCAAATTTTGTTGGTGGTGGTCATATGCTCAATTAGAAAAACTACATTTCCCAGCCTCCCTGTGAGAGAAAGGTGGTCATGGACTAAGTTCTGGCTAATGACATGTAAGTAAGAGTGGAGATATAAGTGTGGCTTCCAGAAAAATCCCCTTAAAAGAAGGTCTAAACCAGAGTGTCCAATCTTTTGGCTTCCCTGGGCCACAGTGGAAGAAGAATTGTCTTGGGCCACACGTAAAATACATTAACACTAACAATAACTAATGAGCTAAGAGAAAACAATCCTAAAAAAATCTCATAATGTTTTAAGAAAGTTTATGAATTTGTGATGGGCCACATTCAAAGCTGTCAGGCTGCATGCAGCCCATGGGTTAGACAAGCTTGGTCTAAACCTTTGCTTTTTCCCCCTTTCTTTTTCTAGAATTCAAGCACAAAGGTCAGAGTTGTCCATTCTATGCCTATGAGGCAGTCTTGATGATGAAAGCCACAAATTAAAGGCAGTAGACCAGAAAGTTAAAAATCTGGAATATTGCTGACATCTTGGACCTACCACAATTACCCTGGATCACCTACCTCTGCATTTTATCTCACGTGAAACAAAAATAAATCTCTTGAATAAGTCATTGTTATTTGGGTTTTCCGCTTATATGCAGCCAACTCAATCCATAGCTGTTATGTTCACTAATGGAATTAGTGGCACAGCCAGGACTTGAAGCTAGGGACTCCATACCTTTCATTGGGACGGCAAGAAAGCTAGTGTGTCTAACCAAATGGACATGGTTAAGGAAATGCTGTCCTGGAGACATTCCTGTAATGCAAGTGTTCTTTTTTTTTTTTGAGATGGAGTCTCACTCTATCGCCCATGCTGGAGTGCAGTGGCGCAATCTCCGCTCACTGCAAGCTCCGCCTCCCGGGTTCACGCCATTCTCCTGCCTCAGCCTCCCGAGTAGCTGGGACTACAGGCGCCCACCACCATGACCGGCTAATTTTTTGTATTTTTAGTAGAGACAGGATTTCACTGTGTTAGCCAGGATGGTCTCGATCTCCTGACCTCATGATCCACGTGCCTTGGCCTCCCAAAGTGCTGGGATTACAGGCGTGAGCCACCGTGCCCAGCCGATACAAGTGTTCTTAAATTGTGGTCCCCAGAACAGCAGCATCAGCATTACCTGGGAACTCGGTAGACATGCAAATTTGCAAGCCTCATGCAGACCTACTGAATCAGAAACTCTGGGATGGGGTCCAGCAATCTCCATTTTTCAGAAGCTTTCCAGATGATTCCCATGCAAGCTAAAATTTGCAAACCACTACTGAGATAATACTGTAGTATCCGCTAAGGGAAGCACAAATAAAGCAGGTTATTTCTGCAGCCTGGTGAGGCTTCTCCGAAATGCAGAAGGTGCAGAAGTCACTCCTGGGTCAGAAAGAAGGGAGCTCTCTCCAGGTTCAAGAATGCACAGACGGCCGGGCGCAGTGGCTCACAACTGCAATCCCAGCATTTTGGGAGGCTGAGGCAGGAGGATCAAGAGGTCAGGAGATAGAGACCATCCTGGCTAACATGGTGAAACCCCGTCTCTACTAAAAATACAAAAAAAATTAGCCGGGCGTGGTGGCAGGTGCCTGTAGTCCCAGCTACTCGGGAGGCTGAGGCAGGAGAATGGCATGAACCCAGGAGGCGGAGCTTGCAGTGAGCCGAGATGGCACCACCACACTCCAGCCTGGGTGACAGAGCGAGACTTTGTCTCAAAAAAAAAAAAAAAAAAAAAGAATGCACGGGCTCCCACAGACAGAATAGGTGCATTATACTTGCATTTTTATTCACTTCTACTGAGTGTGGTCTGCAGATTAGCAGCACTGACTTCACCTAGGAGTTTCTTGGAAATGCATAGTCTCAGGCCCCATTCTGGACCTACTCAATCAGAATCTGCATTTTGATACAATCCCCAGATGACTCATACATACATTTAAATTTGAGTGCCCAACTCAGTGAAGCTGGGGATAGGAACAAGATGGTTTAAGTCCTGATGGCTACAAGGACATGCATGAGGTGCTTGTGAGACTATTGCACCCAGACCTGGTGCCAGACAAAGAAGATGCGGACACAAAACCGACTATCAGAGCAGCTGCCATCTGACACCTATTACTTGCACCTTCTCCATTTTGCTGTCTTTTTTTTGCCCCCAAACACCCTCCTCTCCATCTGCAGCCTAGTGGTTAAAAGAGAGCATTCTGGAGTTTGATTTGCCTTGATTCAACCTTATAACTTCTTGCTGTGTGATCTTTGAGTCTGAGCCTTGGCACTGACTTCATAGAGTTGTCATGGAGATTAAATGAGTTAATACTTCTAAAACACCCAGCCTGGAGCTACTGAATTCTGGATCTGTATTAGCATCACCTGAGGGGCTTTTAAAAAGTACTGATGACTGGGCTAGCCCAAACCAATTACATAAGACTCTCTAGGGATGGAGCCTAGCATTCATATTCAAACAGATCAAGCACAAACCTCTGTAGATTTTTCTAACATGCAGCCAGGACAGAGAGCCACTGACCTAAAGTAATGCCAGGCACATAGTAAATGCTCCATAAATGCTAGCTATTGCTATGCACACTGTGTGCCCTTCCTCACGCACACACCAGACTGTCTCAGGCCTTTGCTCCAGCCCTAGAGATTGCCTTAAATGACCTGGCTCTCCCAGACAGCCTGGCAAACAGCCATTTTTCGATTCTGTATGAAACTTACCACCCTCATGAAGCCTTCCCTGATTCCTCCAAACAAAACTGACCACTTTCTCCTCCAGGTTCCAGTGTAACTGAACTGATAATAAAAAATACTGACGTTACCTTTTTGCAAAGTATTAATCTTTTCTGGGCATAGTGCTGTACATTTTCTTTCTTTCTTTCTTTTTCTAGAGACAGGGTCTGTTGCCGAGGCTGGAGTGCAGTGATGTGATCATAGCTCACTGCAGCCTCAAACTCCGGGGTTTAAGAAATCCTCCTGCTTCAGTCTCCCAAGTATTAATAGCTAGGACTACAGGCACTCCACTGCCACACCCAGCTAAGTTTTTTATTTTTATTTTTTTTAGAGATAGAGTCTTGCTGTGTTGCCCAGGCTGGTCTCAAACTATTGGCCTCAAGAGATCCTCCTGCCTCAGCCTCCCAAAGTGCTGCGACTACAGGCATGAACAGCTGCTCCCAGCCCATTTTCTTTTGTACTCCACAGAACCACTTCATAAGGCAGATAGCATTGAATGCTCCGTTGTATACAGATGAGGAGGAGATGAGGGTTCGTGAAGGCACAGTAAGGTGCCTAAGATCTCCCAGCTGGTAAGTTGGGGAAGTGATATTTGCACTTAGCCCTAGCTGCTCCAGAATCTACCCCCTAAACCACACTACTCTTACCTGTGAGCAGATCTGTCTCCTGCTAAAGTACGTTACAATTTTCAAGGATGAGGATTGTGTATAATTTATCATTCTATTCCTAACACCTGGGACATATTAGGCACACAATAATGATTTAATTAATTACTTGTCAGGGTAGGTGTGATCTATATTCACCACCTACTGTGTGCCAGGCAATTGACTTACCACTTTCCCAATGCTGGAGACAAGAAAATGTAGTTTGGACCCAAGAACCCTGGAAGCAGTCTCCCTAGGATTAAAGACCATCCGAATGGCTCCAGTACCGGCGGCCTCAGGCAAGCATGCAGCCTCTCTCAGAGTCAGCTCCTCAGCTGCAAATGGCACAATGCATGCGGTGACTTCACAGGACTGAGCTGTGCACCAAGACACTCAGCACAGTGTCTGGAACACAACGAGGGCTCAATAAATAGGACCCACTATTGTCATCTCATTTTATCCTCACAGTTACTCAGTGAGGTGGATGCTATTACCATACTTGTATTTGTTGGGTTTTTGTTTTGTTTTGTTTTGTTTTGTTTTTGAGATGGAGTCACACTCTGTCACCCAGGCTGGAGTTCAATGGCATGATCTCTGCTCACCACAACCTCTGCCTCCTGGGTTCAAGAGATTGTCCTGCCTCAGCTTCCCGAGTAGTTGAGACTACAGGCACCTGCCCCTATGCCCAGTTAAATTTTGTATTTTTAGTAGAGATGGGGTTTCACCATGTTGATCAGGCTGGTCTCGAACTCATGACCTCAGGTGATCCACCTCCCTTGGCCTCCCAAAGTGCTGGAATTACAGGCGTGAGCCCCATGCCCAGCCTTTTTTATTTTTTTAATTTTAATTTTAGTTTTTATTTATTTTTAAACAGGGTCTTACTCTGTCACCCAATCTCAGTTCACTGCAGCCTCTGCCTCCCGGGTTCAAGTGATTCTCCTGCCTCAGCCTCCCAAGTAGCTGGGACTACAGGCACCCAACGCCATGCCCAGCTAATTTTTGTATTTTTAGTGGAGATGGGTTTTCACCACGTTGCTCAGGCTTGTATTTTCTTTTTTACTGGAGGAAACTGATTCTCAGAAGTTGCCATTTACTGGAAGTCGCAAGGCTCATCAGTGGCAAGGCAGGAACTAGAACCCCCCCAGGTCCATCTGACCTTAGGGTCTGAGCTCCTTTCTCTCCAGGTTCTCTCAGGCAGACAAAACAGTTCAGTGACTTTTATCCCTCCCGCAGGGGAGGGTTCAGACTGGGGAGCAGGGGAGAGAATGGCTTGCTGGAAGGAAGAAGCTGCCTCCAGCCTCTTGGCTCAGAAGGAAATCCTATCCTCTTCCATTTGCTGCTTCTCTGTGGGATTCCAAGACAGAGCTGGCTTGAGACCCCAAGCCTTGGAGGGGTGATGACCTGATGGCTGGCCAGGGGCAGGAAGAAGTGGGCAAGGGGGGTTGGGGTCAAGTGCAGGGAGAGGAGGGAGGCAGGGACACCTGGAGGGGAAAAGCGGGGAGCAGGATAGAGGGGAACCGGCGGTGACAGCATAGGACAATTGTCAAGAGCAGATGGAAAGGTGTCTGGGACAGTAGGGGGCAGGGAGCTAGGGGGCTGAATGAGGCCTCGTGGTGCTGAGTTCCATGCGGAAGAGCTGTTACCATGGTGACACGGAGAGCCAGATCGATGCTTGGCGCTGGATGAAGCTCTCAGTCACTGCCAGCTCCCTCCCCCTCCTCTCTCCCCTGAAGTGAGGAGTGTGTAAGGGTGGGGGAGGCTGGGGAGGGGTCATTCCTGTCTCCCTAGAGCCTCCTGGAGTGATGACAGGGGTCTCCCCATCCTCCCAGATCATGGGCCTTGGCGGGGGGTAAGATGGGAGCCTTCTGCCACCTCCAGACCCTTTGACTTGGAAGAAATGGGACAAGGAGGGAGAACAGGGATCCCAGGAGACCCCAGGAAACCTCCCAGCTGTTGTCACTAGGGCTCAAGGGTACAGGAGCCAAGTGTCACCTCCCTCCCCTCCGTCATGCAGAGATCTGCAAAGGGGGTGCAAGGCGTGAGTTCATTCCTTTCTATGTCCCCTCTTCATGATGTGAAAAACTGCAGCAGGGAATAGATTTTCTCTGAGATTCCTTCCAGCTCTGAAAGCAATGATTTTTTTTTTTTTTCCTGGTAGCCTTATGATGGGGGCCACTCTTCTGGAATGACTGCAGGGCCATGACCCCATGGAATCTCTTCCTGCCTCAATACAGCTGTCCCCTCTGGCCAGTCGAAAAGCCCAGAATTCTATTCGAGAGTCATTTCTTTGAGCTTTGCATAAAAACGCAAATACCCTAGGGGCAGGTCAATGCGTTAACATAATACCCAGGTGACGGGCCAGAGGCTCTGGACTTCTGAGACCAGGGTTGAAATGCTGAGCCCTCTACTGACTCACTCTTTGATCCTAGCAAGCTATGCAACTTCTCTGGGCCTTAGTTTCCTCCTTTGAAAGGTAGGGTTTGGAAGAATATTATTACAAGGGGACATTGTGGGTATTAAATGAGATAACAAATATATATATATATTTAAAAGCAGAAATCATTATGTAAATATTATAAATTATCGTTAGTCATACCTGAGTGAATCTGACCATGAGCTCTGATAGGGAAGGGGTTTTCCTGATCACGAAGAGATGGGAACAAGCCCTGAGCACCTACTGGGTGCCAGGCAATTTACTAATATATCCCATCTGATATCCTCAATAATGCTGGTAGGTATAGTATCCCCAATTTCCAGATAAAGGAACAAAGTCTCAGAGAGGTTAAATACATTGCCAAGGTCACAGCAAAGGTTGGGAACCAGGCTAGTATTCTAACTCAGGTTTCTCTGACTCCAAAATCTTCATTGCAAGTATAGTTGTAGAGCAGTCTCCTGTCCAAGGAGGGCCAGGTGTGGGACCATCTTGGCATGAGATGTGAGAGGTCTGGGTGAGGGAGCAGTGGGGAGCAGACTGGTGAGAAATGGAAAATCAATTTTGTCCACCTCCACCGTGGGAGTCCCAGAAGGAGAATTTCTCAATGAGTCCAAGTTCAAGCAGACACGTCAAGGGTAAATAGATGTGAGCCGTGAGCCATTGATTTCAGCTAAGGAGGGAAGAAAGGAAAGAAGGGAAGAAGGAAAACAGTGAGCAAGAAGTCCTGAGGGCAGGTGCGGTGGCTCACGCCTGTAATCCCAGCACTTTGGGAGGCCGAGGCGGGCGGATCACGAGGTCAAAAGATAGAGACCATCCTGGCCAACATGGTGAAACCCTGTCTCTACTAAAAATTCAAAAATTAGCTGGGCGTGGTGGGATGAGCCTGTAGTCCCAGCTACTCGGGAGGCTGAGGCAGGAGAATGGCATGAACCTGGAAGGTGGAGCTTACAGTGAGCCGAGACCCTGCTGCTGCACTGCAGCCTGGCGACAGAGCGAGACTCCGTCTCAAAAAAAAAAAAAAAAAAAGAAAAAAAAAGAAAAAGTAAGAAATCCTGGCTCCACTGTAATGAACCTCTCCTTTCTCTAGTGCAAGGGCCACAGGATTTCACCCAAAGGTCCTACCTTGACAATCTAGAGATGCCCCACGCAGTCAACCCCAACTTCCCTTAAATTCTGGCCTCCTTGGGGAGTGCGGGGTGGAAGGCGCATGCATTTCAGATCAAAGCAAGAAGTTGAAACAGAGAGTGGGGCTTTTCTAGAGAGGAGAAAGAAAGCATCCTCACTCTGAAAAAAGGAGGGAGAGACCAGAATGAACCACACAGGTGCCCCAAGCACCCCAGAGATTCCAAGAAACTCAAAGCTGCTAAATGCCTGGCAGCAGCTCCTGAGCTTCCAGCCTGGAGCCAGCACAGTGTGTGGGAGGCTGTGGGTGCAAGCTGGCCCTGCAGAGAGGAAGAAGGGGGCTTCGGGGAGAGGGCTGGCACAAAGGAGAAGGCAACGAGCTCTGCTAACAGCGCTGTGGATGCCAGCCTTCTGCTGTCTGCTTTAGTTTGAAATTGAATAAGTTTTTCAAAAAAGAGTACATTTTGGTCTTATTTTGAAAATGAAATTTGCCTGCACATGGTGTCAAACTTGCCTGTTAAGAGAAATCTTGGGCTCTTCTTTGGGTCCAGCCCCTTGTTAGCTGTTCAACCCCCCAAGTATTAGTGTCTCCATCGGAAAACTGGGCGTGGGGACATCTACGTTAAAGGATGGTTGCACGGATTAAATGAGATGATATGTGAACAATAGCTTAAAGCGAAGTCTGTTTTACAACTCTGATGTGCAAAGCGGCTACATAGGATTTCTCTTAAAATCCCTGGGTCCAGCCGGGCATGGTGGCTCACACCTATGAAACCAGCACTTTCAGAGGCAGAGGCGGGCAGATCACCAGAGGTCAAGAGTTTGAGACCAGCCTGGCCAACATGGCAAAACCCTGTCTCTAAAAAAAATACAAGAATTAGCTGGTTCTGGTGTCGTGTTCCTGTAATCCCAACTACTTGGGAAGCAGAGGCATGAGAATCACTTGAACCTGGAACCCAGGAGGCAGAGGTTGCAGTGAGCCAAGATCGTGCTACTGCACTCCAGTCTGGGCTATAAAGCATGACTCCATCTCAAAATAATAATAATAATAATAATAATAATAAGAAGAAGAAGAAGAAGAAGAAGAAGAAGAAGAAGAAGAAGAAGAGGAAGAAGTTGTTGTTTCTGAGGAGCCTAAGCAGCCGGACACATCAGGACTGCTTGAGCCAAGGAGTTTAAAACCAGCCTGGGCAACATAGCAAGACACCATCTCTAAAAATAAAAAAATTAGCTGGGCATGGCGGTGCATACCTGTAGACCCAGCTGCTTAGGAGGCCAAGGCAGGAGGATCCCTTGAGCCTTGAGCCCAGGAGTTTGAGGTTGCAGTGACCTACGATCGCACCACTGCACTCCAGCCCGGATGACAGAGTGAGATCCTGTCTCAAAAAAAGAAGAAGGACATCGCTGAGGTTGTGGCGAAGAGACTGTGCAAGGCGATGAGGTTAGACATGATGTCCTGCAAGAACAGAACAGAGCATTTCCTTTCCACAGGGTGGCATACCATTAGCCCCATTTTACAGATGAGGGGACTAACACTTAGAGAGAAGTCCGTAAAGTGTATACTTAGCCAAGTTTACCTGGTCACCAAGTTCCACCAAGTTTTAGAACCAGAATGTAAGTCCAAGTGTTTCTGCTTCCCAAGCCCAGGCCTTTTCCACCCTGTCCTCAGAGACAGCAGCACTTGAAGGCAGGTGGCCCTGGTTGCCAGTTCCGCCTTCGCCACGTTAGGCAAGGGATTTCATTTCCCTGAGCCTCAGTTTCCTCATCCGTAAAGTGAGGATTCTGTAAGCTTATACACGGAAGATAGCCTAGTAATTTCAGGTGCACAAGGGTGTTTTGGGAAGACGCTGTTCTGAGAACCTGGAATGTCGGCTCCAGTCTTGCTCTGCCTTACTTTGCTGTGTGACCCTAGACAAGTCACAGCTTCTCTGGGATTTAGACCATTAGAATTCTCAGGGAAATGCAACACACAAATGTGTGTTCTGGAGATTCTGATTTAATTGGTCTGGGACTAGGCCTATACATTGGATTCTTTTAAGTCCTCCAGGTGCTTTGATTATGCCACCAACTGAGATGGCAACTGTGATGCTGAGTGATCCCTGAACCAGCAACATGGCATCACCTAGACACTTGTGAGAAATTCAGCATCTTAGCCCCCACCCAGTCTTCTGCATGGACCTACAGAATTAGAGATTTAGAGGGTAGATGGACCCAGTAATCTGTTTTTACAAGCTCCCCTCGCGATTCTTCTTTTTTTCCAGACAGTCTTGCTCTGTTGCCCAGGCTGGAGTGCAGTGGTGCGATCTCGGCTCACTACAACCTCCACCTCCAGGATTGAAGCGATTCTCTTGCCTCAGCCTCCCGAGTAGCTACAGATGTGTGCCACCATACCCAGCTAATTTTTGTATTTTTAGTAGAGACGGGGTTTTACCATGTTGGCCAGACTGGTCTCAAACTGCTGACCTCGGATGATCCACCTGTCTCAGCCTCCCAAAGTGCTGAGATTACAGGTGCGAGCCACCATGCCGGGTCCCCAAGTGATTCTGATGTGCCTTCAAGTTTGAGGGCCCCTGGGCTGTAGGATTCAGCCATAAGATCCTATACTTTTTTCTTTTTCTTTCTTTTTTTTTTTTTTTTATGAGATGGAGTTTCGCTTTTGTGGCCCAGGTTGGAGTACAATGGCGTGATCTCGGCTCACCACAGCCTCCGCCTCCTGGGTTCAAGTGATTCTCCTGCCTCAGCCTCCCGAGTAGCTGGGATTACAGGCATGCGCCACCACGCCCAGTAATTTTGTATTTTTAGTAGAGACGGGGTTTCTTCATGTTGGTCAGGCTGGTCTTGAACTCCTGACCTCAGGTGATCCACCCGCCTCAGCAAAGTGCTGGGATTACAGGCATGAGCCACTGCGCCAGGCCAAGATCCTATACTTTTAAAGTGCATCAGAGGAGCAAGATGAAAGAACCAGGTAAGAGCAGGAGAAAGTGTGGATAAAATTTAGAAAAAAAGTGGGATGGCAGAAGAGACTGCAAAATCAAGAGATGACCTCAGCCTTGTCCCTGGGTAGATTGGCACTGCAGGCTATGAAATCAGCTGAAAAATTTCAAAGGTCCCCAAGGACATGCTTCTCAAAGTGGGGCATGCAGTGGGAGTGGTTGAAGCCACAGAAAAAGGATGGTGCATCTTCCTGGAAAGTCAATTTACTGGAAAATGTTTTAGGGGGAAAAAAGTTAAATTATTTCATCAATGAGTAATAGAAAACACAACTGTTAGACTAAAGCAAACAGATATATTATGACACAGAATACCACCTGCATATACAATGATAAAATAAAAGGAAAGCCTCAAAGACATTTGATATTTGTAGTTGGGAGTTGTGGATGGAAGCCTCACATCCCAGGGCGGGCCAGTTCCCTCTTCCTTGCCCTTTGGACAACCTCGGTGGAAAACACAACCATTAATGAATGAATTAATGGATTGACTGATTCATCGATTGATTGGTTAGACAAATGGTTGAGTCTCCACCTTGTGCCAAATGCTATACTAGACACCAAGGATTTACTACTAACAAAAATAGTCAGAGTTTCTGTACAGGACAAGCTTAGAGTGTAATAGAGCCCAAACATTAATCCGATTATCCCACAAATAGCTACCTAATTACAAACTGTGATAAGTATTCTGAACTAAACACAAAGGGAGGTCTAAGAACATGTGATTGGAGACTACACCTAGACTGAGGTCAGGACAGGCTTCTCCAGGAAGTGACATTTGAACTCTGACCTGAAGACACATGCACACTTCACTTCCGTGAAGACACGAAACAGAAGCGCTGTTCCAGGGTGGGCATGTGAAGCTGCCTGCCAAGTCTTGGCTCACTCTGGCTTCTCTGCCTGGAATGCCTGGAATTCTCTTTCTCCTGTATCTATTTAACCCCTCCCAAGGGCCCACATCAACCCTAGCCCCGTCCAGGAAACACTTCCTGACCTGCACTGCCCACTTTCACCTCTCCATCCTCTGAATTTCCATGGTTCGTTCTTCCAGCACCTACTTAACTCCTGGCATTTGAGTTCCACTTCCATGATGTTTCATATCTAGATAACAGCAACACTAAAGTTGACTTAATCGTGTTCTTCCATTTTTATTTATAGAAATGCGTTTTAAAGGAAACTTTTATTCAACATTATAGGGAAGCCATCAATAAGTAATGCCATAAATATGCCATAGATAAAAGGTAACTATTAAAATAAGTGACTCTCCTTTGTTTTATAAAGGAAGATGGGCAAGAGTTCCAAGGGTTTTAAAGGTATATCAGCACTTACTGAGACTTTCTCCTTGACACATCACAAAGACTGAAGAAAATATGAGAGGGGAAGGTGTTGTCACTCTGTGATTTGCTCTGATTTTCCACACAGCTCCCAAAATAACTTCCTGTTCCACTAATGGTACATAGCATTGTATTTTTTGTTGTTGCGTGTATGTTTCATGTTTTATTTTGTTTTCAAGAGAATGTCTGGGCTCTCTAACCAAAGTGTAAAATCCTCAAGGACAAACGTTCCCTCACATACCCCACAGCACCTACAGCAAGTGCCCAAATGTTTCTTGTTTAAGAGGAAATTGTTTTGACTTGCCATGACCCACAAGTGCTGAGATTTGTTGAGTCCTTAATCTCTTCCGTGAACTGTGCTAAATGCCTTACACATGTTTCTTCATTCCATTCTCAGCACAATAACACTGGAGTCAGACATGGTATTATCATTTCAATTCTGCAGAAGAAGAAACTGAGGTTCAAGAAAGACAGGGAAAAAGATTTTGTTAAGGTTGTGCCGGAAGTAGAGGCAGGGCTGAGCCTGGAATCCAGATCCTGCCCTGAAATGCTCATGGTCACTGCAGCCAGCTAATCTGATCACGTGGACACAGAGGAGCTTATTCAGGCTTGAATCACAGACTTTTAAAACAATTTTAATTTTTGCAGGTACATAGTATGTGTACTTATGGGGTACATGAGATGTTTTGACACAGGCATGCATGCAATGCGTAGTAAGCACGTCATGGAGAATGGGGTATTCATCTCCTCAAGCATTTATCCTTTGAGTTACAAACAATCCAATTACACTCTTGTAGGTATTTTTAAATGTGCAATTAAGTTATTATTGACTATAGCCACGCTATTTTGCTATCAAATAGTAGGTCTTATTCATTCTATTTTTGTACCCATTAACCCTCTCCCTTCCCTCTCACCTGCCCTGTTCACTATTCTTCCCCCCCGGTTACATCCTTCTACTCTCTATGTCCATGAGTTCATTTGTTTTGATTTTTAGATACCACAAATAAGTGAGAACATACGAAGTTTGTCTTTCAGTCCTTGGCTTATTTCACTTCACATAATGATCTCCGGTTCCATCCATGTTGTTGCAAATGACAGGATCTTATTCTTTTTTATGGCTGAATAGTATTCCATTGTGTATATGTACCACATTTTCTTTATCCGTTCATCTGTTGATGGACACTTGGGTTGCTTCCAAATGTTGGCTATTGTGAATAGTGCTGCAATAAACATGGGAGTGCAGATATCTCTTTGACATACTGATTTTCTTTCTTTTGGGTATATACCCAGCAGTGGGGTTGCTGGATCATATGGTAGCTCTATTTTTAGTCTTTTGAGGAACCTCCAAAGTGTTCTCCATAGTGGTTGTACTAATTTACATTCTCACCATCAGTGTACAAGGGTTCCCTTTTCTCCACATCCTCGCCAGCATTTGCTATTGCTTGTCTTTTGGTTATAAGCCATTTTAACTGGAGTGAGATCATATCTTATTGCAGGTTTGATTTGCATTTCTATGGTGATCAGTGATGTTGAGCAGATTTGCATATGCCTGTTTGACATTTGTATGTCTTCTTCTGAGAAATGTCTATTCAAATCTTTTGGCACTTTTAAAAATCAGATTATTAGATTTTTTTCCTATAGAGTTCTTTGAGCTCCTGATATAGTCTGGTTATTAATCCCTTTTTAGATGGATAGTTTGCAAATATTTTCTCTCAATGTGGGTCATCTCTTCACTTTGTTGTTTCCTTCACTGTGCCGAACGTTTCACCTTGATGTGATCCCATTTGTCCATTTTTTTGCTTTGGTTGGGTATGCTTATGGGGTATCGCTCAAGAAATTTTTGCCCAGAGCAATGTCCTGGAGAGTTTCCCCAATGTTTTCTTGTAGGAGTTTCATAGTTTGAGGTCTTAGATTTAAGTCTTTAATCCACTTTGATTTGATTTTTTAAATAATCATAGGCTTTATTCTAATCAACAGTGCCCACTTTTACAGAAGGGTTTCATCCTATAGGATTCTAACGAAAATGAAATGAGAGCATAGATATGAAAAGTGGGGGAAAGAAAGAGATAATGCCAAGCACCCAGACAACCTCAGTCAAGTCCATTAGTAAGCATGCCTCCGCTGTGGAGGTCTTTCGCAACACCCCACTGCCTGCCACATGGGTCTAAGATGCTCAACTTGCATGCACCACCACGATGATTGTCACCACCTATATTACCTGTACTCTTGTTAATATTAAGCAATTGGACTTTATTTTGATGCATTTATATGATTCCAAATGCAAAAGGAATACATAGCAAAACCTCTCCCATCCACCCTGTCCACCAGGTCCCCTTTCCAGAGACAACCACCAATGTCCATGTCTTGCCTGTCAATTCAGAGAAAGTCTATTTATATGTAAGCAAACATAAACTCACACACACACTTTTTTTTTTTTTTTTTTGAGACAGAGTCTCTCTCTGTTACCCAGGCTGGAGTGCAGTCGCGATCATAGCTCACTGCACCCTGGCTTCCTGGGCTCAGGCAATCCTCCCACCTCAGCCTCCTGAGTAGCTAGGACTACAGGTGCATACCACCATGCCCGACTAATTTTAAAAAAAATGTAGAAATAGACTCTTGATATGTTGCCCAGGTTGGTCTTAAATTCCTGGCCTCAAGCAATTCTCCCACCTTTGCCTCCCAAAGTGCTGAAATTATAGATGTGAGCCAGTGCCTGGCTGACACACATTCTTTTCAAACACAAATGGGAACATAACAGATATAATGTTCGCCAATTGCTTTTATAACTTAACATTATATCTTAGAGCTTGTTCTATATTAGAATATAAAAAGCTTCTTCATTTTCTTTAAAGCTGCTTTGAATTCACTTGTCCCATTCTTCAACCAGTCCCCAACTGATGGGCATTGAGGTGGTTACCAATCTTTTGAATGTCACAAACAATGTAGCATGAATAATCTCCCAATTGTAACATGAATGTTGTAACATCTTTCTTTCAACTGTTTTGAAAAAAAAAAATTTCTCTCATCCTAGGCAGTATCTATGAAATCACAGGTTAGGTGGACTAATTATATATTTTTTAAATTCATGTTAAGATAAATAGATTAGTAACCCATAACTATCCAAATAATAGTGCCTGCCTGTGTATCACCTATAATCAGTTTGTTTAGCCCCTGGGTCATGCATCTACTATTTAGAGAAACACTGGCCTCTTGGATGTATTCCAAACTCCTTGGCCAGGCACACAAGGCCCTTCAGGGTCTTCCCCTGACCTCCCTCTCCAAACTTATTTCTCAGATATTCTATACTCCGGTCTTGTTGATAATATGCAGTGTTAGCTTCATGCCAAACTTGTTAATGCCCAATGTCTTTGCACATGCTGTTCCCCTGCCTGTCTCCTGCAGAACGCTTGTTCTCTCTGCAAGTCACAGTTCAAGTTCTCCCTCTCCAGGAAGCCCTCTCTGCCTTCTTCATCGAGACCCCACATCCACACACGAGGGCATGCTTTTACCATATCAATTAGTATAGCTAATTGCATACATATAGCTAGTGTGGCAGAGTGGTTAAGAGAGCAGCATCTGGAATTGGGTTGCCTGGGTTCAAATCCCAACTCTACTACTTACCAGCTGCCTGACACTGGCCAAATTGTTTAATCTCTTGGGGCCTCAATTCTCCCATCTGTAAAATGATGGAAAAATTGATAACTTCTACCTTATAGTTACCGTAAGAATCAAAACTTGTGTTTAGCAGAATGCCTGGCATGGAGCAAATAATTAATAAATGTTCATTATAGCCACTATCCTGACATCTCTGTTTCCTCCACTAGGCTATTAATTCTTGTGAGCTTCTCAGCTCTTTATTTCCAAATCCTGTCGGTCTTATCTCCAAAACAGATGTCATTTCTGAGCATATCTCCCTTCGTCCATTAGTACCAGTCTAGTGCGAGCCACCATCTTGTCCCACCCAGACGTCAGCCTTCTAACAGCCTGCATGCACCATCTCAATCCCCTTTGATCTGTGTTTTCTGCATTCAGAGTGATCTTTTCAAACAGAAGTCAGCTTAGGTCTCATCTTGCTGTGAACTTCCAGTGTTTTCTCATCATTCTTACAATAAAGCCCAAAGTCCTTACAATGACATACAAGGCTCTTGCGACGTGGCCCCTGCCTCCCTCTCTGCCCTCAGGCTTCCTCTCCTCCAGCCACACTGGCCTCCCTGCCATTCCTCAGACACACGGAGCAAGTCCCCATCTCAGAGCTTTGCACTGGCCATTCCCTCTGTCTGCTCTTCTCCCAAATACTTACACAGCTTTCTCAGTTCCTTCAGGCTGCTTCACAAGTGCCACCTCCTTAGGCCCTCCCCACTCCATCCCAAATGACCATCACTATCACTCTCTAGTCCTTCTCTATTCAAAACACACATGGCTTCCTAATATGATATTTATATCTGTCTCTCTGCTCCATTAAAATGTATGCTCCATTAAAATGTATGCTCCATCAGGACAGGGACTTTATTCATGACTGTATCCCCAGTCCCCAAGCCTGTGCCTAGGACTTAGTAGGTGCTCAATAAATATTTGCTGCATGGAGAAATGAATGACTGCAGTGCCAAGCACAGGGCTGGGTACATTTGTGAGGTTTAGTAAATGTTTGGAGAAGAATGGAAAGAGGGAGGGAGAGAAGAATGAAGGAAGGAAGGAAGGGAAAGGAGGAGAGAAGGAAATTGAGAGGCTTTTTAGTTGTCATGTCTTTTTATTAAGGTATAACTTACACACTATAAAATGTACCTATTGTAATTGTATGGGTTAGTGAGTTTTAGCAATTTCTACAGTTGTGCAACCATCACCACAATCCAGTTTTAGAACTCTTCTATCACCTGCCAAATTTCTTCTTGCCTAACTGTTGTTAATTCATAGCTCCAATCCCAATGTCCTCTGATCAGCTTCCTGACTCTTTAATTTTGCCTTTTCTAGAAATTTCACATAAATAGAACCATACATTGTGTCTTTTCTAACTTGCTTTTCCCATGATGTTTCATATGGTTTGTTGTTTGTTTTGTTTTATTTCGAGGTTCATTCATGTCATTGCACGTATCAGTAGCTTGTTCCTTTGAATTGCTGAGTAGAATTCCATTGTGTGGATATACCACATTTTGTTTATCCATTTGCCATTTGATGGGTGTTTCTACTGTTTCCAGTGTTTTTTTTTTTTTTTTTTTTTTTGGCTATTATGAAGAATTGTGCCATGATTCTATGTACAAGTTTTGGTGTGGACATATGTTCTCAAATCTCTAGGGTAGACACCTAGGAGCGGAATTGCTGAGTCATACCAGATGTGCATGAGGATTTTGACGCCCTAAGGCACAGCTTTCTTTTGATGTCTCCACTGAGGCCTGCAATGCTCCAAATGCTGTAGAGGAAAATGCCTGTGAAACTCAGTTTGAGCTGCAAGCTCAGCTCCAAGTCCTAAGTGTGTGGACAATTCATTACGCTTGTGTTTGAAGTCCATTTGTAGCTGTGTTTGATGTATTGTCTGCAGGGAGACAGTGAAATTTGCCAGCCTTCAGACAAACAACTGAGCCTAATTTTTCACCCAAGGATTCTAAAGAAGTTTCTTCTTGGCAGAGGCTTGAGCAAGGCACAGTTGATGAAATTGATTGTGGCAAGATGATGTGAGAAGAGGAACACATTCTTTACTACTGAAAGATGCACATAAAAGGTGAGTAGCCCATCAGGAAGTGAACAGAATCATGAGGAAATTTGCTGGCCCCGGGGAGTTTTGGGCCTCTTTAAGTGTTCTCTGCCTCCTGTCACCTTCCCAATAGCAGAGGCCTTGAAACCTGGCCTTCAGCACCCAAGATCTCAGATCCTGCTGGGTGCATCCTAACAAATCCTTCCTTCAGGTTTTACACTTCATTACAGTGATGAAGATTATCAGGAGTTGGTGCTTGCTTGGGCTACAGGTAGTATTTGCAGAAAGCTTCCAGGCTTTCACCTCCTGCCTTGCCACCCACACTCCACTTTGCTTTGATTTCAAAGCCTTCACCCAATGAGAGATCTGACCTTCAGGTCAAAACCTCAGGGGATGGACTCTCTTGGTCCTTTTCCTATCCTAACCCATGAGAAAATGAAATGCTTACTGCAGCTCTCCTAGAAATCTTTTGTAGCATAAAATCAGTATTGGTCTTAGGATATAATTTTGGCTTCAAAAGCCAGTTTCTGATGTTTGCAATTGAACAATGCCCATTTGAAGGAGGAAAAAAAAATAGGCAGACTGAATGCAGGGCTTCTCAGAGATTTGGGTAAATAAATATTCTCTCTGATAGGCTCCAGCCTCTCTGCAAAGAAAAAGTACACCGAGAAAATGATCGGTCAAGTGGGCAGATTTTGCAGGAGTTTTTATTGTTCGTTTGTTTGAGGTAACAAGGGTTCTATCTGAGAAAAAGGCTTCACGGCTAGTGTCTGAGCCCTGAGGAGAGGGATGCTGAGGAGTGTCTGTGAGACTTGAGGGGCTCTGACAATACAGCTCTGGGGGCTCTGGGACAAAGTGGGGCACATGCAGGCAGAGAGCAGCATTTGAGTCATTTTGGCACAGCCTGCAGTGTGGCTTCTGCTCAGGAATGACAGTGGGAATGCAGCATTATCCAGTAGGACCAGACTGCAGGCTCTGGGCTAGATGACCTGGATTCAAATCCTGGCTCTGCTTCTTCTAATCAACTTGGGGCAAGTTACTTCATGTGTCTGCCCCTTGGTTTTCTCATCTGTAAAATGGGTATATTAATAGTGATTACCTCCTAAGCTTACTATGAGGGATAAATGAATTATTACATGGAGGGTGCTTTTATGGGTATAGAGAAAGGATCTGCTAAGTGCTGGCTCGTTTTGATGTTGTTGCTGTGTTGCAGATTGCCAGCTTTGAGGAGTACCCATTGACACCACCCTTGACTTCACGCATTTGTCAAGATGGCTCCAGCGGGAGCTGGTGAGACATAGCCACTGAAAAGGGACTTGGAGTATACACACTCTGAGAGGACTATCTGGGAGTTTATGTGAAACTCTATGGGTGAGAATTTGCCTAGTGCAGGGAGAGCCCAAAGACCTTCATTACACAGATGAGATGCCAGTCAGTGAAATAGGTATTACCACTATTAGTATAACCTCCTCAGACTCTCAACTTCAGGGAACTTGAGAAAATACATTACCCCCAAAGAGGCTGAGGGAAACATAATCAAAGAAAATAGTTGAATAGTTTAGCAGCTGAGAGCATAGTCATCTGTACTCCTGGGTTCAAATCCCAAATCTGCCAGTTCAAATCCCAGATCTGCCTAACTGTGTTTGGGGCAAGTTAATTAAATTCTTCTGTGCCTTAGTTTCCCCTACTACAAAATGGAAATAAAAATAATAGCCCATATTTCATAAAGTTGTTGTTGGGCTTTAAAGACATCATTAAAATAAAGCACTTAACATGGCACAGTAGCCAACAAATATTAGCAATCATAATTTTTCTCATGTAATCCAAAGGGGAAAATGACAGATACACCCACAATGCCTTCTTGTTAAAGGAAATAGCTGTGTCCTGCCAATGGAGTAGAGAGTCCTCTCATTCAACCAAAGACAAATTTCACAAACTTACTCCACCCACACTGGTCTCTTTTCAGCTCCTAGAACCTGCCAGGTTATTACCAGTTTGGGTGATCTTGCATATGCTGTTCCATCTTCCAAGAATTCTCTTCCTCCTGCTCCTCCTATGGCCCACTCCTTCTCATTATTCGAGGTTCCGTTCAATGTCAACTTCACAGACCATCTTCCCTGCCCATAGGTGTTGATATAGTTTGGCTGTGTCCCCATCCAAATCTCATCCTGAATTCCTACGTGTTGTGGGAGGGCCCCGGTGGGAGGTAATCGAATCATGGGGGCAGGTTTTTCCCATGCTGATCTTGTGATAGTAAATAAGTCTCATGAGATCTGATGGTTTTAAAAATAGGAGTTTCCCTGCACAAGCTCTCTTTGCCTGTCATCATCCATATAAGATGTGACTTGCTCCTCCTTGCCTTCCACCATGATCGTGAGGCCTCCCCAGACATGTGAAACTGTAAGTCAATTAAACCTCTTTCTTTTGTAAATTGCCCAGTCTTAGGTATGTCTTTATCAGCAGTGTGAAAACAGATTAATACAGGTATCTACAGCAGCATCCCCAAACCCACCCACATGCACACACTATGTGCTATCACATCCCCTACAAATGCCCTTCCTGGAATCCATCACGATCTGAAATGTTCTTTTGTTTTCTTATTTTCTTATTGCGGGCCTTGTTTGCTAGAATTTGCCTTTCATCTGGACAGGAATCTCTTCTATCTTGATTACCATGACACGCCCAGCAGGTTGCACAGTGCCTGCCACATAGTAGATGCTCAATAATTGTCAAACATGAATGAGCTAGAAGCCCGCAACCACTCCTGCACATTTGGAGGCTTTGGGAAGGGGCTGCCTGTTCTCAGATGATGCTACCATTTCCATAAAGCAGAGGTTGGTAAATTCTGGCCTACAAAGGCATCACATGTTTTTTGTTTTTTTTTTTCCAACCCAACCAATTCTCTGACACCAACTCGGTGTCTAACAATTCAATTCTATTTTGACTAACTATTAACTATTCAGAATTAGTGCAGACCCCACAGCTCAAGAGCTTAGTTCCTCAAGACTGCCCCCAGTGCAGACACCAGCCACAAATCGGGTGTCCAAGTTACCTACACTGCTGCCCAGACAACTACAAATTCAGGGGTTCCCACAACCTTCCATCAGGTTCAATAATCATTAGAATGACACAGAACTCAGAAGGGCACTTTATTTACATTTGCTGGTTTATTATAAAGGGTACGTATCAGGAATAAGCAAATGAAAGATTGCACAGGGCAAGGTATGGGAATGATGGGGTGGCATAGAGCTTGCCTGCCTTCCCCAAGTGCACCACCCTCTCAGCACATCAATGTGTCCACCAACCCAGAGGTTCCCTGAATCTCACTGATTAAGAGTTTTTATAACTCAATCTTCAGTCCCCCTCCCCACCCCCAGACATCAGTGAGTAGGGATGAAAGTCTCCCCCAACACAATCACATGTAGTCTTTTTGGTGCCCAGCCCCCATTCTGAAGCTATCTAGGGGCTCCACTCTGAATCATCTCATTAGTATAAACTCAGGCATAGTGGAAAAGGGCCCACTGCCTGTTTGTGTAAATAAAGTTATAGTGAAATATAGCCACACCCATTTGTCTGTACATTGTCTATAGTTGCTTTCATGCTTTAATAAGATTGGCATACTCACTACAGAAATTGCATGGCCTACAAACCTGAAAATATTTACTCTCTGTCCTATTGCAGAAAAGTTCGCTGACTCCTGTCCTAGAAGATGGACCCCCAAGAATGTCTGAACACTAATAGCAGCTGCTGGACAGGTGAGTACCCAGAACAAATCTTGGGAAATGCTTGAGGGAAATGTGGCAGGGATGGAGGCTTCTCCATTGTGCATCTCATGGAGAATCTGAAGACCCCTGGGGACTAAGATCAAGCCAGTGGGCTAGAAGGTCTGCTCAGCCAAAGATGGCTCCGGCCCCCACACTGTACATTCCCTGTCACTTGTTACCCCCACCCCACACATACACTTAAGCATGTGTTTCCATCCCAATGCCTAAAGGATGCTGTTCATTTCCCCCTTCCCATTTGATTCCTACCCATTCTTCAAAGCTTAACCCTGCAATGTAGCGAATAAACAATTTTAAGAAGCTCCAACTATGTCCCAGGTACTGAACTTCTTTCTTCTCATGGAATTTCAGTGCAGAGTGGAAGACGGATTAGAAACCAAGTAACTACAACACTTCCCAGTAAGGGCTACACTAGGAGCATCCTGGGGCCCTGGGAGCACTGAAAAGCAGTACCTACCCCAACTCTGGGGAATCAAGGAAGACTTCCTGGAGGTGGGGAGATCTGAACTAAGTTCTGAAAGGAATGAGCCAAGCAAGCAGATTAGAAGAGGGTGGTAGGAACAGCACGTGCAAGGCCCAGAGTAGGAGAAAGAGCAGAGCTGCAGGAATCAGCAGAGAGGCAGAGTGGAAGCTGCTCAACCACAGGCCTGTTCTGAGCTCATAGGGCTTCTTTCTACAAATGGAGTGATGAGATGTGCAGGAAGAGGATTTTGGGGAAACTGGTAAATGATGTGGTTTCTGTTTGTGTTTCATCAGCTCAATTGTAAGCCCTTCATGGGCAGGGACATTGTTTCATTTTTTGTTTGTTTGTTTGTTTGTTTGTTTTTGAGACAGAGTCTCACTCTGTTGCCCAGACTGGAGTGCAGTGGCGTGATCTTGGCTCACTGCAACCTCCACCTCCCGAGTTCAAGCAATTCTTCTGCCTTGGCCTCCTGAGTAGCTGGGATTACAGGTGTGCGCCACCATGCCTGGCTAATTTTTGTATTTTTAGTAGAGACAGGATTTCACCACATTGGTCAGGCTAGTCTCGAACTCCTGACCTTGTGATCTGCCTACCTCAGCCTCCCAAAGTGCTGGGATTACAGACGTGAGCCACCACACACAGCGACCTTGTTTTGTTGTTGTTGTTGTTTGTTTGTTTTATCTCCATACCATCATCTCTCCACCACAGCACATTCCATCATGCCCAGCATGAAATGAGTGCTAAGCTGGTTTTTGCAGGGCATTGTTTAAAGCTCTGGAAAAAGCTCCAGATTGGGATACTGGTCCTTCCTTGGCCTTTGCTGATTCACTCTGGGACCTTGGCTGAGTCATCACATTGGTGCCCAGATTTTGCTGGAACAACAGAGATCACAGAAGGGATTTTAGAGATGAGGAAATAGAGGTCCAGAGGATGGGAAGGACACAGTTAACATCAAACATTAAGTTAGCAATAGGGTCAGGGCTCAAAACCATTTTTTTTTTCCTGCTCGGTCCAGTGCACCATTCCCATCTGATTTCTCACAGGGCAGATCAATGATGAATTTTGCTGGATAGTTGAACTTCACATCCTCTATCAAGCTTGCAAATTTATTTTCAATGAGCTGGCCAATTCATCTCAAGTCTTGACTCTTTCAAACCAGGGTGGTGGTTAATAATAAAAACTTACAACTATGATATAAAAATATATGTTAATCCCGTATCATAAATGAAGGAACTGGGCCTCCAAACAGCTAAATTTAGTTGTCAGAGTTCACACACCTGGCAAGAAAGTTTCAGAGTTCAGATCCGAACTCAGGTCTTCCTGAATCCAAAACCTGTGCATGCATCTATTTTTTCTGCTAAGTCCAGTGTACGGTTTCCACCTGATTTCTCACAGGGCAGATCAATGATGGATGTTGCTGGGTAGCTGAACTTCACATTCTCTATTGAAGTGGATTCTGGGTAGTACTTAAGAAGCTTTGCCTAGAATACAAGAGTTCTATTGGAAGTTGAGGGTGCCAATTGTGCTCTCAATGGCTGTGGTCTGGGGTGATGGCTCAGCTGTTCTGGAGGCTTGATACCATCTTTGTGTGCTTGGCTAAACCAATAAGAATCTGAAACTCCTCCTTACTTCTCTTCCTCTTTTCTTCTCTAAGGAGCAATAGGCCTGTAAGATAAACCTAGGCTCTCACCATGCCCATTGCCCAGGCTGATAAACAAAGGTGAGACAAAACATAGCTTTATAGCTTATAATCACTGGAGAATAATAGGGCATGCCCTTGGCTATGACATCAGATACAGCAGAAAAGATGCTGGCTATCGTCAGGTTAGAAAGTCTCCAGAGAGTCACAGTTTCCTCTCTTCTAGCCCCAGTCCCCTTCAAAAGAATCAATGCTTTCCTTTTTCTGGAGCTGAAATTCACATTTAAATCCCCATTACATCATAAAATATGTCTTGTGCATCTGCACAGATTTACCAAATGTATTACTGTCATTTTCATTTATTTTTTTCCATAAAGATCTATCTTAATCCAAAATTGCTTCATCTCCATTAAGGCACCTCTTGTAAAGGTTATCCCTGCAAGAACAGTCCATAAGTGCCTACAATTTCATTCCCACTGTTAGGTGGAGAACTCTAGAAATGAACAACAGCTACAATTTAGTGAGCACCTACTATGTTCCATGTGTCTTACACAATGATAAACTATATGATTTAGAATACAAGTTTGGTTGCTAAAACAGAAACCCCCAAGTAATAATGGTTAAATAATACTGAATTTTATTTTGCTCTCATTTAGTAGTCTAGAAGTAAGTTGTCCAGGGCTGGAATGAAGGTTCCATGATTTCAGAAATCTCAGGCTTTTCCTATATTGTTGTTCTGCTGTCTTAGGCATTGCATTCATTCACCCTGTCCAAGACGGTGCATTTCTACCTTCCAGCCAGCTGGGAAAAGAAATGCTTCTTTCCTTTAAGTATGTGCAAGTACAGACTGCATAATTATACATTTCCCATGAGCCAGAACTTAGTCATATGACTTTTCCCAGCTGCAAAGAAGGCTGGGAAATATAGTCTTTGATCCAGGTGGCATGGATCCAGTTAGAAATCAGGGTTTCTATTACAAAGAAGAAGAGGATAATGAATATTGGGGCACCACCAGCAATATGGGTCATGCAAGTTGATCCTGAGACCAGACCCTAAGATTTTTCAACCTATGATAAGAACAGATTGAAAATAAAATGCTCTGAGGGCAGCCCAGCCTTACCTGGACTGGGATGTCATTGCCTCATTTGTGGCTTTACTTAACATGAAATGACACAAAATATTGGATGTGACTTGTTCTATCTGTGTGGGAGGGAGCAACAATACCTCTGTGGGTGGGTATGGGGTTTCCCTTGAAGAGGAGAGATGTTCTCATAGTCAAACCTTCTGGAGAGTGCTCAGTCTTGAAGCAGGAGATAAGGATTCTAAAAATTGACCTTAAATGGAGGCCATCCGAAACTGTCTCCTCCCTCTTGACTGGGAGCCAGTTTGGCCTGGACTCCATAGAATAGAGTAGAGATGCTTGAAGTGTTTCTGGTGAGAGGAGGGGGAAACTGAGGCCCAGCCATGGAGAAATTGAGAGACATGAAGCCAGACAGTTAAGGGAATCTGACGATACATCTGGGCCTATCCAATCATTGTAAATGGTTTTGTTTGGCTTCCTTTTAAACTGGTCCCAAATTACCAGTAAAAACTTGCTAAAAGCTACATCTTGCTCTCTGTTCTCATGTGGGGCATTAAGGCAAAGTGCCTGCCCTGCACTTAGAATGAAGTAGACATGCCACTTTCGTCTTCCTTTAGTTCCTCAAATATGTTCCATTCCCTGTGCCTCGGGGTCTTTGCACACACCGTTTCTCTGCCTGGAATGCCTTCCCCACCACCTTTGTCTGCTTACTCCTGCTTACTCTGAGCTGTCATCTAGAATGTCACTTCCTCAAGAAAACCCTCCCAGATTTCCATAACCCTCACCTCCCAAAGTCATTCAATTTTTCCTGAAACTCTTTCATAACTCCTTAATTATTATATTTATGCTTTGCCATTACATATATATTTGTGAGACTGTCTAATCAGTATCCTTCTCCCCTATTAGATTATAAGTACCACAAGGGCAAGAGCCATATCCAATTTTTCTCACTCTTGAATGTCCAGCACCTTGGACAGTACCTGGCACATTAGTAGGTGCTCAGTCAATATTTGTAGAATAAATGAATGCAAATAGCGGCCCCTGCTGAGGCCATAGCAGCATGGGGGTCATCAACAGAGGACAGCTTCAGCCATTAGAGTGGAGGGGCCTTGGCAAGGAGACAGCACTGCAGAGACATAATGAGTCAGGAATGGAAAACCTGCCAGTTTAAAAGGGTCACCTAAGAGCCTCCCAGAAACATTGAGGAGAGATATTCGGGGATAAAGAACTCAACCTGATGGGCTGTCCTGTTTTCATCTAGATTATACACATGAAAATGATCTCATCTAATTTTCTATCCACCCAGTGGGGCAGGTGTTTTTATTCCCAATTAACAGATGTGAAAACTGAGGTTCAAAAATATCTGAAAATCACTCAAGGTCACACAGCAAGTCAATGGAGTCTAGATTCAAAGCCAGCTCTATAGATCTCTAAAAACTACTCTTATTCTATATACCCAGTTTGCCTCCCAGAGAAACAAAAAGAAATGGTGAAAACCCCACAAAGGTCAAATTCACTGAAATGACTTGGACAACACATGTTTCCAGCTGGTGACTGCTCCATGAGCACTTTTCTTCTGCATGAATGCCTCTTTGGCTGAGTTCTCCCAGCCCATTATCTGAAAGCCTCTACTATTTAAACTTGACACTGACTACTTTTCATAAAGTTTGTTTTCAGCTATGTCCTTTGACTTCTGCAATCAGACTCAGTTTTCTACATCTGTGAAGACTGCTGTTGGGGCTCCTCTTACCTGCCTCTCTCTCAGCCTCAGTGGGATCTTTTCCCTCTCTTCTTACTCATGTAACAACCATGCTCTCCTGATCCTGTTCTGTGAACACACAGCAGTTTATTTATGTTCCTCAAGGGTGGCATCCAAATGGAACATGCTGAGAAAGACCCAGTCTTTCCAAAAAACAGTTTCGGTTTACATCTCCCAAGTTTCTAAAATGTATACCTATTTCATTTAGTATTTCTATGGAGAGGAGAGGTTAGCTCAAGAACATCATTAGACAGATGTGCAGAGATGTCAGATCAAGAACTGCCAAGGCTGGGCACGGCAGCTCACTCCTGTAATCCCGACACTTTGGGAGGCCGAAACGGGTGAGTCACTTCAGCCAAGGAGTTGGAGACCAGCCTGGGCAGTAAGATGAGACCCCGTTTCTACAAAATATACCAAAAAAAAATTAGCTGGGCATGGTGGCATGCGCTTGTGGTCCCAGCTACTCTAGAGACTGAGGTGGGAGGATTGCTTGAGCCCAGGAGGTAGGTGGAAGTTGCAGTGAGCCGTGATCACGCCATTACACTTCAGCCTGGGCAACAGAGTGAGACCCTGTCTCAAAACAAAACAAAACAAAAAAGAATTTTCTATTGGAAGAAATGTTTGTAATAGTGAAAAAAAAAAATGAAAACAACCAAATACCCAATAACGGGAAACTGGTAAAATAAATGGAGATATATCTATGTGATGATATACAATGCCATCCCTAAAGATAACAATGTAGGCTTTTACTGATGATAAAAAATGTTCACAGTCAGAAAAAGTAGGTTCAGAAGCAAATTGTATAATATGATTTCATTTCTGTTGAAATGCAGATTTATTTGTTCATTTGACAAAATATATTAAACGGTTGTTATTTATCAGGGGCCATGTTAAGAGCTGGGAATATAGCAATGAACAAAGTATCGGGGGATTACCAATCCATTGACCATTTTCTGTTAGTGATCACTTAGGTCAGTGGCTCAAACTCTCTGAGCTTTGGTTTCCTCATCTATTAAAGAAAAACGGCTGGGTGCAGTGACTCATGCCTGTAATCCCAGTACTTTGGCAGGCCGAGGTGGGTGGATCGCCTAAGGTCAGGATTTTGAGACCAGCCTGGCCAACACGGTGAAATCCTGTCTCTACTGAAAAAAAAAAAAAATACAAAAATTAGCTGGGTGTGGTGGCACACCCTGTAGTCCTAGCTACTTGGGAGGCTGAGGCGGGATAATCACTTGAACCTGGGAAGCGGAGGTTGCAGTGAGCTAAGATCGCCTCATGGCACTCCAGCTTGGGTGACAGAGCGACACTCCATCTCAAAAAAAAAAAAAAAAAAGAAAAAGAAAAAAGAAAAAAAAGTACATCATGGTGACTACAGTTAATATATTGTATACTAGAAAATTGCTCAGAGTGTGGATTTCAAGTATTCGCACCACAAAAATTGATCAGTACGTGATATAATGCATATATTAAATAGCTTGATTTAGCCATTTCACAATGTATACATATATCAAAACATTATGTTGTATACCATGAATATATAAAATTTTTCCTTGTCAACTAAAAAACAGTTTTTTCAAAAAAAGATAATAGCAGTAAACAGAGATGTAGGCAGGTCAACCATATGCGTGAAGTTGCATAAATATAAGGGCTTAACAAATGTAAGATATTATATTTGTCACACCAAAATCTACCATTTCTACTACTCCCAAACTATCAGGGAGTATTATGATCTTACTGGAGGATGCAGCATTGAAGTTCTAGTCTCAATACAGCCATTAAATATCTGTACAACCCAGTGTAAGTCACCACATGCAGTCGCTTCAGTCAGTTGGTTAGTAAGTCATTCAATAAATGATGATGAGCACCTACTATGTGACTTATCATAGCCTATAAAGCTCTATACCTTCTAGTCCCTCCCTAACTCCCTACCCTCTGCTCCTACTGTCTCCCTCCCAACACTGGTCTTCTTGAAGCCCCTCAAACATGCCAAGTTTGTTCCCATCTCAGGGCCTTTGCTCTTGTTTTTTCGGCCTGTAGTTCTCTTCCTTCTGGATGCCATGACTGGATCTGTCTTTGAGATCTCAGCCTGAATATGTCCTCTCATAAAGGCCCTGAGCATCCGAGGGCATCCTAAGTCTCCTCTTCACTGCTCACTTTATTGTCTTCTTAACATCTACTACTATCTGATAGGATGAAATTTATTTTCTTGCTTATTATATCTTCCCTGTTATAATGCAAGCTCCATGACAGCAGGGACCTAGACTGTCTAGTTTATTGCTGTATCTCAGTGCTTAAAACTGTGCTTGTCACATAGTGTGTGTTTAAGAAATTTTTGTCAGAAGAATGGATGGACGGATGGACAGACAGACAAACGGATGTACCTGGCACTGTGCTAAAGCAGAGGATGCATCAGTAAGCAAGGCACATACAGTCTTTTATGAGCATCACCTTGTGGTACCCAGCTTCTCGGTCCTCTAAAAGGGAATTATTCTTGCCCGGTCTTACCTGAGAATTCTCACAAAACCAGCATTCATTTAAATATGCGCAACCTCCATCAGATCCTTTCTCTAGGACTCTCCTCTGCCAAAGTGCTGAGTAATTATCCTTTAGAATCTACAATGGCTCCAAATTTTGATTAAACACTTTCCTGGCTTTTAAAATTCCAGGCCAGACTATTAGACTGTGCTCTGCTATGGCATTACCCAGTGCAGTGATTGACCGAGACGGACCTTGTCCCCTCTTACTTTGCAGCTATTTCCTTGAGTATTTTGATCCGGGCGAGAAGTATGACATTATTGATTTGCTCTGCTCCACTCACCAACTGCCTCATCTGCAAGAGCAGGAATCTTTATGGCTTCAATAATTTCCCGGAGTGCAGAGAACTCTTTTGTATTTTTGCTTGGCACTTTGCAATTCTGTAAATTTTTTATGGACTCTGAGGTTAAATTTCATCTCCCTTGCTCCCAGGCTCACTGGATATCTGCCTGTGCTCTAAGAAAGAACCTGACCCTTTTGTACTCAGTCATGTCACACCCTACCTTTATATTTAGGGAGGGAGGAAGAGGGCAAGGGATACAAAAATAGAATTCTAGGCTCTAGGCTTTTCTACCTTTTTTTTTTTTTTTTTTTTACTGAAAAAATATATTTTTAAAAAAAACTCAGAAAGGTTTAGTGACTTGCCTAAAATAACACAGCCAAGAAGAGAGAAACACTCCTCTGCTTCTGGAGTGGTCATTGGTGTTGTTCACCATCACTTTGGTTCTCTTATTCCTGGGCACAAACTAGGATCACCCTTCTCTGCCTCCATAAAGCCAAGTGATGTTGCGCAGCCAGCGAATTATGGGTGGAAGGGAGCTGTGCCTCTCCCACATGGAAGTCTCTAATACCTGGTGCACAACTCATGTTCTTCCCACCTCCAGATGGTGAAGGCTCCATTTACCTGCATCTCTAAATGAGAACAGTGACCCAAAAGTGACATGGAATGTGAGCAAGAAATAAGTCCATCATTTTAGGTACTGAGTCGGGTTGTTTGTTACCACACATAGCCTAGCTCATCCTAATCCATACAAACTCCAATTCCAGAGCCTCCCAGTTAAGATGATTTGAAACCTTTCCATTACTTTGGTTAGCTGATCTGGAATGTTTGGTTAAGGAGGTAATCTGAAAAATGAGGTTGCTTTAACATCACAGATTTCCCATCTATAGTTTTGCTTAGATCAAGAGTTGACAGCTTGAGCTCAGGAGTTCGAGGCTACGGTGAGCTATGATTGTACCACTGCATTCCAGCTTGGGAGACAGAGTGAGACCCTCTCTCTTAAAAATAATTTTTAAAAAGAGTTGACAAAGCTATGAAACAAGGATAAGTCAAATTCATTAGGAAAGTATTCAAATCCCTTTCAAACTTGACCCTAAGCTTGCTTTTCAGATGCAATTCTCCAAATTTCATACCCTCTCCCACCAATACTCTATGCTTCAATTTTCTTAACCTATTTCCCAGCACAGTCCCAGAAACCTGGATGAGCCAGATGTTTGGGTAGTGTTTAATCTACAAACATACCTGGGGTGGGCTGGCACAAATAGAGAACTATTTATCTCTGTGCCTGCGTGCCACAGGAGAAGCAGAGACCCCATGGATGTGCTAGTATGCCTGCATGATAGACGGTCACCAAGAGTGGCTTGCTGAGGTGAGCAAATGCCACTTAATGAGTGGGAATTACCCTCTTAGAGGGCCCCAGAACATAATTATGCCAGTGAGATGTCCTCTTTTTCTGATTGCATTTCAAACGTAACAAATCCTACATACCCTCCTTAGCCCAAAGCTTGAATCCCGATGGTGGGAGCATAATAAGGTACAGGCTATCCAATAAGTTCTGTCATTTATCCAAAAACATCAGCACCATCCATCTGTCAAAGTAATCTCAAATCAACTGAGCCTTCTGATAACCACCTCCTCCATCAGTTACCTCCTTGCCATGCTTGTGTCTGCACAGAAACTGGACTTTCTGTGTTGGTTTCTTCAATCACATTTGACATAATCCATATTTTCCACTGTAAATATTTATAGCAAACTTGGAGAGAAAACATTCTCTTTTCAAGAGGCATTCTAATTTCATTTTACAGTGAAGGTCAGAGCCGTGGATGTTCTGCAGAAACATCTCTCTACTGATTTTCAGCCTATGATAGCCAGAATTGAAGACAGGAAACTGACAATTCTTTTACCCAGCTTCATCCTCCGTGCCTCCCGCTGCTAATCATCTGAATGTCCCCTATTAAGGGGAAAAACAGCTGAGAAATTACTTTCTAACAGATTTATAGTATTTTTCTGCTTATAAAAAATACATGTCCTCTGCAATAAGTTCAGAATATATATAAAAGTATACAGAAGAAGATAATCACCATTCATCTACCACCCAGAAGTAATGATCATTAACAACTTGGTGTCTAATCTTTTAGATCTTTCTTCTAAAAAAGGATTATATTATTTCTTACTAAAACGGGATCATATTATGCATCCTCTTTTGCAACCTTTTTTTCTAACTTTAATTATATGGTGGAGGGCTTTCTTATGTATGAGTATGTGAATGCATGTGTATAACTCACATGACGACTTTTAAGAGCTGCATAAAATTTTGTTGTATGTAAGTACAACAGATAATCAGTTCCCTATCACTGGACATTTAGGTTATTTCTACTTGTTCATTATTATTTTAAATAATAATTTAAAGACGTGGTGACTAGCACTCTACACACAGGTGCTCTTCTTTTTGTATTTCTTTCATTTTCTTTTTTTTTCTTTTTTTTGAGATGGAGTCTTGCTCTGTTGCCCAGGGTGCAGTGCAATGGAGCAGTCTCAGCTCACTGCAAACTTCACCTCCCAGGTTCAAGTGATTCTCCTGCCTCAGCCTCCTGAGTAGCTGGGATTACAGGTGCCCACCATCATGCCCAGCTAATTTTTGTATTTTTAGTAGAGACAGGGTTTCACCATGTTGGCCAGGCAGGTCTTGAACTCCTGACCTCAAGTGATCCACGCACTTCAGCCTCCCAAAGTGCTGGGATTACAGGTGTCAGCCACCGCACCCAGCTTCTTTTATTTAAATTTCTTAATGGCAAATTGCTGGGTCAAAGGATATGAGCCTTTTAAAGGCTTCTGACTCATATTACCAAAAACAAATCACCAGTTTGATTTCACAAGCAGTGTGTGACAGTGTCTATTTCCTTAAAACTTCAACAGTTCTGAATATTAGTAATCTTTAAATTTTTGACAATCTGATAGCAAAATAAGGTTATTATATTGCTATCTCAATTCAATATATCTCACTAATATTAGACTACATATTTTTTTGCTTTCTCTCTCTTTTATTAATCTGGTTAGATGTTTTTAACTTTTAAGTTCAGGGGTGCAGGTGCATGTTTGTTTCATAGGTAAACTTGTGTCATAGGGGTTTGCAAACTAATGCTGGAACAGAAAACCAAATATTGCCTGTTCTCACTTATAAGTGGGAACTAAATGCTGAGAACACATGGACACATAAAGAGAAACAACACACATTGGGGCCTATTGGAGGGTGGAGAGGGGGAGGAGGGGGAGGATCAGGAAAGAAAACTAATGGGTACGAGGCTTAAAACTTAAAACCTAGGTGACTAAATAATCTGCCCATTTATATTTCTCTTTTGTGAATTCGCATATTTAGATATCATGCTCATATTTTTCCACTGGAGTACTCCAATATGCTGGGGGTTTTTATTTTTATTTTTATTTTTTATTTTTTTTTTAGGGAGATGGAGTTTCACACTTGTTGCCCAGGCTGGACTGCAATGGCACGATCTCGGCTCACCACAACCTCCACCTCCCGGGTCCAAGTGATTCTCCTGCCTCAGCCTCCTGAGTAGCTGGGATTACAGGCATGCACCACCACACCTGTCTAATTTTGTATTTTTAGTTAGAGACAGGGTTTCTCCATGTTGGTCAGGCTGGTCTTGAACTCACACCCTCAGGTGATCCGCACGCCTCAGCATCCAAAAGTGTTGGGATTACAGGCGATTACAGGCGTGAGCCACTGCACCCGGCCTTATGTTGTTATTTTAAATAAAGAAATATATGCTGCAAATATTCTTCTCAATCGCCTTTTGTCCCTTAACTTTGTTTTCCATTGTGTGAAGATTTTTAATTTTTGTATAATAAAATCTATCAGTGTTTTCCCTTGGTGATTTCTGACTTTGATTTCAAACTTCCCAAGGCCTTCCCTTCATTCCAAGAGAATGAAACTCACTTATATATTTTTATAGTAATTTTGTATTTATTTATTTACTTTTTATGTAAGTATTGAAACAATATGAAGTAGGGCTCTCACTTAATTTTTTCTGGGTTGTTAGTTCATTTATCCAATATCTTTTAATGTACAATTCACTCTTCTCATTGATTTGAAATGTCACTTACAAAAATTACTTTTATATTTGTGTTAGGTAAACACATCTTTGTAAGGTATGCTCTTTTTCAGAAAAATCCTTGAATATTTTCTGATGTCAATTCTTCCAGATAAATTATAGTATCTCATTCAGTAATTTAAAAAATTGCTAATATTTTAATTAATATTGCATAATATTAATTTAATTTGGGATAAATTGGCACGTACCCAATAAGGATCTCTTATATACTTTAATAAAGGTTTAGAATTTCATACAGTAGCACAGCATATGTAGATTTCTTATTGTTTATTTCTAGATAGCTTACATTTTTATTGTGATCAGAATTTTATTCTTGTTTTATTTTAATATTTATTTTTATTGATCTGTAGGAAAGCTATTGGGGTTTTTTGTGTGTGTTTGTTTATTTTGTACTTGCAATAATTTTTCAAGATGATTATTTGGCAGCTAAAGCCATCTCACTGTACATCGTAGTTATTTGGTTATATTACAAATAGGCATAAATTATGCAAGCTTATCTGGAAATCCCATGGGTTCCTTATGAATGGCTGCATGGCTTGGAAAGTTCACCAAGGATAGTTGTATTAATTATGTGTTTTATTTTCTGTATTCTATGATGTTTTGACATCTTGTGGTCTTGCTGACATGAGAGAGACTCCCCCTCCCAGGGCTAGCTAATTCCTAGAGATAAACTATTCCCCTGCAGTCATGCCTTTCCTATGCAAACCAACCAACCCAGAGCCGATACTCCTCAGACGCCTTCTTTTCCAGGCTCTTACACCCCGGGCCAATTTTTCTCTGTCCTAACACCCCTAGAGCCAGGTACCAGACAACCTGGGACAGCCTCTACACCCTAGAGTCTGCTAGAAATCCACTTACCCTGCCTCACACATTCCTTTCTGCAGAAACCACAATAAAGCCTCCTGCCCCTCTTTTCCTCCCGCTCCTGCCCCTCTTTTCCTCCCGCTCCTGCCCCTCTTTTCCTCCCGCTCCTGCCCCTCTTTTCCTCCCGCTCCTGCCCCTCTTTTCCTCCCGCTCCTGCCCCTCTTTTCCTCCCGCTCCTGCTCCTCTTTTCCTCCCGCTCCTGCTGTCTCCTGACAACCGCGGAGCTTCCTCACATAGAATGAAGCACCCCCTCCTCTTGGGAACTGTGGGTAACAAACCATCTTTTCAATGACAGTCACTACTGTTCTGTTGGCCTCACCATACCTGAATAATAATAAAAAAGCTTACATTTTAAAATGACAGTTTAAATATATATATAAAATAAAATAAAAAATATGTATACATAGCCTTACTGTGTCACCCAGGCTGGACTGTAGAAGGGCGATCTCCACTCACTGCAACCTCTGCCTCCCAGGTTCAAGCAATTCTCCTGCCTCAGCCTCCTGAGTAGCCGTGACTACAGGCATGCCCATGACTCCTGGCTAATTTTTGTATTTTTAGTAGAGACTGAGTTTCACCATGTTGGCCAGGCTGGTCTCAAACTCCTGACCTCAGGTTATCTGCCCTCCTCGGCCTTCCTAAGTGCTAGGATTACAGGCATGAGCTACTGTGCCAGGCTGGATATTTTTTATTTTTTTAGAACCATGTCTTACTCTGTGGTTCAGGCTGGAGTACAGTGGTGTGACCACAGCTCATTGCAGCCTCAAATTCCTGGGCTCAAGTGATCCTCTGGCCTCAGCCTCCTGAATAGCTGGGACTACAGGCATGGGGCACCACACCTGGCTAATTTAAAAAAAAAAAAGGTTCTTGAGACGGATCTTGTCATATTACCCAGGCTGGTCTCAAACTTCAGGCCTCAAGCCATCCTCTCACCTCAGCCGCCTGAGTCGCTGAGATCACTGCATGCACGCCTGGCTCTTAAAACCATAGTTTTAATAGAACATCAGGAACAGACAGCCTGATATAGGAGCAAGGGGCTGAGCTTTGGAGTCAGACAGTCCTGAGGATAAATTAAACTGCTTGGCTTGCTAGCTGTGTGACTTTAGAAAAATATCTTAACTTCTCTGATGCTCTCTTTCCTTCTGCGAGGCGGAGGTTCGGAGAAACGGAATGACTTGCCGAAGTGCACCCAGCTGGTAGGTGGCTGAACTAGGATTTAAACCCACCTGAGTCTGAACCCAAGGCCTGTGTCCTTGACACCGTACCACATTGCCTTTCACCTCACTGTGATGTGTAAGGGTCCTGCAGGTCCCCCGCCACCATTCTGAGTCCCTGTTACCATCACCCAGGTCTAAGTCTAGAAGCTAAGATGTAGACAAAAAGGTGCAAAGGCACAAAGGCTTCCTAGCTAAAGCCTACCATTCCTATTCATCTAGAGTCCTAGTAAGCTGTCTTCTTATTAATTGAGGTGGGGCTACTCTGAAGCCAGGATGTGCTTTGCATACCCAGTGCCTCACAGGACACACCAGCAGTCATCTTCAACAAGCAAGAGAGCACAGCAAGTAGCTGCTTGGATGAAAATGCCTACTCTGTGATTCACAAGCAGCTCCAAGAACCCACAGCCTCCCCTCAGCTCTTGTGATATGCACACAGAAGGGAGCGCCTATGTAGGCTCTTCTCCCTTTTTTCTTTTTGAGATGGAGTCTCGCTCTGTCACCAGGCTGGAGTGCAGTGGAGCGATCTCGGCTCACTGTAACCTCCGCCTCCCGGGTTCAAGCAATTCTCCTGCCTCAGCCTCCCAAGTAGCTGGGACTACAAATTAGCACCACCACACCCAGCTGATTTTTGTACTTTTTGTAGAGATGGGGTTTCACCATGTTGGCCAGAATGGTCTCCATCTCTTCACCTCGTGATCCGCCCGCCTCGGCCTCCCAAAGTGCTGGGATTACAGGGAGTCAGCCACTGTGCCTGGCTGGCTCTTCTCCTTTATACACACCTATCACTTATTGAGAGTTTACTTTCCACCATACTTTAAATATACATAATAAAATTTATTTTAAAAAATACCTGGCCGGGAGCAGTGGCTCACACCTGTAATCCCAGCACTTTGAGAGGCCAAGGCAGGCAGGAGTTCAAGACCAGCCTGGCCAACATAGTGAAACTCTGTCTCTACTAAAAATATAAAAATTAGCTGGGCATGGTGGTGGAGGCCTGTAATCCCAGCTACTCGGGAGGCTGAGGCAGGAGAATCACTTGAACCTGGGAGGCGGAGGTTGCAGTGAGCCGAGATCGCGCCACTGCACTCCAGCCTGGGCGACAGAGCGAGACTCCATCTCAAAAAAAGTAGTGTAAGTTGGTTTTAAGGATGTATCCAACAATGTTCAACACAATCAATTCTGTAAATAAAATGTTCCCATTCATACATTCCCTATAAAATAACTGAGAGAAGACACACATTCGCATTGACCAGTGGAGGGGGGATCCATAATTGTGCAGAAACATGTTGGCATACAATCTATAACTGAGTGTTCTATGTTCTTATTTAGGCCAGTGGATGTTCACTGGGGCTGAGCTGGGCCCTTTTACTCGAACATCTGTATTCCCCAGCTAGCTCAGTGCCACTTCAGTCTGTCCGCTCATACGCATTGTTTGTAGGAGTCAATGAGGCCATGAGAGTCGTTATGGTTCCAGACATTCCCAAATGCCAGTCTCTTGGAGCTCCACATCCCAGGTGTGGATTTGCTGCCCCTACTGGTGTGGAGCACATGATCTTCCCTGGGAGGCTGAGGGACAGCACTTCGGAGTGAGCAGGAACAGAAAATCCCTCTTCTGAAATATTATGCATTAATGGGAGAAAAGCATCTGGCCTGGAGACCGAGGACCCCAAAGCCTTTGGTTTGCGTGTGACCTCAGGAAGCCCGAGGCTGCCCAGGATGCATCTTTACTCATCACAGATATTGCCACAAAATCACATCAGAAAGGACACTGCTCTCTGCTAAGGACACCAGGTCACAGAGGCTGCAGAGCATATGGTGAAATGGATTAAGAGGGCAAAAGGGATTTCCTGTGCCAAGGCACCAGGCTCATTTACATACATTAGCACCTATGACTGAAGTCATTTCCTCTTAGTCAAAGGCTGAGGAGACCCAGAGACCAGAGCAGGGACCAACCAGGGCAAGATGTCAGAAGGGGTGAGTTACGTCTTGCGACTTTGCTGGTTTGGCGTTCTGATGAGTAAAAATCTATTTGCTCTGACAGTGCCAGAGAGCAAGGAAGTGCACAACAGCAGTGCATATCATGTAGATGTGGCTTGGGCTTGACCATGGGGATTTCCTGGCAAAGCCTCAAAAGCACTCCTTTCTTCGTTACCAGGTCACTGTGCACAACAAACGTCTCTGAGCTTTATCCCAGACCCTTATCCAACCCCGGCTCTCCCGGCCTTCTTCTCATCATTCTTTGTGCTTTCCCTGCATTGCCTCATTAAATCCTTAAAACCACCCATCAGTGGCAACCCAGAGGAAGCAACATAGCACGGTGGTTAAGGGCGCAGACTCTGAATGGGGTCCCTCTGCCACCTACTTTCCACATGATCTGTAAAACAGGGAGGCGGGGCTTGAGTGGTGGCTCCCAAAGGCAGCAGGATCTCATCCCTAGAAACTTTGAATATTGCCTCTGTGAAACAAAATACAACCCCCAGGACCCCAAACTCACTATGCCAAAGGGAAAGTTAAGTCTGGGAATTGAGTCACACAAAAACTGCCTTCCTTTTGTTCCCAAACAGCTGTGATTTCACAACTCTGTATCATAGCCTGACTTCCTCTCCTCTCTCTTTTCACATGTTTACCTCATCTTATGTAAGATGTAGATTTACTGAGTATGAGACAATGCATAATTGACTTTTTCCTCCACTCTCTTGCACATGTAAAATGTAGATTCACTAAGGCTAATCAGAGCATCTCCAGAATGTAACTCTCTGCCTCACTGCCTCCCTCCCTTTTTACCCCCTGGCTTGCTCTTTCCCTTTGAAAGGCTGAAGTTCCCAAAGCCCCCTTTGGAAAAAACACAGGTCACAGATGCTCTTGTGATTTGTATTATTTTCCCGGGTACATCCTCAACCCTGGCAAACAAACAAACAAACAAAAAAACACCTTGATAAAGACCTGCCTCAATCACTTCATGGTTTATATCTCCTATAGTAAAGTTTCTGCAGATGTGGTTAAATTAAGGATCTTGAGATGAGGAGATTATCCTGGATTATCTTAATAAGCCCTAAAGGCCATCATCAGTGTCCTTCCAAGAGAGAGGCAGAGAAATATTTGACACAGACACAGAGAGAAGAGGAGGAAGCATTGTGATCATTGAAGCAGAGACTAGGGTGATGCAGCCACAAGCCAAGGGATGCCAGCAGCCACCAGAAGACGGAAGAGGCATAGAAGGGATTCAGGCCTGGAGCCTCTGGAGGGAGCACAGTGCTGGAGTTCAGACCTCTGGTCCCTGTAGTTTTAAGCGACCAACTTTGTGGGTAATTTGTTTTATCTCTCACAGGAAACTAATATGTGGAAGTTATAATATTTCATATCTCCTAGGACTGTTTGAAGAATTAAATGATTCAATATGTTTAAAGCTTTTGCAACAGTGCCTGGCATATGGTAAGTGCTAGAAAAAGTCTCTACCAAATAGGTACTGGCACCATTGTTTTGTTTTGGTTTTTGAGACAGGGTCTCACTTTGTCACCCTGGCTGGAATGCAGTGGCAAAATCTTGGCTCACTGCAGCCTCAATCTCCAGGGCTCAGGTGATTCTCCCACCTCAGCTTCCCAAGTAGCTGGGACCACAGGGGCACAATGCCACGCCTAGCTAACTTTTATTTTACTTTTTATAGAGATGGGGTTTCCCCCTGTTGCCCAGGCTGGTCTCAAACTCCTGGACTCGAACAATTGGCCTCCTAAAGTGCTGGGATTACAGACATCAGCCACCACGCTCAGAAAGCACCATTGCTTTTAAATAGAGGAAGAAACAGAGTCACAGGGAAGCCCGTGCAACACAAAAGCTAAACCCCAACCCCAGCCCTAATGCCAACATGACACAACACTGTTTCTCTTGTCTGAGCTCAAGACAAGAGAGACTCCTAATTCCAGCAGAAGCAGCCTGATGGGCTGGCCTCTGCCATATCCTCACAAGCCCTTCTAAGAAGGGAGGTTCCAAAAGCCAAGGGTCAGACTCAAACCACATGGTCACACTCACAGCCTAGGCTAAAAATCAGGCACGTGGAGCACAGCTCCAATCTCCTGCTCCTGGGTCAATGGTCCACCTACACCTGTCAGTCAGATCTAAGGTAGGGACGTTTCCGTCTTCTTAGATGACTCACGTCTGACCATTCACTCTGGTTACATCTGAGGCCTGCCTCAGTCCCAGCCATAATAATAATAAAAATAGCAATGACTGTCATTTATAAATTTTACTTACAGTGTGCCAGATTTTGAAGTAAGCACCTTAGATATCTTACTATCTTCAATATTGTACCTATTTTACAGATGAGGGCTATGAGGTTCAGGTGGGTTAAGTGGCATGGCCAAGCTCAAAAGAAATCCAAACACAGGTCCATCTGACTCACACCTTTAGGTCCAGCAATCTTCTTCATCATGATAACAGCATCCTATGTGGCAGGCACCTTGCTGGAGTCTTCCATGTACCGTCTCCCAGAGTCCTGTTTGACTGCATATATTACAGGTGAGGAAACTGATGTGCTAATGGAGTGAGCTGCCCAAAGTCAGCCAGAGAGAGGGCCAGCAGCTGAGCCAGGACTTGAACTCCAATCTCTGGTTCTAGAGACCAAGCTCAGGCTCTGCCTGGAATCTTCCTCCTCCAATGTGGTTTAGACTCGTGTGCAGACATCTGCCAGTCACAGAGAACACTAAATTCACTTCCTACCTGCCTTCTTCCATCAAACTCCGAGGAGGCTGGCTAGTAGGAAGCCATACACCTGGGTGTACCTACAATATTTCTAACCTACAATGATGTTAACTAACTCCTCAAAATATTATTTCCCTTAACAACCTATTGGCTACATTGGGGTCACATGCCCCTTGTGAACCATTTTTTGATTGGGGAGTGAGAACAGGCACAGACCAATCAGATTTGCTCCTTGTACTGGGGGTGGGTCCAGCTTCTTGGAGACTCTTGGCTGGGTCAGGGAGCGGAAGCTGCTGAAAGCAGGGGTGGGCAAGGGAGGAGCGAGTGGATGCTGGGGTGGGGGTATGTCACACAGGGGATATGTCATCTGCTGGAAAACCAGGAGAGGATTTGTAGTAAGGAGTAGGGATGGTTCCTTCTGGGGTAGGGCAGTGCTGGCTGGCAAAGCTTCCTCCCTGTCTGTTGTAATCAGACTCAGTTAGTGGTGACTGTCTCCATAGGAAATGGTCACTGCAGTACCCTCTGAGGCCCCTAAGCCCAACTCCTATAGGAAGCCCCTCCAAACCACCAGGAGACTGCCTTTCCTGAACTTGAGGCTTAAGGCATCTCTTCTATGCAGTCCTGAATTTCTGCTCAGTGACTGTCCAACTGAAAACTTGGGCCGCGTAAGGGCGTATGACTGGGTCTTTTCTCGTCGTCTTTTTACCAGGAGGAGGCTTGTAGAAGTACTTAGCAGAGGCAAGCTGATAAGAGTGGGGAGTCACCTGTGGGGGTTGGCAGGTTGGCATTTTGCATACGTTTTCTCACTTCTTTCTCACAACAACTCCGTGAAGTAGGTTTTACCATTATCCCCATCTTACAGCTCCAGGCCCTTTCAATGATGCTGGAAATGATGCTGATTATGCTCGTCATCATGCCAACTGGCACTGTCGCAGACACTGTTATAAGCACTGACTCTTCAAGCATTAAATCATTTAATTCTCACAATCATATCATGGGATATTACAATTATGATGAGTATTATGAGGTATTATGATTCCCATTTTACAGATAAGAAAACTGAGCACCAGGGGAGTTAAATAAGGTCACATAGCTGGTAATGGGAGAAGGCAGGAGTCAAACTCAGGGATCCCTGATTTACTTCAAGGATCAACTAATTATTGCATATCAGCGGCTGACTGTTTTTGTAAATGAAGTTTATTGAAACACTGCCATGACCATTTGTTGACTTAACATCTATGGCTACTTTCATGCTGCATCAGCAGAGTTGAGTAGTTGGAATAGAGACCCTATGGCCCACAAAACCTAAAATATTTACTATCTGGACAATTACAGATAGAGTTTGCCAACCTCTGGTCTAGTTCCAGAGCTGAGGCTCTGAGAAAGCCAAATGTCCTCTCTTTCAGGATGGCTTCTCAAAGCCCAGGTGGAGAGATGGGAAACACTAAGTTCTCGGCCTCAGATGCATCTGTGCTGAAGTCCCTGCTCTGATATATCACCTCTCTGCAGCACCTTGAGTTCTTCATCTATAAACTTAGGGGTAACCATATCTTTCCCAGCGAGTTGTGTGTAGAGAGGATTAGATGAGATGTCATAAATAAAGTGCAAAGCAAACAGTAGGGACACAACAGTGCCCAGAAATCACCAATGTCACAGGCACCTCGCCTACATCCCAAAAGAAGAGAAATGTCAGCTCCATCCTCCACCGTCCAAGGAGAAATAACACCTGTTATTCCATTGAAGTGCAAAACAGTTCCCATCTATTTCACATTTGCAGGCCATCATCAGTGTGCTGTTTCAGCTTGCCAGATGCAAAGAGAATATGCCAATCTCTAGCACAGCCAGCTGCCTCCCTGGTGGGCAAGGAGGAGGAAGAAGGAAAAGGAAGCCTGGGAGAATAGGAATGGAATCCAGTACTTCCCTGGATAACTGGGGGCCTGCTTGCCTCTTTGGCATTCCTTAGTGTCCAAGTGGCCCCACCTCTGAGTTGGACAATGGGTCTTTTAGAACAGAGAGGTGGAGTTCTCAGAATTCCATGAGCTGATCGCTTCCACAGAATCCTTTAATAATGGAAGCCCTGCATAGGACAAGAAGACCTGGAATCTGCCTGCAAGAGTCATCCCCCATTCCTCTTGGGAACCACCAGGGTGAGACACAATTGTGGGTGCTTTATCAGACTGGCTTCCCTGAATAGCTTCCCAGGGGGGCACATTCAGGAGCCCAGCCACCACCAATAGGAATAGCTAATGTTTATTTAGCACTTACCATCTAACACTCACAATAACCCAATGAGAAAGGTACTATGATGTCCATTTTACAAGTGAGGACACTGAGGCACAGAAAGATAGAAGATGTAAGTCATTGGCAAGAGAGGAGGTGTGCTCTGGAGGAACACAAGCCCTGAGGTCAGACTGATACGGATATAAATCCATGTGACCTTGAAAAAAATTTCATTTCACTTAGCCTCAATTTCCCCATCTATAAAATGGGCACAATTTATGTCTATTTCATTCACCTATTCTGAGTATTTAGTGAAATAACACCTGTGAAGTCTAATATAATCATTTCAATTGGATTTAGAGTAATACTAGCAATTATTATTGCTTTTTGTTTAGATACCAGTTTTTTGTTTGTTTTTGTTGGTTTGTTTGCTTGTTTGCATTACTGGTACCTCTTTCCCTTCCTGGCAATAAATAGTTCTTTATTTTTTTTCCTTGAAGAACCATGGTTCTACCACTTTTAGATGGTTTGGGGGTGGAGGGAGGTATAAAGAGGAGAGGTTCACTTTTAGCTGACATCCACTTTCCCCAGATATGGCCAAGGACAATACTACATCTCCACGACATCCTCAAGTTTCAGATCTGGGCACGTAACCCATATTGGACCAATAAGTTTCAGACTTGAGGCTTTTGATTGAAATGCTGGGCAAGAAATGCTTTTCTTCTGATTGAGGTTGCTAAACTGAGAGATTATAAATTTGGATCTGCAGAGGCCCACCAGAATAAAGCAACACAGAAGAAAATCATATCCCAGAGAGGAAGGGAAGGATTAGATTTACATCTAAATGACATTATTTAGATCCCTGAATCTAGGCAGGCCTGAAGGGAAAACTTGGACCTTTCATTTACAGGGGCCAATAAATTCTCCCTTTCTGCTTCACCCTGTTTGAAAAGCGATTGTTTTATTTCCCAAAGAGTCCTGACTGATATATCTCCTCAAGTAAGCATCTCCAAAAGACAAATGAGGCCACAGTATTCAAGACTTCTCTTTGCAACTTTCCATCGAATGCCAATTCTCTTTTCTTTCTTCCTTTTCATTGCTTTATCACCTTTGACCGCCTCTTCTGTTTTGAGTCACTTTCTCTTGCTCTCTTCCAATTCATCTTTTTCCTACATCTTTGGGGGTGTGTAGACCTCACCTCTGCCTTTGCTTGCTCCACATGTTCTGTAGGTGATGAGGGAGCTGACGTCAAGTCCATGGCACTTGGACCAAGGCAGGCATCAGCAAGCCTCTGTGCAGGGAATGATGCTTAGATAGCTATGCAGAAACAGAGCCAGGCACATGAAACTCATGTCAGAAAGGGTTTGTAACAAGGACTTTAGCTGCCTTCTGCAAAGCTCAGCATTTCTGAACAGCAAGCATATTCTCTTGGCCTCACTAACTAGCCTACTCCTTTAATTGTGGGAGGGGAGTATATTTATATTTGCTCATTAAGTGCTGCTATAATATCTTGTATAGTATGAATGTTTATGTCCCCCCAAAATTCGTATGTTGAAATCCTAACCCCCAAGGAGATGGTATTAGTATGTAGGGCCTCTGGGAAGAGATTAAGTCCTAAGGGCAGAGCCATAGTCTCTTCTGTTTTCCCCACAAACTCTCTTGACCCTTCTCCCCCAGTCCAATCTTTATTGACATCTGGAATCACATTTTTTAAAATTATGACTGAATAAGATTAGTGCCCTTCTAAAAGTCCCCTTAGAGTACTCCCTTGCCTCTTCTGTCATGTGAGGTTACAATGAGAGGATCTTCATCTATGAACCAGAAAGTAGGCCCTTAACAGACACCAAATCAGCTGGTGCCCTGATCTTGGAATTCCCAGCCTCCAGAGAACTGTGAGAAATAAATTTCATTTGTTTATAAGCCACCAATTCTAGGGTATTATTATCATAGCCCCCAAGGACTAGGACATTATCTTCAAATCACAACAGTGGAAGTCAAATGTTCATTGGTTGCTTAGAGGATATTAAGCTTTATAGGCCAGGCTCGGTGGCTCACACCTGTAATCAGCACTTTGGGAGGCTGAGGTGGGTGGATCTCCTAAGGTCAGGAGTTCAAGACCAGCCTGGCCAATGTGGTGAAACCCCATCTCTACTAAAAATACAAAAATTAGCCAGGTATGGTGGTGGGCGCCTGTAATCCCAGCTACTTGGGAGGCTGAGGCAGGAGAATCACTTGAACCCAGGAGTTGGAGGTTGCAGTGAGCTGAGATTATGCCACTGTACTCCAGCCTGGGCAACAGAAGTGAAACTCTGTCTCAAAAAGAGAGAGAGAGAGAGAGAATACTAAGCTTTATAAATACGCAAACAATATGAAGGGTAAACTACTATAACAAAGCTGCCGACTCTTTCGGGAAGCCTTTCATGACCACCTGCCACCCACCAAGGATAGGATAAGTGTTGTACCTTGGTGCTTCCACATTACTTTTATCTTCCTCTTTCTTAGCACAGTCTTGTGGTTGCCAGTTGCCCATCAGTCCACAAACTCTTTACAAACAGGTCATTTCTTATTCACCTTTGTATCTCTAGTGCTATAATGGCTGAACAGTGGCTCCCCAAAAGATATGTTCATGTCCTAATTCCCAGAATCTGTGGACATTACCTCATATGTAATGAGGTAATTTTTCATATGTGCAAAATATGTGATGAAGTTAAGGATCTTTAGAGGAGAAGTTAATCCTGGATTATCTGGGTGGGCTCTAAATACAATCACATGTATCCTTATAAGGTAGACACACAGAGGAGAGAGACACAGAAGAGGACATCATGTGATGTAGTCACAAGTCAAGGAATGCCAGCAAATACTATAACCAGAAAGAAACAAAGAATGGTCTCACCCCTGGAGCCTCCAGAGGGAATGAAGCCCTGCTGACACCTTCATTTCAGACTTCTAGCCTCCACCACTGTGAGAAAATAAATTTCCATTGTTTTAAGTCACCCAGTTTGTGGCAATTTGTTACAGAAATCACAGGAAACTAAAGCAAGTGCTTTGCACAAGGTTAGGCATGTAGTAGTCAAGAGGGCCATGTTGATTTCACCAAACTCAACTCAGATCAATTGGTAATGCCTGGAGGATGGGGTTGAAAGTACTGAGTCTGGATCCTCAGGACTTAGAGAACGATTGATTAGCGATGCCTGCTGTAGGTAAGGAAACAAAACACATCAGCAGGAAGACTATGTATTTGTACTTCCCATAAGGATGCTCAAAAACAGTTGCTAAATTAATAATAAACAAATGATCCACAAGGGGATCCCCATGAGGCTGGAGCACTGAGATTGCCTAAGTCTCCAGAAGTCTCTGAACACAGCTCAGCTCCGAGCATTCTGAGACCTTGAGAAAATCCAAGGCTTCCGAAGGGGAAGAAGAAAGAGACCAAATATTTATCAAATCTGTATCTTTCTTAGCTCTTTTCTCTATTTCATCTCTCCTCCAGACAAGCTGAGCAGGCAAAACGAATGCCCTGGGTGCAAGAATCCAGGTCTTTGGCCAAGAAAAGCCCCGGGGGTGCCCAGTTGCTTTTCTTGGTGTATGTTTGGGAACGTGTCAGTTATGACTACTTCAGCTGTGGCTAACATAATTCAGAACTTAAACTGTCTTCAACAACTGGGAAACGTGTCATCTCATCTAGTTTGTCCCAGTGAAAGCGGGCTGCTATGAAGGACCCAAGTTCTTTTTTATTCTCCCCTCAGTCATCCTTATGGCTGGTGTCATCCTCAGTTTTGTATTACTTTACTTTCAGATGACAGACGTGTGGGGATAAGAAAAATCACTTCCTCTCACTCTCCTTCAGGAGCCCTAAGCTTTTACCACAAGTCCCTTGCAGATTTCCCATAACATCCTATTGGCTACATTGGGGGGGGGGTCACATGCTCCTTGGGAACCGTTTTTTGATTGGGGAGTGAGAACAGACCCAGACCAATCAAATTTGCTCCTTGTACGGGGGGTGGGTCTAGCTTCCTGGAGACTCTTGGCTGGGTCAGGGAGCGGAAGCTGTTGAAACCAGGGGTGGGCAAGGGAGGAGCGAGTGGATGCTGGGGTGGGGGTTGGGGCAGACAACGACAAACATAGAAGGATTAAAGGCACAGCTTTGGATCTGACACCTCTGAAAAAAATCCTGAGCCCTTCAGGCTAAGGTACCCCACTTCCACCGTAATCTAAGGCATGACCATCTCTTGACAGACCCACTGCCACAGCATCTCCCGTTTTCCCCACATCCTCTCTTGACCACCCCCCACCCCGATTTATTTTTTTCCCTACATTTGGAGTCGCATTTTTAAAATGTACAGATGATCATGCCCAGTATCCTCCCATGGCTTCCCACTGCTCTTATGATAAAGCCCAAACCTAACATTGACTTAAGTGGCCCCGCATCATCTGGACTCTGCCAACTCCTCCAACATCACCTTGGGCCACTTTCTTCCCTCCCTCACCAGCCTTATATTTATGCCTAGATTTTGTTCCTTCAACTGCCTTGAAGTTGAAGAAGTTCTTTCTCTTCTTGAGGCCTTTTGCAATAGGCTGTTTCCTCTCCTAGCCCACTGTCTTTGCTTAACAAATGCCTTCTCACTGAACGAAACTTTATGTCCAGAGTTAGTCAGCTTCTTTGGATATTTGTTCTCAGAGCACTCACTCCTTCATCACATTTATCACAATTGTAATTACAAAGCTTTTTGTAATTAATTAATATGCATATATTCTGCTGGGCTCGGTGGCTCATGCCTACAATCCCAGCACTTTGAGAGGCTGAGGTGGGCGGATCACCTGAGGTCAGGAGTTTGAGACCCACCTGGCCAACATGGTGAAACCCTGGCTGTATTAAAAGTACAAAAATTAGCCGGGCGTGGCCTGTGCGCCTGTAGTCTCAGCTACCTGGGAGGCTGGGCAGGACATTCGCTTGAACCCAAGAGGCGGAGGTTGCAGTGAGCTGAGATTGTGCCACTGCACTCCAGCCTGGGCGACAGAACACGACTTCGTCTCAAAAGAAAACAAAAACAAAAAACCCTCTCTGTCTCTCTCTGTCTCTCTGTCTCTCTCTCTGTCTCTTGCTTGAACCTGGGAAGCAGAGGTTGCAGTGAGCCAAGATCACGCCACTGCACTCCAGCCTGGGTGACAGAGTGAGACTTCATCTCAAAAAAACAACAACAAAAAAGAAAAGAAATATAAACTTTATATTGGGCAGCCATGTAGACAGCTAAAACTCGGGTGTATATTAAAGCAAAGAAGAAAGAATAGTAGGAAAAAATTATCACCACCTTGAACAAAGTTAGGCAATTTATTGCTTCACATAGTCCCTAAAACATGGTTAACAATCAGACCTCATAAGGGGCAGAGACACTCTGGCCTCAAGAACAAGGAGAACTAGGACAGACTCTCCCTCCATCTTCATCTTAGCTTCTTTTTATCTGTCACTTCTTTCTCAGTGTGACAGCTCCTGAGTTATACATCTTACAATGCCACACTTGGAGAGAGAGACTGGCCCTCTTCATCATTTCCCGAGAAGGTACAATGACCACTTTGAATTAAGCAACCGTGGTTGGGAGACAATAGGAACATTTTACTAAAACTAAACAGATTAACATAGATGCCTCCTATATGACAGACAGACAGAATGAATAAATAAATTTGAACATCAGTACCTATCATCATTCATTTCTGGCTAATATTTCATGTGCCAACTCCTTGCAGGCCAAAGCCCATGTCTGACAACTCTATATGACTCTATTCCTATCTTCCCAGACAATAGGATCACTCAGTGAACATTTGTTGAGATGGAGTCAAAGAATCAATATTTGACTTTAATGTCAGTACCATAAAGATGATTGCTAAATACATAGTGAGGCTGAGTGGGAAGACTTAGCCAATGTGCAATGGAAGGTAACAGTGAACTTGGAAAAGCCCCAAGGCTGCAGTTTGCTGACTTGGCTCTTTGTGTCCAGCTGATAGGAGATCCTCAGGGTGCAATAAGGGCAGCACGTGCTAATTGAGGCCAGAAATTATCTTCATTACCAGAGAGTTTCTGTTATCCTTTACATCTAAATGAGACCCAGTGGGGTAAATTTGGAACATGATTATCAGGGATTTTGCAAGGTGGTTCATTAACATAATTCCCCTAATTAGAAACCAAAGAAGCTCTTGTTGAAAATTTTCCTCTAAATATTACAAGGCTATAATTCCTGCATCATTAGGTGCCTACTTCTGAATTCTCATTTCAAACCTTCCCCTGTGATCTGTGAAGGGCTCAGCTCTGGAGACCTTTCCTTCATCTAACAATTATTGAGCTCTTATGTGTTGAGTACTGGGTTAGGTGTCGAAGATACAGAGATATAAGATAGTCTTTGACCTCAAAAAGCTCACAGTCTAATAGGAAGGACAGACAAGTAGACAGGCAATTACAATGCAAAGGAGGTACGGTGTGTGTGTGTGTGTGTGTGTGTGTGTGTGTGTGTGTATGAGAGAGAGAGGAGAGAGGAGAGACAGAATATGAGCAAGATGCAAGATGCTTTAGGAAAAGCTAACAACTTCTCATCTTGGTAGAGAAAGTCGAGATGGGGGAGGAAGATCAGGGAAAGCTTTCTGAATGAGACAATCCATTAGCTATTTTGAGAATCAGCAGGTTAAGATAGGAAGAAAGGTGTTTTTGGCTGGGAGACAATAATGTACGAAGGCCCAGAGGCTTGAGAGACAATGACAAGTCTAGGGACCTGCAGGTCGTTTAGAACTTAAGAGAACAAATTGAGCAGTGGGACAGGCAATATCTGTATTGGTGCAGAAGTTGATGGGGAGGTCAAATCACAACACACCTTGGAAGCCATGATAAGAAGACGTTTTTAAGAGCCAGGAAAAGAGAGAGAGTAATAGGTGAAGAATGACATTGACCAAAACCACTTTACATTTGATGCCTAGGGTATTATCCTCCCAGCAAAAGCCCTTTCTTTTAATCCTAAAAACTTTTCCACCATCACTCCAATCTCCACCGTCTTAATATGGCCATAATCAGAGAAACCAAGTTATAATTTGACTTTGCCTGTTGGCCACAGTTGATGGTATGGAGGACAATAACCTGATTCAAGCTGGACCAGCCGGGCTTCAGGAATGTCCTGAAATTGGGTGCAAAATGTTGTAAGCATGTTGGGGAGTGAGAGCACCCTTAATTTTCTCAGCTTATCAGAGGGCACATTAGTCAGGGCTCTCCAGAGAAACAGAACCAATGGATATATAATAAATATGTATCTTATAGACAGATACATAAGCAAGAATTTATTATGGGATTGGTTCACACAATTATGGAGTCCAAGAAGTTCCACGATCTGCCATCTGCAAACTGGAGAACCAGGCAAGCTGATGGTATAATTCAGTCTAATTTCAAAGGCCTGAGAACCTAGGAGCCCACTGGTGTAAGTCTTGGAGTCTGAAAACCTGTGGACCAAAAGCTCTGATGTCCAAAAGCAAAAGAAGATGGATCCCCCAGCTCCAAAAGAGAGAGTGAATTTGCCTTTCTTCTACCTGTTTGTTTTATTGGGCCCTCCACAGATGGGATAAGGCCTATCCACATTAATAAGGGTGATCTCCTTCACTCTATCCACTGATTCAAATGTAACCTCACAGACACACCCAGAAATAATGTTCTACTAGTTATCTGGATATTCCTTAAAGTGGTCAAGTTGACACATTAAACTACACCCTCATTTTCTGGGTCCACACTGGAAGGTGGGGGTTGGAGTGACTTTTCTAGCAACACAGAGCAGGACTCCCAGCCTCACATTTTTTTTACTTGCTCGAGCGAAATAGGAGAATGGTTTTGCCAAGCACAAATCACCTCCATGCCCTCTGCTCCAAATATTCTGCTAGTCTTTTCATTATTTCAGACCCACCCCCACCTCACTTATTTTTGTTTGACATGATACAGCATCTATCTCGTGAGAAATGGTGAAATGGACTGTAATAAATATAGTGCTTCAGTGAAGAAAGTTGACAGGAATATAAATACGGGGCATGATATATAAAGCCCACACATCCCAGTGGCCTCATTTATTAAAATCTTGCCATGCTAAATTTACATAGTCCTCCTCTCTATATGTGTGCTCATAAAGTACCGCTTATGCTGTTACTCACATCTATACCCTCCCTGGTTTCACTATTAGCTGACCTGTCTGTATGTACACCTCAAGGACTGGTTAATGCCCTCAGGGACTTGGCATTTAGGTGTGTTCAGGGTAGGATTTAGATTTGGATTACTGTGAAGATATGACACTCTGGTCAAGATTAAGATGGAATTTCTCAAGGAATTGTGTTCTCTGTGTCATTTCTATCATTAGCCACTCACTGAATTCATGCTGAGCCAGACCTCCAATGAGCAAAATTTGTTGATCTAATTCATATTTCTTGAACATGTACTATGTTTTAAGTATGAACAAGAAAGAGATGAATTATCTACAGCTTTTAAAGTACTCACAATAGAATGAGGGGCATACATGTATAAATATACAGTTTAGACACATTGTGATAAATGGTGTGATTGGAAAGGCAAATCACCATAATAGCTGAGGGTCCATGTGGGCCAGGCACTACATGTTTTTATACCTCTGTTTTGTATTTACGTAGAAATCTCCACTTTACAATTGGGGAAAATGTAGCTTACAAGATAAAGGAGATTTCCTGAGTCCAACAGTGAGGAAGCAGTGGTATTGGATTTGAATCCAGCACTGTTTGATCCTAAAGACTGCACTTTATTCTCTAGTTTCTGGTTCCTTTTTACCCTGACCTTTAAGATGGCTTTGGACTCCCCAGGCAGGCTCAGTACTGGATGGTAACTAATATACGTTGAGGTCCCCCTGCTTACCTGCTTGAACCTGTTACGTCTTGTCTCTATTCTCCCAACTCCCTAGATAGACACTTGAAGGACTTTCTTGCATTGTCCCTGGCCCCTGCTGGTGTAGATCTATTGGTTATTGCCTGCCCATCATCCATTTCCTTTTTACCTTGTAATAGAACCCTTGTATCATTTTTGCTCTCCATCCACATGCTCAGATGGAGCCAGGCCTATTCACATGACCCAGGCATAGGCAAGCCCATGATACTGACTGGTTCAGTGAAAGGCATGGGATCCATTCCAACTTAATCGAAACAAATTTGGGGCTGTGGCTGGAATTGGGAAAGAAGTGCTGTCTGTTTGCTGGGGTTGCTAAGGAGACAGAGTGTAAGCCTGAAGCTTCCCATGGTCTTTCCTGCATCTCTTTGGGGAGAATTCACTATAGAATGCAATCAACACAGGGAAAGTAGAGCCAAGAGATGGAGAGAAACAGGTACCCAATTCCCTTTCAGTTCATTTTCAGCCTTGGATATCACCACTCTTGACACTTGTTCCACCATGGACTATCAAGGTACATGAGTCAGTAAATGTCTTTTTTTCTTTTTTTTTTTTTTTTTTTTGCTTAAGCTAACTTCATTTAGGTTTCTATTGTTTCAATCAAAAGAGTCATAATTAACATATCCACCAGTCTTGTCTCTGAACTCCTATACTTGGGTAAAGTCTGCCATGTCACTTAGCTCCTAAAATCCCCACCAAATAGCCAGCTCTCCTTCTGGCCAGCAGAGCAAAGGAGAATTCAGTCAATCTCAGACTCAGAATCCTGTCAATTCAATCCGTCATCTTCTTCAGTAAAACTGGGAAGAAAAAGTTAAGAGAAGTCTCTTTTATGGCTCAAGGAAAAGACCACCTCACAACGTTGGGTATTTTTAAAGCTATTCTTCAATATGAGTTTCTAAAAGAAAGGTGTGTGTTGGAAAGCTAGGTATCTGGACTTGAAATAAACAAAATTTCCTCTCATTATATAGTGTCATCAGCATCCTGCAGGGGTCCTTGCAGTCTTCCAGGATAGAAATCAAGGGAGGTCACCAGACAGAGCAGCAAAGAGAAAGAGAAAGCTTTATTTTAGCTTGTGCACAAGGGGAGTCAGTACCGCAAAAGGGAAAGGGTGAGTTTTTCCCCGAGGGTAGTATATGGGTGAGTTTTATAGGGCCTTTCTGTAGGGAAGGTTTTGTCAGGGCATGCGTAGGAGGCTTTCTCTAGCACCTGCACAGTGGCTTTACATGCTTCTTCATACATCACATGTGACATTAGCATTTTACATCTCCACCCCTTCATGTGAGTTTTATCATTAAAATGAGGGTGGGGTAATTACAAGTTGAAGTTTAAGTCTAACCGCACATGCGGGCCCCAGGGAAGTCCATAGGCCCCGAAAGCAGGATCTTGTGGTTCATAGCTTGTTGGGTCTTTTTTTTTTTGAGATGGAGTCTCGCTCTGTCACCCAGGCTGGAGTGCAGTGGCACAATCTCATCTCACTGCAAGCTCCGTCTCCCGGGTTCCTGCCATTCTCTGCCTCAGACTCCCAAGTAGCTGGGACTACAGGTGCTCGCCACCACGCCCGGCTAATTTTTTTTTTTTTTTTTTTTTTTGTATTTTCAGTAGAGACGAGGTTTCACCATGTTAGCCAGGATGGTCTTGATCTCCTTTCTTGGGTCTTTTGTTGCTGATGAAAGTTAGGTAAGCTACAGCTTGAGTAAGGGGCTTTTGTTCTTTTTTGCTAAACCACATCAAAACAGGAAACCGGCAATCCTACCTGTCTCGATAGTATTAAGTTAAAAAAAAGTGAAATAGAACTTTAAAATATTGTGTTAATTACAAAAAAAGGAAGGAAATGAATGATACTGATCACACACCACCAAGTAAGTATATCAAAATCACATACATGGAGAAAACAGCACTGCATATTTTAGAAGTAAACATGCATGAGGGATATATGTCAAAAGCATTTGAGTGGATGCCTATGGGGAAGGGGTTTAGGAATAGGGACTGGGAGTGAATGGGGTAGAGATAAATAAAATGAGAAGGCATTGCGTAGACCAGTGGCAATGGTGTGCTGTGATGAGAAGCATGAGAGATTCAGCTCTCTGCATCCAAGGTTATAAACAAGAATGAAAGGAAGGAAAGAGGGGAGAAGGAAAAAAGCCTAGAATAAAACATTCCAGTATGTTAACAGTAGTTGTACTTTGATCAGGGATCATTTGGTTATCAAGAAGAGAAACTCACTGAAGGAAGCTTAAATTAAAAGAGGATTGGTTCTATGGACACAATTGTAGAGAGCACAAGCTGATCTCAAAGACCTATAATCTTTTGGGTGTTCTCTCACCTCACTCTTTTTCAGAACCACATGTTCTGTTAAATCTGCCTCTCATCCTAACTGCTTCCTCTTCCTCTCATTGCAGACCAGCTTCCTTGCTTACACATCCACTTACACAATATCCATCACGGAAACTCCACTGGCAACTCCACATTGGGACCCCTCTCAATGGGTCGCACTCCTTTGCAGTTCAGCAACCCTACCCTCCCCCACCTAACTGACTCAGTCTCTGTGACCCTAATTTAAATTGGAGAGAGACAGATGTAACTGGCCCACCATGAGTCAGCTATTTACCCTTGGTTTGAACAGCTCTGGTAAAAGTGAAAGGCAGTGAGGTGGATGAAAGGAGATGAAAATGGGTCTAGAAGCTAAGAAGATTGTGGAAGGTAAAGATTAGTATATCTTGTACGCACTGTCCCTCAGCACTGGGATTATGGATGATTACTTTCTTTATACGTTTTAGCATTATCCAATTTTCCTAAAATGACATGAGTTAGGGATAGAATGATTAGTGTTTAAAGGGACAGGCTCTGGATCCAGACAAAACTAAGTTCAAATTCTTGCTCTTCTACTTCCTAGTTGTGTGACTTGAGCAAATCCCATCACCTTTCCAAGCCTTATCTGAACTACAAGGTGTTAACTTTCTTATAAGCTATCGTAAGCACTCGGTGAGATATGTAAGCAGAGCACTGAGCACAGTGTCCCTCCCATGCACAGCAATCACTCATGAAATGTGATGACACATTATTATTTTACATAATTCTTATAATTAAACATTCTTTAAAAATTAAAAAAAAATCCTCACAGTCACATGTCAGTTATCATTATTGAGTTGGCACGACAGGACACTTGCTACTGCTGTTTTCCTACTCCATTCCTCCCTGGAACATAGAATTTATCTGTGCTGGAAATGGCTATTGGAAATTACCACTGTCTACCCACTGCCCTTCTAACACACATAATCAACAAGCTAAGACAGCTCCCTCTTCCTCACAGCCCTCATCTACTAGCTCTAATTGATCATTACTAGCCATGCTCAGAGGGTCCCGGGGCTCATATGTTAATTGACTGCACACTCATTTAATGGGGAACTCCCCAATTCCCCAAGCATGAGCAGACTCTGTGCTACCTCCTCCATCCTGGTGCATTCTGGGAGCCTGTAGAGGAGAGAGGGTCAGCAGGTGGTGCATCTGATCAATTAATTAGGAGCATGTTGAGAGGTTTGACTCCAAGCCTAGATAATTGCATAATTAAATCTCCACCCATCCTCCATCCCAATTCCCAGTCCAAATGGCTCTCCCCAGCCTGCCATCCCTGTTAGCTGGGGAAGACATGAGCCCTGTTCAGGTCTTTCCTGGGCAGAGACAGCCCCTACCTCTTCCTGTTCCTCGTTCTGGCTGAAACTGGCTGGGGAAATGTTCTTTGAGAGCACCTAAGAATGAAAGTGGACCAATTTCCTCAAAAGGTTGTGTGGGTGTTAAAGGAAATAATACAAAGTGAAATGAAGCTTTTCAAGGGGAAATACCTCAAATCCTTTGACCTGCCTTCAATTAGCAAGGCTTGTTGATGTGGTCCTCCGCAGATGCTCTCCCAGACAAGGCTAGTTCTTTCTGCCATATTCATTCTCCTCTTTCTTTACCGTAAGAGCCTTCTTTTTGTTCATGGCACTCACGTATGCAGCTGAAATAAAATGTCCTTCCCAGACTCCCTTGAGCAATGAGTGGCCACAAGGCACTTCTACAAAGTCAGATGTTGGTAATAGACTTCAGGGAGGGAGACCTTGCACAAATAATAGTACAGAAGAGGAGTTTGCCTCCTGCCCTCCACCTTTCTCCTTTTTCCTGTCTTGAAGACACATGCAATGCCTGGAGGTAAAGCAGCCTTTTTGCAACCATAAAAAAAAAAAAAAAAGCCAACCTCTAAAGATGAATGAGCTGAAAATGGAAGGAGGCTGCATTTATAATGTCATCATGAACAGCCATAACAGCTCATGCTGCCACTCTATATTTGACATGATGTAAGAAAATAAATAAATAAATAAGCAAATAAAGATTGGGTGAAACTGCTGTGATCAGCTTTTACCTGCAGAGGAACACACTCCTAACTGCCTAACACAGGTGCTAACATCAGTCACACACACACACACACACACACACACACACACACACACACATATATATGTGTATATATATATATATTTTTTTGGCTTGGAGTCTCGCTCTGTTGCCCAGGCTGGATGACACATAGATATGTCGATATGTAATCATAGTAATAATAACAACCACATATAATGAACATGTGCTATAGCATAGGGTTATTGGGAGGATTATGTGAGATGAATTATTTAGAACCCCAGTACAATGGCAGGCACAATGAAAACATTAACAAATCTTGGCTTTTATCAGAATTTGAGGTTGAGAGAGTTCATTCATAAGACTAATCAAAAAGAAATGAAAGAAAGGTCGAAAGGAGAAGCTAACACCAAGATTTGGGGAACTGCAAACAGAGGGATAGCATCCATGCTGGACTCAGAAAACTTCTCCTTTGGCAAAGATCCTGGACCTGCCTCTTACATGCTGTGTGACCTCAGGCAAGTTACTTAACCTCTGGGGACCTCAGTTTCCTTTTCTGCAAAACTGAGGTAATTGTGAGGATTAAGGAAGATATGCCCAATGTAAGGGCTTAGTGCCTGTGGTTAGCACTTGTGGTTAATTCTGCCCGGAGACAGGCAGGAATCTTAAGAAGAGCCTCTCTCAGAGCACTGAGACAGGTTGCATAAAGACAACACTCCAGTCTCTCAGCAAAGGAGTTTTGCAGCAGTCCCCATGAGAAGCAAGTGGAGGTACTCAGCGTATTCCTCACTTTGATAAAAATCTCTCAAAGAGGCAGTAAATTACCAAGTCCTTGTTTTAGCTAAATCAAACATACTGCAGATTCCATTGGCATTTAATACTGATATTATGGCCCCAGGAATAACAAGTGAAAGTAATTAAGTTTAATGATTCCAACGAACCCACTATGCTTGATTGCAGTGTATATGTCTAATTATCTTTCTTTTTTGTTGTTGTCATGTGTGTGGTATAAACAAGACCTACTTGTAAAAATAAAAAAGGCACTAATTTTAAGATGTATCAGGGAAAGTTGCATTTGCAGCACCTTTTTGAAGGGTTTGCTTGCTTTCTCAAAAAACTGGTAGGGAGAAAGTCGCTTGGCTTGTCAAAGTGGCAAAGGAGAGATGATGTAATGCTTGTGTCTCTAAATGGTGGGACAAAGCCAGTCTTCCCAATTGCAGAGGAGGAAAGGAAGGAGGCCCAAGCCTGTAGGTCCTCACCAAGGTAAAGGATCAAAAGAGGTTGGGTAAAGGTTAAAGGCAAAGCTTGGGCTGAAAATCCTGAGGCCTATTTCCCTCAGGGAAAGGGTATGTTCTGCTCACCTGGACAGACATCCCTGGGAAAGATTGTTTCACTGGCCTCAATTTCCCCCACACCTCCTTGCATCCATGTTCTTTGCCATGTGACTTTCAGTCCTTTTCACTAAAAGGACAGAATGGATTTCCCCACCTTTTGACTTCAGATTTGAACATGTGACTTCCAATCAGATTTGAACATGTGACTTCCTTTAGCTAGTGGAATTAGGTGGAAGCAGCATGGTACCAGCTACAAGCCTTGAATGTTTCCACTTACTATCTTGTGTTTCTGTACCACGCTGCTTTCACCTAATTCCATTAGCCAAAAAAGTCACACGTCCAAACCCAAAGTCAAGGGCTGGGTTTAAGAGGCCTTGAATGTTTCCATTTACCATCTTGTGTTTCTGCCATTGCTGTGTGCCCAAGCTTGAGCTAGCCTGCTGATCCCAGGCAGAGAATGACCCACACCTGGAGTGGTGCCCCTGCAACTAGCCTAGCCTGATCAGCCAATCCCCAGCCAAGCCACAGACGTGTGAGCTAAATGTATCCTTATTGTTGACTTATTTTTTAAATATCACTAGGATTTTTTTTATGAAGCATAAGGGCTCTGGTATAACCATGAAAACCTTGAAGTGTTTTCAGAATTTTGTGACAATAAGAAATTTTCTGGGGAAACGGTTTTCCAGTTTTCAGGGAATTCTTAAAGCTGCGTCTGACCTAAGGGAAATTAGAAAGTCCCTGTAACTGTTAACCACGCCTACCTGTACTCAGCCACAAGCTGAAGACTCCAAAGTCATCCTTAGCTCTTCTGTACTTCCTGCTGTCTCTTCCCAACTCCCATTTGGTTGTATCATGCTAGAAACTTGAAATCAGCCATGGGGGAAGTACTTATACCACCTAAATTGGAAAACACTACAAACCAAGGCTTCCCAATTTCCCATCCCCTCCCAGAGAGTCAGCTTACCAGCATTCATGCTTCCCACAATCAGCTGGGGTCAAGTCCTCTTACTCCTTTGATATCAGCAGCACCTCTTGCAAGTGGTCCCTATTCCACAACCTCACAAGGACATCCTCACCATCCTTGCACAGGGAGCAGCCTAGAGCTGCAGGGTGCATGTCAGAGTCAAATGATTTATGGCTGATTCCAAGCTCAGTTACTTAGCAGTTACATGATCCTAGCAAGTTCGTTAAACTCTGTAAGCATCCTTCTCCCCATCTGTGAAATGGAAATAAAAAATAGTATCTAACTCTTAGGGTCATTAGGAGGATTCAGTGAAATGACTCAGGCAAAGCATGTAGCACTGAGCCTGACACCTCCTAAGCACACGATAGGTGACAGCTCTCATGACTTGGTTGTGTCACATCATCTTTTGCCTCAATTATTTGCAACACCTTCCAACAGACCTTCCTCTTGTTGGTCTTGCCCCTTTCACTCTATCCTCTCCACAGCAGACAGAGAAAATGGGGAAAAATAATTCCAGAAGTTGCTCTCAGAGGCAGCGTGTAGCTGTGCTCTTTGTAAAATTCCACCATGGCGTACCATGGCCAGGACCAGAGAGTGCAGAGGGTTATGGTACTGCCCATCAACCTCATCTTCAGATACTTACAAAATAGATCATGGATTCAGGTGTGGCTCTATGAGCAAGTGAATATGTAGATAGAAGGCTGTATCATTGGTTTTGATAAGTATATGAATCTTGTATTAGATGACGCAGAAGAGATTCATTCTAAAACAAAGTCAAGAAAACAACTGGGTCGGATCATACTAAAAGGAGATAATATTCCTCTGCTACAAAGTGTCTCCAACTAGAAATGATCAACGAAGTGAGAAACTGTTGAGAAGGATACAGTTTGTTTTGAGATGTCCTTTGTCCAATATAAACATTTATTCATATTGTTTTGATTACCCTTATGTTATTACAAGAAGGGAATAAATGCTATGGGATTATTTGTATTAAAAAAATGAAAGTTGGGGGGGAAAAAAGCACAAATACACTTGTGTTACTCCCTTGCTCAGAACTCTCCAGTGATTCTCCTTTGCCTTCAGGAGACAGTCTCAATTTATAAATGGGGAAACTGGAGTTTGAAGAGGTTAAAACATTTGCCCAAAGCCACACAGGTAGTAAATGACATAGGATTTCAACCCAGACTTTCCATGTCCACATTCTACCTTTTTCACCACTAAGATATACCAAGGATAAAAGAATAGGTGATTACAAGGTATGGATGGGTGAACAGATGAAATTACAAAAGGGACAGAAACACAGGATAGAAGCATGAGTGGAAGTCTAGAAGGATGGCAGACTCTAGAAGGAAAGGATGGGTGGATGGATGAATGGAAGGGTGGAAGGATAGAAGAATAGAAAGACAGAAGAATAAATGGACTGAAGGATGAAAATATGGAGGGATTCTCCTGAGTTGCATTCACTCCCTCTGTCTTACCTAGGTTTACCTAGCAAGGGTTCTGTCCCTGGACACCTACCTGAGACATTTGCTGAGAACACAGCAAATCCTATGGACACTTCCATTTCCTAGCTGTTAGTTTCCTTTTCCTCCATCTGTTCAAACCCAGTTCATCTCTGAACAGGTCTCTCTTGGTAACCAGCTTCCAGGGAACTGACCACTTCTGTCTTCTTCCAGAAGCTCAGGTTTTTCGATGACCAGGGACCAAATTTTGAATCTTAAGAACGAACATTCACTAGGCACTTACTGTATGCTAATTGTATAATTCTGTCATTTAATCTTCACAACACACTTACACGGTAGGTACTGTAATCCTCTCCATTCTGAAGATGAAGAAATAGAGTCACAGAGATCTCACATAATTTACTCAAAGTTGCAAAACTACAGAGTGGTACATCCCAGGATTGCTGAGGCAATCAGAACCCGAGGTGTGCACACATAATGACTACACTATACTTTTTCTCTCTTTAGCTACCTCAACTGGTAGCTCCATTCCCCGTATTTGGATGGAAAATCTATTATCAGTCCATGAGGACTAGAGTCACATTATCTGTTAAGCCCTTACCTATGGCATTTCTCATGCACCTACCAATTTATACTGAACAATAGTCATGATGAACAGCCACTAAGTGCAAGTTACAAAAGTTTCACCATTATGAAACCATAACCCTATATGCCACAAAGGCACCTCCCACATTGATTAAAGGGCCACTGGCATTTTGAGAAAAACAGTCCTATCAGTGACATAGCCTAGTTGGAACAAAAGATCCACAGAATTGTGATGAATGAGACTGTGGGCAAGCACCCATCTAATTTGGTTGAAAATATACCACAGTGGTTTCAGAATCTGGCCAACCTGGATTCTGGCTCCAGCTCTGTCATTTGGTTAAGATATGTGATGTCAGCCAGTACTTGACATCTCTGAGCCTCAATTTTCTTATATGCAAAATGGGGGGAATAATAGCAGCTTGTATGAATAGATGTAAGAATGAATGAGATAACCCGTACAAAGGGCTTAGTACAATCAGAAATACACAATTGATCATTATCATGGTGTGGTTGTTATATCCAGACCGCTGGAGCAACTATGTTTCTCTCCATCTCTCTCTCTCTCTGTCCCCCTCTGTGTGTATGTGTGTGTGTTCAAACAAAGCAAAAAATCAAATTCAGCACACTTCGACCAAAGGTCCAATCCTCTTTCCTCTGTTTGTTTGTTTTTCCTTTTCCAGAAGCTTCCCAAAGTCCTCCTGCCAGAGAATCAGTTGGGTGAACTCCTCCTCTGGCTTGATTAACTTCCCCTTGTTAACTGACCGGGTTCAATGCAATTTAATTTCATTGAGAGGAAGTGGTTCAGAAATCAGGGTCATTTAATTTCTGAAAGGCGAGTGAAATGTTGCCTTTCCCAAGTGATCTTTCTGCCATTTGTTCCCGTTAAAATGAAAAGTACAGTGGTTAATACAATGGCTTCAAGGTTATGTTAGATCACCTTTGCAAGTAAGAGAAGAATTCTTTCTACAAGATTTTAATTAGGTCAAGTACAACTAATTCATCCTTTGGCACTTATTCCATTTCCTTTTCTTCTGTAATTACTGCCAGTGTAACGCTCCTCACACACACAAATGGAGCTGAAGAAAGCCCTGCGATTATCCTTTATTTCTCCTTCATGCAAGAAAGGAGGGGGTTATCTACTGCATTCAGCCTTTGTAAATCTGGGGACTATAGTCCTAATAGCCTTACTCACATGAGTGCCAACCTCCCTGTAGGAGTGAGGGGGTTCCTAATTTGATCCCAACACCACAACACACACATCTCCCCTTTACCTTATCTACAGAAGGTGACTAGGCATCAAGACAAAGGAAGTCAACTCAGGTACATGTTGTCAATCAATAAACCTGTATTGAGCGCCTACCAAGGGCTCAGTAGGGTGTTAGGTGCATGGGAGTGGGGTTGCAAAAGACTTAAAGGAGCTTAGTCAGGTTTGGCGAGACAGATAATTAGCAGGTAAAATAAATCAGCAGTACTCAGCTTGGTTCTAGAAGAGCGAAGGCACTGTGTGTGGTGGAGGACATGAAGGAGGTGGGGGAGGCAACTGAACGCTTCAAGGAGGAGGTAAGCCTTGAGTTGACCTTGGAAGCACCAGTAGGATGCAGATCTCTCGCTCTTTTAAAAATACGTATTTATTGAGTGCCTAATATGTGCTGGGCATTGTCTAAGTATTTTATATGCCATATTTCATTTACTCCTTTCTTCGATCCTGACAGGCAGGTGCTGTCTTTGCCCCCACGTTACAGATGAGAAAACTAAGACTCTGAGATGTAAAGCAGTGAAATGTTCAAGAACATATGACACTGGCAAAGCTTGGATTCAAACCCAGGTTTTTTTTCCTTTTCTTTCTTTTTTTTTTTTTTTTTTTTTGGAGATGGAGTCTCGCTCACTCTGTCACCAAGTCTGGAGTGCAGTGGCACAATCTTGGCTCACTGCAACCTCCACCTCCCAGTTTCAAGTGATTCTCCTGCCTCAGTCTCCTGAGTAGCTGGGATTATAGGCACACACCACCACGCCCAGCTAACTTTTGTATTTTTAGTACAGACAAGGTTTCACCATGTTGGCCGGGCTAGTCTCGAACTCCTGACGTCAGGTAATCCGCCTGCCTTGGCCTCCCAAAGTGCTGAGATTACAGGCATGAACCACAGCACCCAGCCCCAAATCCAGGTTTTCATCATAGCACTTGTCACTGGCTGTAATTCTCTTGCTTTAATTGTGTATTTATGAGTCTTCTCCCTCTAATATGTGAACTCCAAGAGAGGAAGACTTTATCTGGCTTGATTACTGCAGACTACTCAACATCTGGATCCCTGACTGGCATAGGGTAGGTGATCAGCAAGTACTTGTGGAATAACAGACTGGATCGCATACTCCAAGAGCCAAGAGGAGAAGGATGCTATGCTATAAACTCCAACGAGTCAGTTTCCGTGGCTGTCTTGCACCCTGCAGTATCACTAGCACCCAGGACAATGTCCACAGTACATGACAGCTACTCAATCACTGTTGAATGAAGAAAGGAGAGAAAGAAAGATCACTGGAACAGAAGGACACTCACCAGTTTAGTAGAATGCAAATTCAGGTCAGCTAAACTATTATTCTTTGTCATTGATGGAGAAAGAAATTGTTACAGACTGAGCCAGAGATACTCACTGTCCTGAATCCATTCCCAAGAAGATCCAAATGCCTGGCAAGCCCGTGTTCCCGGTGATCCCCTCTGTGCTTGTCACTTCGGCCTCACTTAAAAGAGAAAGTGCCCTCAGGATCCTACAGATCTCACTGCCAGCTTGGATTCTCTTTTCATTAATTTGTGTTTTCCTAAGGAATATTTATTCATGTAGTCTGTGTTTGGGCAATTATTGAAATTATGTATAATTACGGGTGATAGTAAATAATAATAATCACCTAGCTGCAACATGCACTGTTTCTATTATGGATAGGAATTTTGTGCAATTTACTAAGAAACGTTCTAATGTAGGAGTGCTGATTAGAAAGGAGGGAGGGTGTTGTTATGAATGCTTGGTTATCAGTATTCTTATGTGACTGCTATGCAAGAAAGTCCTATATCCTGTTTATCCAGCCTTGGAACTGTACTCTTTGAATATTATTACCATTACTACTATTAATAATAGCTACTCAATCCACCACTTACAATGTGCCAGATCCACTTTAAATCCAAATTAAAATTCAGTGCAAGCTTGAGTGCCTTCAGAGACCAAGCAAACTTGGAAAATGACTTAAGCAGACTGGGCTGGGGATCAATAGGGAGAAGTGGGGTCTGTGGTGAATGGCAGGTTGCATTCCTCATCTACAGGAGACAGCTGCCCCTCAGCTAAAGCCAAATATTGCTGTGAGAAGATGAGGGGATGGTGCTGCCATTTCTGATCTTTTTTCAGAAGTCAGAAATATGGATTTTAATGTGAAATTCCCAGAGTTTTAACTGCTGTCTGCCGACAGTCTGTGTGCTGCCTGTGTGCAAGCCTCCATCTCGCATCCTCTATCAAAAGCCTCTAGGGAAAACTGGTCCGTGAGCAGGGGCTGTGTTTACTTTGTTGATTGTGGGCCGGGGCGGGGGGAAGGAAAAATTGCATGGAGCCATTGTAGAAGCTGTAAGAGCCCATTTCTCATTTTTATTTAAAATTTCATGGAGGTAATTTCAGAGAACAATGAAATATCATCGGAAGTCTGGCTGGAGAGGAGAGACACGTGAAGGAGAATGATAGAATGACTGGCGGCACTAATAAGGAGGGCTAGGATAGACCAGCCAGAGTCATGAAGAAAATCATCCTCTTCCCCCAGTCCCCAGCTTGATGGGAAGGGGGCTACATGCCCCTGGAGATCTGCAAAGAGGGTGCCAGGCTGCCCAAGCCAGAAGCCCCAGATGTCTCCATGCTAGAGTGCAGTGGGGTGATTCTAGCTCACTGCAGCCTCAAATTTCTGGGCTCAAGTGAACCTCCCACCTTGGCATCCCTGGTAGCTAAGACAACACACGTGTACCACCCCTCTAGGCTGACATTTTTATTTTTATTTTTGTAGAGACAGGGGTCTCGCTATGTTGCCCAGGCTGGTCTCAAACGCCTGGGCACAAGCAATCCTTCTGCCTCAGCCTCCCAAAATTCTGGGATTACAGGCATGAGCCACCACACCTGGCCAAACCTGACTTCTATGTGACAGGGTGAAGAAGGCTTATGTTCTTCTCATATCAATTTAATTATCATAACTCAGGGAAGTCTTATGGCCAAGTTCCAACATCTTGATATTCCCTCCCCATAATACCCTAAACTTCCCCCGTGTAACATTCATCACACATATCTCTTATCTCTTTACGTCAGAACCACTTTCCTTCATGAATATGAGTGCAGGAATTTCATCTGTCTTGTTCACCACTGTCTCCTAGCACCCACAGTGCTTGGCACATAGTAGGGGCTCGATAAATATTGACTTGTGAAGGAACAAGTGAATGAAGAGTCCTTTGACCTTAGGCATGGGTTATTTAATCACAGAATGCCTCGCCTGTGAAACAGGGGTAACAGTAGTACCTCTAAGAATTGCTATCTTCTTTGTGCTACGACCCACAGAAAATTTGTACTCTGTATTTCATCTGTTCTCCACAATATGCATAAGAAGTTGGGAGTATTTTTTATCCCAACATTATATAGTTGGGCTTAGAGTAGTTAAATGACTTGCCCAAGGTCACACAGCCTGGACGTGACACAACGGAGAGATTCCAACCCAGGTCTGTCTGAGTCTTTATCTCCTTCCCCACAGGAGTTTAGAGAGGGAGAAAAGCCATTCTATCAGACCGGTGGAAATCAAAGTAAGCTTCATAAAGGAGATGCATTTATCCTGGGTTTTAAGGATGGATGAGAATATGGGAGGCAGAGGAAGCAGAGAAAGCATTCTAGGTGGAAGGAATAACTCAGGCAAAAGCTCAGAAATAGCAGGAAACGGCAGATTGATTCAAGGAATGGCTTGTGAATCATTTAAGATAAAGGGGTGGGGAGGTCCTGAGAAAGGCTGAATTCATATCATAAAAATGAGTTCACTCATCCTCTCAACAGTTATGAACTGAGTGCCTGCCAGGTGAGGAAGACATCGACCAAAGCATCCTCATGTCCTGTCCTCAGGAAGCATACTGTCCAGTGCTCTGCCACACTGACTCTTTGCTGCAAGGACCACATGAAGAAGTAGGAAAGAAATTACTTTGAAAAGCTCAACTGTGCTATTTCAATACTCTCCTCTGTTCTGCTCTATCTGTTAGACTCTTCATAGTAATTAAGTAAAAGCTCCAGTTCAAATTGACATGGCTTTTACAGAAGGAGAATTCATTGACTCAGGTAAGAGAAAAATTGGAGAGCTGTCTGGCCTTGTTGGTTCCAGAATTTTTCCAAGTCATCAAGATAGGACAAACAACAACTCTCCAGCCCTCCTGTGTGTGTAGTTTCACTCTCCCACAGACTGTTGTCTTTCAACAGCCCCAGATCTCACACCTTCTCAGCTCCACATCACACTGAGATAAAAGCTTCTCTTCCCCAACAGTTGAACTTGAGTTCAGTTTTCATTGGCCAGAAAGTGTCCGTGCACTCATCTTAGAACCAATCCCTACACCCACAAGAATAGGATAAGGATAGGATAAGCTAAATGACTTAAACTAATCAGGACCCTCCCTTCTCTGGCCTGGCCAAGCAAAAATATGTAAGCAAAGAGTTAAAGAAAAGTGGTTCTTCAAATGCAATTCCAGAAATAATTTTGCTAGGAAAACAGTAAGTTCTGAAAAAAAAAATTACAGCAGTCCACTCTTACCAACGTGAGCTTTGTGATCTTAAGACAACTCACATTATTAAAAATCACATTATAATTACATACAATAGTTTCAGGGGAGGCAGAGGTTGCAGTGAGCCAAGATTGTGCCACTGCACTCCAGCCTGGGTGACAGAGTGAGACCCTGTCTCAAAAAAATAAACAAACAAATAAAATTATTTCAGGGAACTGAAGAATATCAGATTTGCAAAGCCAAAATTGTGAGTGGTTTTGGCAAAAATTTCAATCACAAGGTTTTCTTTTTTTAAAGTATATGTGTTTATTTTGTCATTGCAAGCTATAAAATTAACAAAAATGAACCTAGACCTCACTGAGCAAATCCTTAACAGCACTTAGGATTAGATCCAAATAAACGAGCGTTGAGAGTGGTGGCTGTCAACCCTGGCTGCACATTAAATCTCCAGGAGAGCTCTTTAACATGCTGATGCTCAGGCCTCAACCAGAGTGATTCTGATTTAATTTGTTTGGAGTGTGATCTGGATGTGGGTATTAAAAAAATAAAAAAAAGAAAGAAAGAAAGAAAAGAAAAAACAGTGGTTCTTAACTTTGGCTGCAATTAGAATCACCTGGAGACTTTTTTAAAAATTCCAAAGTCCAGGCTACAGTGCAAACCAGTTGCATCAGAATTCATGGAGGTAAGACCCAGGCATCAGTATATGTCGAAGCTTCCTTGAGCAGCACAATTAGCGGCAACCAAAGGGAAGCAAAACAACATGGCCGGGTGCGGTGGCTCTCGCCTGTAATCCCAGCACTTTGGGAGGCCGAGGCGGATGGATCACAAGGTCAGGAGATCGAGACCATCCTGGCTAACAAGGTGAAACCCCGTCTCTACTAAAAATACAAAAAGAAATCAGCCAGGCGTGGTGGCGGGCGCCTGTAGTCCCAGCTACTCGGGAGGCTGAGGCAGGAGAATGGCGTGAACCCGGGAGGCGGAGCTTGCAGTGAGCAGAGATCGCGCCACTGCACTCCAGCCTGGGCGACAGAGCGAGACTCCATGTCAAAAAAAAAAAAAAAAAACTTGTCCCTAGCAGCCAGACAACAGCTCCCTAAGGCAGCTGGGTGTTCCTCTGCAATGTGTGAGGTAACTTTTCTTCTCATAGCCACATTTTTGTTCCCAGTTTTATTTCCATTGTATGCAATCGATGTTTGAGTTAAGTAAGCCATGTCCATTAACTGAATTGATGGCATCAAAACCATGTTCCATTATAAAAACTTGTGCCATAAAAGAAGTGGCCTGAGCCAGAGTTGATTTTCATGGGTGACACATGAGATACCACGAGCCACCAGCATTGTCAATGAACCTAGGTAAGGATTTATATCAAGAGCTAGTATTTAATAAGGGCTTAGCTTGTGCCAAACATGGTTCTAAGCAGTTGACATACATGTGACTTATTTAATCTTCAGAACAACCATATGTGTTGCCATTATCCACATGTTACTGATTAGGAAACCTAGGCACAGAGGAGTTTAGTGACTGGCCCAAGATCCCATGGTGACTAAATGGGGTGAGTAAATATTTAAACAGCTTAGCTCCAAAGCCTGCACACTTAACCTCTACATTGTAGGAGGCTGGCCAGAAGTGAAAAGAAATGTTCAATGCATCTCACTTTACTGACCTCCTAGAGTGGGTACATACACAGCTTGAAGGAACTTTCCTCTGTGTTATTAGAGACAGTGGCTGGTGGCCTCTGGGCTGGTAACCTTTCAGACTAGGTCCACAGGGTTCCTGCTTTCATCCACTGGTTCAAATGATTTGGTGAAGGTTAAAAGATGTTCCGAGGGAGGAGGAGTGAGACAGAGGGGATGGATATTCACCACTCTCATGCACCAAAGTCTATGTTCAAGAATATTCTCTCTTCACCTCTCTGTCTGGTCAACTGCAACTTAATCTTCAAGACATAGCTCAAGATAACCAGCTCCTCTGAGAAACTTCTCACCTTCTTTCCCAAATGAAGTGTAGAGAAAACAATTCTTAAATTAAAAGTTGAGATTCTTAGGGAAGTGGGATGTATTTGTTTAGCAAAGCCACCTTGAGGAGCAATTTTGGTTGTGGAAGGATGATCCTGAATGTTTGGAAGGCTCAGGAGACATAGATGGAAAACTGAATATCTCTGCATAACAATGCAGGAAGAATTTGGAAGCTGCTTGGTAAGTGAGGTAGTGAGGATGTGTGGAGATTCTTGGAGGTGAGGGATAATATCATAACTATAGGTGAGGAAATTTGAGGAGTAATGTTAGTCAATGCCTTTCATCCCCATATCCTGGCAGGTCTGGCAGAAGAATCTTAGAATAAAAATACCTACTAGTTCATCTGAAGCCATTGTATGTGCTACAATTTAACCTCTTTTATTACCTCTACCCACAAAAATAAATATATTCAATAGACCTTGACTTGGCTGACTGGCATTTGGAGAGACAAGATAAAGTAGCTTTGTTGCTTCTTTTTTTTTTTTTCTTTTTGGAGACAGAGTCTCACTCTGTCACCCAGGCTGGAGTGCAGTGGCACAATCTCAGTTCACTGCAACCTCCGCGTCCCAGGTTCAAGCGATTCTCATGCCTCAGCCTCCCAAGGAGCTGGGACTACAGGTGTGCACCACCATGTCCAGTAAATTTTTGTATTTTTAGTAGAGAACAGGTTTCGCCATGTTGGCCAGGCTGTCTAAAGCTCCTGGCCTCAAGTGATCCGCCCACCTCGGCCTCCCAAGGTGCTGGGATTATAAGCATGAGCCACCATGCCAGGCTGTTGGATGTTTTGAATGATGGAGAGAAGAGAGAAGAGCACATCACAGAAAACAAGAGACAAATACACTTAACAGTAATGGAAATGAGAGCTGTAGATATGAACATAAGCCACCATAGGATTTAAGAAAATCGTGAGGAAGTCTTAGTTCAATAGCATGAGATACAGTTGGGGATATAAGCAGATGTTATTTCATTCTTCAAAGGCAAGGCAACTCCAGCCATTCTTTGAGTGACACAATGTTTCTTTTAATGATGGTTTCTCAAAGGCACTAACCTCTCCTGTGCACGTTTGCAGCATTTTATAGAAAGCCTTAACAAGAAATTTTTTTAATAGTCTTAATTTTGGCCATTCTGAACCATTTTAAATTCCCCAAATGCTTCACATTTTTATTCTCTTACAGACTTTTGTACATGTTTTTCCTTTTGCCTGAAACACGCTTGCCCATCATCTTTGTCCATTTTAATTTCTGCTAGTCTGTCAGATCTTAGCCTTAGCAGTTACTTCTTCTGACATATTAGTGAGGATGCTTTAGATTGCTAGTAAAAATAAAATCCAACTCAAAATGGCATAAAAATAGGTATTTTCTATTGTAATAGAAACTTTTTATAATTTCAATTTTTTATTTTAGATTCAGGGGATACACGTGCAGGTTGGTTACATGGGTACATTACACAGTGCAGAGGTTTGGGGTATGAGTGGTCCCATCACTCAGATACTGAGCATAGTACCCAATAGGTAGTGTTTCAGCCCTTGTCCCCTCCCGCCCTTCCCCCAGTGTCTATTGTTGCCATCTTTATGTCCAGGAGCATCCAATGCTTACCTTCTACTTATAAGTGAGAACATGCCATATTTTGTTTTCTGCCTCTGCATTAATTTGCTTAGGACGATGGCCTCCAGCTGCATCCATGTTGCTGCAAAGGACATGATTTCATTCCTTTTTATGGCTGCATAATATTCCATGGTATAAAGGTACCACATTTTCTTTATCCAGTCCAACATTAATGGGCACATAGGTTGATTCCATGTCTTTGCTATTGTGAATAGTGCTGTGATGAATATACACATGCATGTATCTCTTTGGTAGAACAATTTATTTTCCTTTGGATACACGCCCACTAATGGGATTGCTGAGTAGAATGGTAATTCTGTTGTAAGTTCTTTGAGAAATCTTCTAATTGCTGAAGTGGCTGAACTCATTTGCATTCCCACCAACAGTATATAAGTGTTCTCTTTTCTGCGTAGCCTTGCCAACATCTGTTTTATATATATATAATTAGATATTTCTTATGTGCCACTTCTGATCTTCTCAGTGTGTTAGCTTCTTCATGCCGCTGGATCAGCAGCCAAGGAAAGGAGTTAGTTACAGCACTGATGAGGTTAGTCGATTCTGAGTACATAAAAGACTACGGATGCCACTGCAAAGCTGGGGCAGGAAGAATTCACTGGGGAATCTTTTGGTGTTTCCATGCCCTGTGAGCACAGAAATCTATTAGTTTCAGGAACTGTGGCCCCAACAAGGGCAAGGTAACAAGGGCTCAGTCTTCTCAGGCATGAAATTCCAGGTTCCCTGCATTCAGCCAGACATGCTCAAGTGCTGGTCGGTATGACAGAAACCTAGCATAGTAGCAGAGGTTGAAGAGGATGGATACGAATTATGAGCTCCTAACCTAGTTCAGTTTGTTTCACTAGGCTTCTTGCCTTGAGTCATCTCAGAGAGTTTTGCCAATGACCATCTTGATAGGGACTCTGTAATTGGATCAGACTTGTACTCTTCTTCTCAAGGAAGAAATAAGGGCATCTTGTTTTCCAAAGTAGAGGTAAAGAGAGGATCTGGTGATGCAATGGGTAGACTGTATCAGACACTGTATCATCCAACTCATTCTAGCCACCACTGAGATTCCATCAGAATTAGGCATAATCTGACTGTACCTCAATTTATCGCTCCACCCGCATCACATGTTTCTCATCTCCCTCCCAGGGTTTCCCTGGTAACACCAAGCTGTTGGACAGTATGGGAACTGAGTTGCTACCCATCCATGGAAAACCCAGAAATTTAGGCAATTAACAAACCATAGGCAAATCTTTGCTTAATGGGAGATGGAAGTTAATGGATAAATCATCCTCCTTTCTCCTATAATGCACTGACCCAAGATTCAGTTTATATCCATTCTTGGAGGACAGTCACACTAAGGAACAGTAAACTTAATAATGTTTTCTCATACTGGCTCTTTCCGCCTTCCCTGCTTCATTCTCTCTGTCTGTCATATATGTTCCCTAATATTGCACCCTTTAACAAGGGGATTATTTGTTCTTTGCCTCAGGATCTGCTTTTTTTTTTTTTGTAAACCAAAGATAATAGTAATGCATAACAAAAGGTACAGAGGTAGGAAATTCCAGAGTTCAGATGGATATGCGCTGTTTTTATCTTTCCAGTTTTCCTTCACATTTATCCTTTCAAAGTTGAACAAGGCAATAGTAACTCCAAGCGTCAGAACTTCAAACAAAATTGTTCAAATTCTGAAAAAGAAGAAGTGGGCATCCTTCCTAAGATAGAGGATAAGTCACTCAGAAACTCTCCAGACTTCTGAGAGACATCTGATATCTCATTGACCAGAACTGCACCCCATTCCCAAGCTGTCAAGAGGAATTAAATTTCTTAGTCCAATCATAATTCATCCCTTGGGACTGGAAATGATTCATCCTACCCTGAATCACATTCTTAAACAACAACAACAAAAAAGTTCTGTTATAAAGAAAGAAGTGAGGAATTAATAGGAACTGCTGGCACAGTTGGAGTCATTTTCAATACGCCTTCACCTTTTCCTGTTTTCCACTATGGAGACTAAACAAGCGAGATATTCACTTTCCAGCTTCCCTTGCAGCTAGGGGTTGCCACGTGATCGATTTCTAGACCTTTGCATGTAAGGGGAAGTTCTCTGGGGGCTTTTCCTTCTTGTTAAAAGGATAGTGACATAAGAGCATGCTGTCTCTCTTCCTAAGTATGAAAGACCAACAAGCTGATAAGGTGGAGTAAGAAGATGAAACAAACCTGACTCCTTAATTACATCCTTGAGCCACTGAAGTAGCCCTGGGATTGTTTTATGCTATATTTTTTAGTTACATTAGATAACTCTTTTTCTTATTTAGTCATTATTATTTAAGTATTACATTACGTGCAGCTAAAAGCCCTTGTAACTGATGGAGCAGCCAACAGTGTCAGCCATTTCCAGGAAGTACAGATGGTATTAGCTATCCCTTTCCTCTGACACCCAAGGCTTACTGTTATTATGGACATTATGGCTCTACATTTTCATTGCTTGGTTAAACAGAGAGTCCTCTGACGTATATATGTGCAGGCCAAGGCTGAGCACAGCCATGAAGATTGTGATGCAGGATTCCTGCACAGGGCAGTGGGCTGGACTACATGGTCCCCAAAGCCTCTTACAGCTTTGAAATATATAGCCCCAATTCTTTTAATATAAATGTCCCCTTTCCATGTATAAACATAAAAGAAGTTTTCTGACTCTTGACCTAGACGAGTTTGAATTTCCTGGAGTGGTTCAACATGGCAGCATGGGAGCCAGGACTTGAACATGAGTCCAGTTGAGCAGCATTTTCCTACCACGCAGGGTAGCTGTGAGAATTTTTGTCTTTTTAAATGTATGATGTCATGGCAAATCACCAATTTGTGATTCAAAATAGGGAAAAGCAATGCAAGCATGCAACTTGCGCAAATGTTCCTATTCTGTTTGTAACATGGGGAATTTCCAAGCTAAATTTTCACTTTGCAGATGACTTGGGGGTTATTTGCTATTCTGAGCAGGTCTGTCCTCATTCTCCTTCCACTGTATGAAGAATGCATATGGGAAAAAAAGTGACCGTGTGTAAATGTTTCTTTCATATTGAAATAATATTAATAAAGCATTTCCTGTGGTTATGGCTAATAAGTCACTTGTTTCCATTTTCTGTATGCAGTAAAGACACGTGGAAAAATTCTGATCAATACCCTGTTAAAAGAAGCTTAGAACCCAAAACGTTCTCACAGAGTATGGTATTTGTAGAGTTCATTACAGTCTGTACTAACGAAGGAATTTTCACTGGGGAAAAACAGAAAATGGAAAATTTAAAAGTTGACCAAACAGAAACCTTTAATAAGAAGCCAATGACACTTTAAATGTGTTATACCCCTTTTGTTTAGGAAATGTTCCCAATATTTTTGTCTCTCTTCTTTTAATGACTTCTTGGTGGCCAAGCAGAGAGGCTAGAAGAGAATGAAACTAGATATCCTCTAATTGTGTGCCAGGTACTCGGTAAGTCATGTCATAGTTATTATCTAAGTAATTTTTATTTTAAAAATGTTTTAAAAATTATATAAGTAATACATGCCCCCCGCAAAATTTTCAAACAATTCAGAGGCACAAAAATTAAAAAGTGAAAGCTCCCCTTCATCCCTAAGCCCAGTTCCGCTTGTTCCTTGGCAACAATCTCTATATTCTTTAATATATATCCATACTGATATATATTTTCTGAACATTGTCAGAAATACACATATTCTTAAATTAATATGCTAGCAAACTATGTTTTCACCTATTCTAGGATGCAACTTTTTAAAAATTTAAAATCTCGAAATAACGCTGCATTTTACAGTTAAAGGCATTATAAACCGTCCACTTTCTTCTTCTTATAGACATATAAAATAATGGTGCATCCTGCAATAAGTGGCATTTTAGAGTAACAAAATACAGTAGATATGGAGCTTACATTATTATATAGACGTATGATTGTGTGGATTGCTACAGACAGCTTTCAGCACACTTGGGTCTGCCTCATTCATTTTAACAGCTACATGATCTGTCATTGTATAACTGTAGCCTCGTTTATTTAGTCATATCCATTAGAGATGGACTTTTGGATTCTTTCTAGATTTTTCCCAGTAGAAATAATGCTGCAATGACCATTCTTGTCCCTGTATCTTTGGTCCCATGTGTAAACATTTGTGAAAGAGATTCCTATCTCATTAATTCTCATAGCTAACCTGTAGGGTAGAAATCAGTCAGTCACTCAGAGCTCAACTAGGTACATATTCAATTCATGGCTCCACGGCTGCCATGTTGAACAACTTAAGAGAGTTCAAACTGTCGTCTAGATCAGGAGTAGCGAACTTTTTTTCTGGAAAGAGCTAGATGGTCAATATTTCCATCTTTGTGGGCTATACTATCTCTGTTGCAACTACTCAACTCTGCTGCATAAAAGCAACCATAGACAAAAAAGTAATGAATGAAGTTGTTCCAATAAAACCTTATTACAGAAACAGGCTGGGGCTGAGTGCAGTGGCTCAGGCCTGTAATCCCAGCACTTTGGGAGGCCGAGGCGGAGGGATCACGAGGTCAGGAGATCAAGACCATCCTGGCTAACACGGTGAGACCTCGTCTCTACTAAAAATACAAAAAATTAGTTGGGCATGGTGGCACACGCCTGTAGTCCCAGCTACTCAGGAGACTGAGGCAGGAGAATCATTTGAATTCGGGAGGCGGAGGTTGTAGTGAGCAGAGATCATGGCACTGCACTCCAGCCTGGGTGACAGAGCAAGACTCCGTCTCAAAAAAAAAAAAAAAAAAAAAAAAAAAGGAAAGAAGCAGGTTGGATTTGTCCCATGGGCTGTAGTTTGCTGAGCCCTGTCTTAGGTTAAGAATCCTCCTGGGAGTTGAGAAGTGCACAACATGTATGGCCCTTTATAGTAGCCCTGTCTGGCTCTTTACCTTCACGGACACAACTTAGGATAAATTTCATAGTCCTTCCCAGCTTGAGTTTTCAACCATTAACTGTGAACTATAATATGCAATCATAAAATATTTCAAAAGTATGCGTTACTGAATTAAAGTGAACACATGAGTATATGTCCATGAATCCATTTCTCCTTCTGAGATTTATTAAGAAAATAAAGCTATGTTTGTGTTTATGAGAATTAATGAAATGCTACACATAGAGCATTTGCAAGGACTTAAAAAATGCTATTGCTCTTTAAAAAATTTTGTTTTCTCCTACTGATGAGGAAGTTCATAGCAATTAATCCACAAAGCCAGGAAGCCAACAAGGTCATTGTGACTCCATAACCTGTACCTCTCCGACAGCACCTGCTGCCTCAAAAGAAGGAGCTATTACCTAGAGAATCTGAACCCAGAGAAATTAAAAGAGTTTGATAAAGTCCCACCTTGTCAGCAGTGGACAGAATGGTAGGCTCTAGATCTTAGACTATCTAGCAAATTCACTGCCCACAAGAAAAGGCAGATTGTGTAAAATCCAGGCCTTTGGGCTTGCAGACATTCCCAATCAGTGGGTTTTCCTGTTATTTATGCCAATGCAATTAGAACACAGTTCCACCACCTAGATGGAAACGCAGCCACAGAGATGTTGATAAAGCTGTCACAGCAAGACGGAGATAGTAAGTCTCGTTAACATTAAGAAAAGAACAAACCCATAAATAAGAGATTATCAAGTGAAATAAGATAGTCTCTCTTCCAACTTCTAACAAATCTCATGTGCAAAGCCATGTAATTTCCCCAGGCATCCTCCTTGCCATCCAGATGTATAGAATATGAATTGTGCAGGGGAGGGAAATTGATATGCAGAAGAAAGTGTTGGCAAAATAATTAGAGCCGTGAGGCTTTCTCAGTCTTGTGTTTCATTGGAGAGGTCACCAATTGTGGAATTATGGCTTCCAGAGCACACTGATTATGTAACGGAGCAGTCCCTGAAAAGAGCCTGGAAAGGACAGACAGGTGGTGGGACTGTACCCATGAGGGTGAATGGCAGAGCCACTAAACAGCTAAGGGCCACTTCCCAGGGGGGTAAGAGCAGGTGCCACCCTCTTTGTAGCACTACCTGCCGAGTACAGTCATCTGCACCACTCTGCCCATGGAGGCAACCAGCTGTCTGCCTCCCCTCTCACTTTGTGGCTCAGTGATCCCTACCATTCCTTCTGGCAGTGGCCACACTCAAGGCCACCTGCAAGTTGAAGCTGATTGGAAAATAAAAGTTTATATCAAGTTGCTAAAACCTGACTAAGAGCCACTTGCAGAGAGTGACCCGCTGGGTCTGTATTCCCAGGGGGCCCTCAGCTCACCTGCTGGCTTACAGCAGGGAATCTAGAGATACTTATCAATTGGAATTGACTGGAGCCACCAACAAAACATCCATAATGGAATAGGAAAGAGAGAAAGGAAAGAGGAAAGAGGCAGGAGCAGGAGAAGGGAGGGGAGAAAAGTCAGAGGAAGGAGAAGGGCAAAGAAAGGCACAAAGATGCTTAAAATGTGCATGAACTTCAGCAAATAAGGATAGAGGAGGAGAAGAGAGAGGGAAGTCAGTGAGAAAGAAAAGCAAAGAGGTGGTGAACATGGGTGGGCCATGAACAGAGCAGACCTGCCAGAGAGATGGGAAAATACAGAGGGAAATGACAGAGAGAGGGGTGGGCTGACAGTAGGTATTGAGATAGGCAAAGAACAAGGCCACACATGACAGATACCCAGAAAGACAGATGGACACAGCAGTGATCAGACCCATCCATATGGACACAGGGACACGGAAACAGGAGATAATATAGCTGAAGCCCAAGGATAGACTCGGGGGACTAGAGAATTTCCCAGTCTCCCAAGGAAATCCACACGTTTCCAACTAATTCCTTGGTAGAGAAATGGAACAGGAAAAAAAAAAATGTCTTTCTGGAAGAAATGCCTCCTGAGATTCTGGGAACCTGTTGCTCGGAAGGTGGGAAATGTCCTGTGTCTCCTGGCTCCCTGCCAATTCTGCAATGAAGTGGAAGACTGGGGTTTGCGTCTGAATCCCAGCAAGCTTCGGGGGCTGGGGGAGGTTGTTCCTTTCTGGGCTCCAGGGTCCTTGTGTGGGAAGTTGTGAACCAGCAATGAACTCTACCTACCCTCACGGAATAATTGAAAAGATCAGCTTTTCAAAATAACCCCATGAAAGGTACATCACCCTCTGAGAACATCTAATGATGAAGGTGAGAAGTTAGTTTGATTTCCGTGAAGTCATATATTCATTGTCATTCTTCCCTTCCTCCCTCCTGCCTGCCCTTTCTCTCCCTCCTCTCTCCTCCTCCTCCACCCATTCTTCTCCCTCCTCCTCCACCCTTACTTTTCTTCTATTTCCAATCCACCCCTACCCCCACCACACATTCTCGTCTGATTTCTATCCCAAAGAGACCTGACTTCAGCCTTCAGGTCATGAAATATTCAATCCACTTGGACACTTTTTAATTAATCTTGGGTTTGATTTAGGTCATTGTGCTTTGACGCCTGCCTCCATAACCCTGTCCTGGATCCAATTAACCAGCTGTGAGCACTGCCCTGAAGACACAGACAAGAGCACCTACTCTCAGGGACCAGGGACCTGGTTTGCTGAGGCATCTGCAAACATTCTCTTTGCCATCCCCCTGTATTGCCAAGAAAAGGTAGCATGCGGGATAAGATCTGTCCTACAACAGAGTAGAAAGTGAATTTTAAAGGATGAGAAAAGAAAAATGCAAACCGAAAGCAACCGACAGCTCAGGCTGCAAATATCCAGATGATTAACAGGCTGGCCGGATCACAAATACAGATGTTTCATCAGAAGTCCATGATTGTCCTCACCTAACTGTTCTCATCATCCCCACCTCCCATATGGACTTAATTGTCAGAGGACTCATTTGCACTTGTTGACATTTTGCTCTGTTTTAAAAAATAGCTTTTTCATTGCTATTATTGTATTGTGCTAGTGGTTTTGTCTCATAGGTTGAGTCGTAAATAAAATTAAATGAATTAGTGCATGTAAGGTTTTCAACACAGTGCCAGGCACCTGTTAAGTGCTCGACAAACATTGGGTGTTTTGATAAATTATAATCATTTTCATCATATCTACGTTGGTGACAGACTTGGTTTTCCATTCTGTCTGTAGTGGGTCACACAACATCCAGCTCTCAGGTGGTTCTTAATAAGGTTTGCCAAATAGCTGCAGAATGTTTTTGACATTGAGTGTAGGGTTCCCAAATAATCTGTCGTGTCCCACAGTAATCTCCCATCTTTCCTAAACTACTATTCAGTCATTCAACAAACATTTACCAGGCACCTACTGAATGCCAGGTATCATGCTAGATGCTGGGGATTCTCAGCTAGGCATGATAGAAATGGTTCTTGCCCTTTAAAAAATTACAATAAGCCAAGCCACAGGACTTATTATCCATGCCTGTAACAACAGCAAATCCTTACATAGCACTTACTACAGCCAGGTGTGATTCTCAGCTCTTTACATACTTCCCAACTAGCCTATGAGGGATAGAACTCTGTAACTCTCATTTTTTATTTTATATGTGTTTTATTCTATTCTCATACTGCTATGAAGAAATACTCAAGACTGGGTAATTTATTAAAAAAAAAAAAGATGTTTAGTTGACTTGCAGTTCCACATGGCTTCAAAGGCCCCAGGAAACTTACAATCACGGCGGAAGGCAAAGGAGAAGAAAGCCACCTTCTTCACAGAGTGGCAGGAAGGAGAAGTGCCGACCAAAAAGGAAAAAGCCCTTATAAAATCTTCAGATCTCATGAGAACTCACTCACTGTTATGATAACAACATGGGGATAACCGCCCTCATAATTCAATTACTTCCCACTGGGTCCCTCCTACCACACGTTGTTGAGGGCCAATTGCTGGTCCGATGACATGAGGGGCCTACTGGAGGTTGAGGCTGAAGGATTCAGATCAAGCCTGGACCTTATGGCCCTGGACTCTCAAGGGGAAGGAGTCAGTTACCAGCGCCAAGAGGTAGAGAAGGCAGTGGTTAATCATTTGGGACTATGGGAACATGGCAACTACAATTCAAGATGAGATTTGGGTGAGGACACAGCCAAACCATATCAATATATATAGAGACTGAGGCCCAGATAGGCAGATTAATCTGCCCAAGGTCACACCGTAATAAACAGAAATGCCAGGATTTAAACCCAGGCAGTTTGGCTTTAGGGTTCACAAAACTAACCAGCAAGCTATGCTCTTGCATTTGGTACACACTGCCTCTTTCTGTTAGCAAACTTTTGTTGGTTTCTGCAAGTAGATTTAAATTTCTTAAACTCCATAGAGGCAGACAACTATTAACGGATGTTGGGGGCTAAGAAAAGGGGGAGTCGGAATGACTGCTTATTTATATGGAGTTTCTGTCTGAAGTGATCCAAAAGTTCTAGAACTAGATGGTAATGATGATTTCAAAACATTGTGAGTGCACTTAATGCCATTGAGTTGTACACTTTAAAATGGTTAAAATGGTTTTTGTTTGTTTGTTTGTTTCTGTTTTTTGAGATGGCGTCTCGCTCTGTCGCCAGGCTGGAGTGCTGTGGTGCGATCTCAAGTGATTCTCCTGCCTCAGTCTCCCAAGTAGCTGGGACTACAGGCACGCCACCACGTACAGCTAATTTTTGTATTTTTAATAGAGACGGGGTTTCACCATGTTGGCCAGGATGGTCTCGATCTCTTGACCTCGTGATCCACCCTCTTCGGCCTCCCAAAGTGCTAGGATTATAGGCATGAGCCACTGTGCCCAGCCAAAATGGTGTTTTTTAATCCTGAAGTGCAGGGTTGTCTTATAACTGCATATCCCCATCACTTCTGGATCTTTAAAGTTTCCAGCTAACATTTCTTGTTCGGTTGACTGATTGCCAGTGGTGTTAGAAATGGAGCTTGCTTTATTTTTATCATTATCACTCTCATGATTATGAAAAACAGAGCCCTTTTAGGTACCCAGAAGATCCTCATCCATGTAAGAGCAACTGGAGCCACAGACAGGGCTGATTCTGAGGCTGAGGGGACAGGTGTTTGGTTCCAGTGAGGTGTTTGGTGTTAGGAGCTGGGCTAGAGCAGGAAAGGTGCTTTCCAAGAAGCAAGGATGCAAAAGGGCAAGTTTACATCAAGACAGAGTTGAGAGGGCAAAGTTTGGAGACAGAAGCTTGAGGTTTGAGCTCTCAAGCTTGAGGTTTGAGGGGTAAATCAGGCATGCAAACAGAAATCAACGTCAGGTCAGGGACTGAAAGAATCTCAAGCCTTTTGGAAAGGAGAATGTAATAATAATATCATAAAAATAACAACAATAGCCTGCATGTGGTGGCTCACACCTGTAATCCCAGCATTTTGGGAGGCCAAGGGGGGGGCGGATCACTTGAAGTCAGGAGTTCGAGACCAGCTTGGCCAACATGGCGAAACGTCATCTCTACTAAAAATACAAAAATTAGCTGAATGTGGTGATGCATGCCTGTAATCCCAGCTACTCGAGAGGTTGAGGCAGGAGAATCGCTTGAACCCAGGAGATGGAGTTTGCATTAAAACAAGATATTGCCACTGCACTCCAGCCTCGATGACAGAGTGAAACTCCGTCTCAAAAAAATAAATAAAAAATAAAACAACATAACAATAATTCTAAATCAAACTCTTAAATAGTGCTTTCCACATACCAGATACTGTTTCAAGGATTTTCATATAGTAACTCATTTATTCTTTATTATTATTATCATTGCCTCTATTTTACAGATAAAGAAACTAAGGCCCAGGGAAGTTAAGTGACTTGCCCAGGGTCGCACAGCTAGCAAGTGAAAGAACCTGGATTCCATGGTGGGTGATCAAGAACCAGACTGACCTCTTAACCATACAAGGTAGGAAGTTCATCTGGATTTATGATTCTGGTCCTGCTGAGGTCCAATTGCTGGCCAGATGACATGAGGGGCCCACTGGAGGTTGAGGCTTAAGGATACAGATCAAGCCTGGACCTTACAGCCCTAGACTTACAAGAGGAAGAGTCAGTGACCAATGCCAAGAGGCAGAGAAGGCAGTGGTTAGTAACACGGACTGAACTGGAAGCCAGGGCTTGGATTCTAGTTTTGCCACCCAGCAGTCATGAAACCTTGGGCAAATTATTTCATCCCCTTCTGCCTCAATTTCCTCCTGTATAAAATGGGGATATACTACTACCTATCTCGTAGAGTTGCTGCGATGATTATATGAGTCTATTTTCATAAAGCATTGAGTAGAGAACCTGGCATAAAGTGAATGCTAAATAAAATGAATCCATTAGAAATAAGAGCTGCAACTTTTTTTGTCTTAGCGGGAAGTTGGGGAAGCAGTGACCCAATTGGGGATTTCCGTGCTTGTTTTGCCTTTAACAAAGGAAACCAAATCCTTGGCTGAAAACAAAACAAAACTGGTGGCCGGTGTCACACTGAAACTGACACATACGCCTTGAGCCACTCGCCTACGGGAGCCCACCACCAGTTCCTGCCTCGCTTCTCTCCCCTTCTCATCCACATGTCGGGCAGGAGGGAGGGGCTGCAGGTCCGCATGCCTTGAGCTGCCTACGCGGTGATATTTAATTAATCTATTCATTTGATCCTTAGATTTGCTTAGTGGCTCCCTTTCCTTGACACTCCCTGGGGTTTGAATACAGTAACATTCAGCCCTAATTAAAATTGTTGAAACAGCAGCCGTCTCCATTAATAAAACATCAGAATGAGACTGGATTTTTTTTTTAACAGCCTTTTCTTAAAAACTCCGAGAAAGTGGACAGAGTGAGCCCAGGTAGGAAAGGAGAAAGTTAACAAACTCCTTCTTTTTGTTGGCAAGTGTTTGAGGGTGGCATTTCTAATTCTCTCTACTGGTCTGGGGCTGGAGGCCAGTTCTTTATAGCGAAAAGAACCCTACAGTCTACATGCGGAGACCTCCCGTCGCAAACTTGCTGTGTGAGGCTCCCTCTTTTGGGTCTCAGTTTTAACATGGGGGTGCCAGACCAGCTTTAATGTTCTGTGGTCTGAAAACATCAAGTCGTCCAGTCCTTGAATTGGGCCAAATTGGGGAATTCTTGAGCCTGTGTCACTGTCCTAAGAAAATGACCACAGGCAGTTTCTTCCACTCAAGTTCCTTGGCTTTGGGTCATGTAAGCTGCCCTCTGACCACAAGAGTCTGGACCAGAGATCAGGGTCTAGGTCCCAGGCAGCCATCCAAGTTCAACTAAGGGGGCCAATGAGGAGTCTTGGCTCAAGAATTCTCCATGGTGGACTGGAGAATTCTCCAGCCAACCCAATCAGATCCTGTCTCCTGGGGGAGTTTTACATGTGCTTCTCCCCAAGCGTAGGGGAGGAGAAGCAGGAATAGTCCAGCCATGGCTGCCTGTGGGCATGAAAGCCACGCAAACCTGGGTTTCAAATCCTGCTGGTACCTCCTTGCCATGTACCAACTACATGACTTTGGACATGCTGTGTACCCTCTCTGTGTCTCAATTTGCTTATACATAAATAAGTTAGTAAGTCCTTTCTTCACAGAGTCATTTTGAGGATTAATGCCTGATGCATACGCCCCTGTTTTGGGTAGCTGTGATTACTATTAAAAGCAGTGGATGAAGAAACAGGAGACAGAAACAGTACACAGAAGCAGAAGAGAAACAGAAAAGAAAATAAAAGATAAATAAAAAGAATTGTTGTCTCTGGGTGAAGCACCCTTCCCAGCTCTCAGTCCATGTGCTTTCATGAGGCCGCCCCACCTCCTTTTCCAGCCATAGTGCATGTGACATAGATCCAAGCCAATCAGAGCCAGTCACCCCTTTTTCTAGCCACAGGCCCAAGTGAATCAGAGCGTCACATTCTCCCAGCCATTGTGATAGGTCCAGAGGTGGACACATGACCAAAGTCAGCCTACCCATACTGCCTGGGTTTCACCCTCCAATACCCAGGATTGCTTACTCTCCAGTATCTATGAGAAATCAAGTCCCATCCACCCTTTTGTGATTTTTGAGAACTCTTGGAAATTTGCCACTGGATCTTGGGAAGGAGTCACATCACAAAGCAAGTAGCTTTCCACCATATTGCTATCTCCATGCTATCACTTACTGTCTTTCCCGCCTGTTCTCCCCTCCTCCCCAGAACTACCCTGGAAATCCACCCAGGTGTTTCCAAGAATAATCTTCAGCTTCAACACCAACCAAAAGATTTCCCAACAAAGGGAGCTTTCTCTTTGGAAGAGCAATTCTGATTGAACTGAATGTCCTCTGTATAAGGGCATAAGTCAAGTGCAAGGTAAGCCCTGCATCAGCAAAGATCATTATCATTACAGGCGTTCCTGAGCAAGAGGGCGGTAAGATCGATATGCACATTGCCAGTCCCCCTCATTTTCCTGAGACTTTGTTTCCACCCTGGAGTCAACATCCCAAGCAGAGGAAGCAAAAGACTTTCCATCCTTGTTCCTGGAATTGAAGAGATTGCGATGCCCAGCTGCCTTATTAAACTTAGGGTTTTACATCTCACTGCCACTAGAATCACCAAGGTTAAACATTCTGGGTAAGAACTGGGATTAATAACATAGCAATGGCCTCACACTGGCCGTGGATTCCCCCTGCTAGTTAATAGAATGATTCATTTGAATTGCTTCCCCCTTCATTGTGGCATGGGGCCTGCCTCTCCCCCTGCCAGCCTTTCCCTTTCTAGGAAAAGACAAGCAAAGCTTATTGAATTCTAATACATCATCATGGCAGCAGGCATCAATAGAGGGAGACAGATGTGAGAACAGAACACCAAGCCCCATATCCATCCCCTTGCAGTTTCCCCACCCCTTCCTCTTCTTCTCGGCAAGTCTACTCAGCACCCCTAGGGAAGCTGAGAGTTCATTATGAACAGCTGCCAAGAGTCAATAAATACATGGCTGAGATTTCAGTCACCTACTGTGGCTGTCCTCACCACCGACTAAGTAATTGCATGGCCCCAGACTGGGTAGGGGAGGCTTGTGGGGTAGGAACGAGTGGCAGGGAGTTCAAAAGAGCTCTGCAGCCAGAATGATCTTTTTATAAAGCAAATTTGATCATATCAAACACCTTCACCTCACTTAAAACTCTTCAATGGCTCCCCATTGCTTCTAGGATAAAGACCAAAACATTTAATATGGCTTGCAAGATTCTGCAGGGCCTGGCCCCAGCCCACCCATCTGATCTCATATCCGAACATGACCCTCACACACACAAACATGTTTTCAACTACTCTAGCCACACTGATAATCTTCTAGTTGCTAGTGGACCTCCAGAACTCAGATCAAATAGCACCTTCTCAATCCAGAACAAATCCTACTATAATCTAATCTTGTAGCACAATTGTTCTTCTTGGCATTTGTCCTAGCCTGCAGGTTTATATTTGTATAAATTTTGTGTGTGTGTGTGTGTGTGTGTAATTACTGGAATGATGCTCTCTCCACTGACTGTCAGATAACTCTACATTTTGCTTTCCAAGTGTCTCCAGTTTCTAGCACAATGCCTGGCACAAAACAGGAAATCAGTGTATTTTTGCCAAATGAATGTATGAATCAATGAGTTATAAAGTGGGGCATATCCCAGAGCTGGAAGCACTTTAGTGGTATTAAAGCATAGAAGATGTGCAGTAGGATGGGAAAAGAGGCAAGAGAGGTAGACAGAAGAGATCACAGAACAATCATTATTCATTCAGCACCTGCTGTATGCCAGGCACTGTTCTAGGCATTAGGAATACAGCAGTGAATAAAGCAGACAACATGCTTTGCTTTTATGGAGCTTACATCTGAGGCTATTCCCCTCTGATGTTGCAATATGCCTACAGAGGAATATTCCTCTTGGAATATCTACAGTTGTCATGTTATTCTAAATTGCAGCAAAAATAAATTGCAAACATAACTAGGTGTAAGGGGTCTCTCATGGGCAGCATTCAAGCTGGGCCTTCACCCATGGGAAGGCCAAAATAAACACTTCAACAGACCCCCAAAATAAATTCACTCCACATCCTATTGATAAAATTGGATAGTTTCCACCAGATTCAGTGACAGGATAGAAAGAAGGATTAAGTTGCATACCATACAATGAAACATCCTCGATTTGCTCCATTAAACACCTCTGCCCCTTTTCTCCAGTTCCTCATTCCTACCAGCCCTTTTATCTATCTTCCGTCTCTCTTACACTGCCTCTGAAAATTCTTCCTCTCTTAAACAATTCAGTATTCATCTTTAGCTTGTAAATTTGCCTAACAGTGACCATCAAACATTTCTCAAACATGCCCCTTGAGGGCCTTAGCTTCTGCTGCCATATAAACATGGATCAAATTTGGAGGACTTTTTATGACGGGTTTGAATTTACCAGTGCGCCATGGCCCACTGTGTGGGAGTTTCTGTTACATGGTGCCATGTCTTTCATGCTAAGGATTTTGGTCTTTTCCCTAAAGGCCATGTGAAACACAAGAGGTTTTCAGCACAGGAATGACCCCTGGGCAGATTCTCCCCCACTGCACCTGAGATTTTGCCTCTGCTTCCAGGAAGAATCTAAATGAAGCTGTGGGTGTCCTTCTAGCATTAATTAAAGCTTTGCTCTGGGCCCAGCTGCAGAGAAGACCATGGGGTGCAACACACAGGGGGAGCAGCTATAGCTTCCAGGAATCTGCAGGCAGCTCTAAACATGTGAGACCTCTCCCCATCCCCTCTGCTCTAGAAGCAGAGCCAAGGTCCCCTTAGGGAGAAGGCATCTCTAAAGCTAAAACTCAAATATCTGCTTCCCACAGGAAAGAGAAATGGTTGTGCCCTGGGGGAAAGTCTATAAAGTGCAATTTCCCTTAAGATTCCTTTTCTGTGATCTCCTCTCAGTCCTGATGATGCCTAAGGTGAGCTCAGTGTGTAGAGGACTCTCTTCGCATTAGAGGCATGGACTTGTGGAGTATGAAAACCCTGCCTCCCATCTCTCTGATCCAACTTCTCAAGGCCAGGACCAGAGCATCCATTGAGTTGTCTAGTAATAATCATAATTATAAAAATAATTGCAGCTACCATTTACTGAGAACTTACCAAGGCAATCACTTAATGGACACTATTTCAATTACGCCTCACAGTAATCTGGTGAAATGGAGATTATTATCACCATTTGACAGATGAGGAAGCCAAGGCTTAGATCTGCTTTCAAGTCTGAGACTACTTACCATTTATAAGCCATGGGAGGTTGAGTAAGTTACTTTACTTAACCATCCTGCTTTATTAGCTTTTATTGAATGAAAATGTGTGCAGTCTTCCTCTGAAATGCGTACCCAATTTTTATCCCCACGTCTCCTAATCAACCTCAGAAGGACTCTTAGGTTACTCTTGGAATGTGAAGCAGCTGTGGTCTGAGCCTTTAGGAATCTTGGGAGTGCGAGAAGCATTGTCCCGCTCTGGAAGTGATGAAGGCTTGAAATTTAGGCAACTACACTAGGTCCTGCAGAGACCTCTCTGTTCATGCCTGGCTGCAGGGAATTCAAATCTTCATTAGATAAAAACTTTCACGAACCCTCAAGTGAGCATCCTAAAAGGCTAACTGACCCCATCTCTCATCCTGTTAAAAGCCACCACTAACTTTCTTTAGACTCTAGAACTCAGTAGTAGCCAGAAATAAAAATGAAATACAGCAAACTTTAGCAGGAGGAAGAGATAAGGGCAGAGAGAATTTATGATAGCTTATGGGAGTTAGTAAGGATTCCTGGTAGCATGGAGAAAAAAAGAAATAGAACTCCATGAGCCTCATCCCAAAAGGGCAGAATTTAGTGAGCCACTTCGGGAAACTGCAGAGAGAGTGAGGTACAATTTACTTCAGGAACCACTGGAACCAGGAGCTCAAATGCTGTCGGGTGCCTCTAGCTCCCATTTCTCCGCATTTCTCCTTCCCACTGAGTGTTGCCCTCATCTTCCCCATTCCCATTGGCCTTCACTCAGTGGGAGAATGGCTGTAGTAGCTCCAGCTATACCACTTTTATGGAGTGAGTGACCAAGAGAGGAGCAGTGAGCTCTCTTACTTTAGATTTTAGATTAAGTTCAGGAATGGTAGAAAGAGATAAACAGATGGTGTTTAACAAAACAAAACAAAAAAAACACCTATAGAAATCAGGATGGATATAGATCCCTGTGATGTAACAGAGTCCAAATATATAGTGGCTTAAATAAGTTAGCTATTTCTCACCCATGTAATTGTTCAGATGTAAGCAGGCGAGGGCTGGCGAGGGGAGTCCCTTTTGTCCAGGACCCAGGATCCTTCCATCTTCTTGCTCAGCTATGCCTAGAGATTGTTCTTACCTGAGTGTCCTAAGAAATACTAACACATCTGCCATGTAGCCCACGGGAAGAGGGAAAGGTGAATGAAGGAAGCAATACTTCACTTTAAGAGCACAACTCAGGAGTCATACACATCAATGCCACTCATGAATTCATCCTCATGGCCACACATAACTGCAAGGGAAGCTGGAAAATGTAGTCTTTCATCTGGGCATCCATGTACCCCACTGAAGACTGGGGGTTCAACTACTATGATAGGAAGAGGAGTGTATATCTGGGATTAGTGGAATATCTATCATGGCCACCTAAGGACAAGAAAGCTGCGGAAACAAATAACAACAACAAAACAGAATACTGTCTAGAACTCAGGACATATTCCATCTCTCCATCACTCCTTTCTGTTTCTCTTGGATGTCTACTTCATTATTCTTTTTCTTCCCAGTGTTCTGTGCCCCTTCATGCCCAGGGCAGGTCAACTATGTCCATCTCACCATTTCTAGGCTTATACTTACAGTCTGAAGTAAAACAAGACCAGTTAGCCCGACAACACAAATGGAACTTGGCATGAGCATTCCCTGCCAAGTTAAGTGGATTTATGATTTAACTCTCATCAAGAAAGGGGCAAATGAGAACATAATAGGGCCAGGGTATTAACTTACAAGAAATAAATGCAAAGTCATCTTACTAAAAGGAATATTAAATTCTCATGCAGATCAGAAGGATGAGTGCATGGCAGGGATGTGTTTTGGAAATTAATTAATTCTTGGGGTGATGGGATGAGATCAGTTTCATTTTGAACACTCTGGGGCAGCTTGGCCTGAGTTGGAACTGCCCTCAGCAGGCATCGGTAACCAAGGGGCAAGAGAAGAGCTCTTGACTGTCAGATCCTGAGGTTGGCAAATCTGCCAGATACCCGAAAGGACTGGTGGGTATGGAGACTTTACGATTTTGTTGGAGTGGGATATGGATGCCTAAATGGGTGGGAAGGTGGGAGAGCAAGAGTACTCTGAAGGGAGGAGTAGAATGGAGAGGGCTTGGGAAAGGTAAGAGAAAACGGAGAACATTAGGCAAGGAGAAAGCATCCACATGGGACATGACCAAACTAAGGTCCAGCTGTCCGCAACACTGTGTAGTTCAGTACTTAACACCAAAACCTTGAATTTTTTTTTTTTTTTTTTTGGAGCGATGGAGTCTTGCCATGTCACCCAGGCTGGCCTCCAACTCCTGGACTCAAGCGATTCTCCCACCTCGGCCTCCCAAAATGCTGGGATTATAGGTGTGAGCCACCACACCTGGCTTAACCCTGAACATAGAATTGCTCAAACATTTCTCAGAGTCCAGTGTGCACGTATTAGTTTGAGAGCAGCAGGCAAGTTGTACCCAGACTAGGGAGGAAAGCAGCCCCCACCTCCCACCACCAGATGCCTGAACATTATCATTGTGAATGTGAGGTGGCAGGAGGGGCTGTCCTTTGGGGGCTGCTGAGCAGAGACACAAGCAAGATGGCCACATGGTTAAGATGTTAGCCAGAGACCCACTGTATTAGTTTGCTAGGCTGTCATACAAACTACTGAAACTAGGAAGCTTAAGCAACAGAAATTTATTTTCTCACAAAAAAGAGGTCTAAGGTCAAGGTGTCTGCTGGGTTGGTTTCTTCTAAGACCTTCCTCTTCGGCTTGTAAGTGACCACCTTCTCGCTGTGTCTTCACAAGGTGTTCCCTTTGCATGCACCTGTGTCGTAGTCTCTTCTTAGCAGGACATCAGTCATATTGAGTAAGGACCCATTCTAATGATCCAGCTTAATTTAATTACTGCCTTAAAGACAGACCCCATCTCCAAAGATGTCCTGAGGTTAGGACTAGGGAATAAGATTTCAACATCTGAGTTTTGCAGAGATACAATTCGGCCTATAACACTCACAATAAGAAGCCTAAAATGGAGTTTACCAAGTGATTTCACATGTCAAGTCTTAGCCACAAGAAGAGAATGTCTTGACTCTTCCTCAGTTTCAATTACAAGTCATGGGGAGAAGACTTGAGGTTGGTCCAATTTGGGGCATATGTTTATCCCTGGTCCTACCAGCCATGCCCAAGGGATGTGGACTCACCTGCAACAAAGACGGCTGCCCAGGCTCTGCCCAGGGATGGTAGTGACTGGTTACCAGTCTGGGTAGACATTCCATCTCACCTAACAGAATAAATTCAAACCCTTCAGTAGGACATACAGAATCTCTCACACCCTGTCCCCTCAATACCCACCCCTCAGCCATATCCCCTGCCACCCTGCACAAATTCTACCCTGCATTCATGCTATGCAAACCTCACTTCACTGTTTCTCATCTTCAGCCTTTGTGCAAGCTTTCTTTCTCCAACTAGAAAGCCTCTCCTGTCCACCCACTCGTCTGCCTGAAAAGCCCCCACTTATATTTACATTTCAAAGCTCACCTGGAGCATTTCCTTTGGAAAATTCTTCCTGAGCTCCTGCAGAGACAGTCTCCCTCCTCTTGCCCTGTATGGACCACTCAGAACACTCTGTCACAAGTTTTGTTAGATGGTCTTTTTCTTGAAGTTGGCTGTGGGTTCCAGGAAAGCTTCCAGAACAAACTTATCTACTACAAAGCCTACCACAGTGCTTGCATGATACAAAACAAATATTGTGTGACTATTACAAAAGAATGAGGGAATATTATTATCAACTGGGCACAAATTATTATCAACCAGGCACTTGGATTTATAAGTAAAACACAAGTCCCTGCCTTTTAAGAACTTCTGTGGGACTGGAGAAGACATAAATATGAATAATGACTATAAAAATAAGAAATAAACTAAGAACTAAGGAAGCACAGAGGGAGTTGCCATTTAAACTGGGAAAATTGTGGAAGATTTCTGGGATGAGGTGACTTTGAGTGTAGTCACAAAAGATGTGTAGGAGTTTGTCAAGGGGTGATAGTGGGGTGGAGGAATTGGAAAGAGGTGGCCATATTGAAGAAAGAACATGAACAAGGCATGGAAAAAGGATCATGCTAGGCTTGTGGATAGAACATGGAGTGGTTATGGTGACACCAAGGCCAAGGACTCCAGGTGGGGGCAGCATCATCTATTCCATACCTGGAACCTAATTGCTTTGCGGTTGTTACTGACGGAGCTACCAACTTCTCCAGTCGTCCAACAACCATCCAGAGTCTCTCTGTCCCTCCATGGACTTTCTTAGGAAAGAAAGAAAGACACTTGGTTGTGAGCAGTCTTAGAGCTAAAGAAGTCAAGCCTTCTGCATTTGGGGCTTACACTGTCCTCCTACTGCTTCCCCTAAATGACAGAGAGGAAGGGTGGCCCATCTGAGCCTGAGATGAGAAACTCGCCTCCCACTCTGCACTTTTTGTAAACCTCTCTAATTTTGTGTGGCAAGTCACTTCACCTCTCTGAGCCCCAGTTACTTATTTGAGAAGAGGCATTCCTGACCCTACAGGGTTCTTATGAGGACTAAAGCTAACTCGGGTCAAATGTACAATGCATGAGTGACATCTAACAGTAGCTCAGTTAATAGTGGCCATTACAATTACTTTTTAAAAATAAAAACATGCAAGTCTTACCTCCCCTGTTGTAGAACTATAAATTCTTGGAGAATTTTCATGCCCCTTACTGTCCAGCATATACTGATGCTCAATAAATACATGCTGTATTCACGACTGCCTAGAATCCTGGAATTTTCAGACGGGCAGATATTTAAGAAATCAGCTAATCCAACCTCTCATTTTACACTTAGTAGAAATAGGCTCAGAGATCAAATGAGTACTTCAGAGCCTGTGTTTTCATTTTGACTCTACCGTGTGTAATTTTAGCTGTAACATAGCCTTTCTTGCCAAGTTCCCTTACCTATAAAATGTGGCAATCTTAGTAACGATTTTATTGGATTGTCATAGGGATTAAATGAGCAAATACATATGAAGCATTAAGACCAGTGTCTGGCACATAAAAACCATTAATAACCTGTTATCATCATGATGGAGACTGAACCAAGACCACACAACCACTTAGTAGCAGGACTGAAGCTAGCACCCCACTGTTTCTGATGAGATCAGACGTTCCTCATTTTAGCTTCTAGGGTACAGAATTTACATGGTGTTGCCACATCTTGACAAGGTATAGGCTAAGCTTAATCCCTGGAGAGGACTTCCCAGCCAATCTGTTCATTGGCCAAACCCAGGTTTTGGCTAGCTTAGGGTCTCACCAACTCTGAGCCCCTTCCCTCCTTGCAAACGTGCTGAACTACTTCTTCTTCTATTATGTATATCAATGGCTCTCAACCAGGGCAGATACTTCCCCTAAGAGAAATTTGGGGATATCTGAAGACGTTTTTAGTTGTCACAATTGAGATGAAGGGGATGCTACTAGCATCTGGTGGGTAGAGGCCAAGGATGTTGCTAAATGTCTTACAATACACAGGACAGCTCCGTACAACAAAGAATTATCCAGTCCAGGATGTCACTGTGCTAAAAGACCCTGATGTAGATGTATGTGCATTAAGATGCAAATGTGATCTGTTTCACATATGTTCTATAGCTACATAATCAGCATATTGTAGAGAAAACAGTAGCTTTGGCATTAAAGAGACCAATGTTCAAATTCTGGCTCTGCCACTTACTAGCTGTGTGACCTTGGACATGGTACTTCTCTAGTGCCAACTAGTAGGTGCCTAAGAAATAATAGGCAGATAGTTGGTGAGTATGAATTATAATTCACCCCATTTCTGTAAGGTGGGTAAATGTGGATACTTGAAAATGTTGGTCGGGAATGAGCTGGAAGTTGGCTGACAAAAGACAGATGAATGGATATTGATGGGTGGTTTAGGGCCAAATAAGGCACCAAGACAAGAGACGGGAACCTGGCCAAGATGAATGGGAAGTAATGGAGGCAGAGGTCATGGAGAAAATAACCCACACAGATATAGAAAATTATCATTCATTTATTTAAAAATTTTATAGGCCTGGCTTTATGTGAGCCATTATATGGACATCATTCATTAATTCATTCAGTAAAAATTAGTAAGCATCTACTATGTACTGAAGCACCGTGATAGACACTACACTCACCTCATTGACTTGTTCAGGTCTTTATTCTGGTTATTCATTGAACACCTACTCTGAACCAGATACTGTGGTGCCATTTGACATGCATCACCCCCTCCCCTACTCATTCATTCATCCACTCAGTCACTAATTCGTTATTTAATTAATTCATTAAGCATTTGTTTGTAAGAACCTCTGCTGTGCCAGACATTAGGTTAACTACTGACAAAAGAGTAAAAGCTCTAGAAAGGGAAGAGATCAGTAACTGATGGATGTTCATCTAGAATGGGAAACAGGGGAAGCAAATATTCTAGGTTTTATGAGATCAAGGTACAATTTGCTATTGGTCAAGGCTTTGTGGAGAGATCCTTCCTGTAGGAAATAGCTAAAGTAACAAAACAAAAACAAAAACAAAAAACTAAAAAAAAAATCTTTATGGAGAGAAGATTCTGTAGGAAAGAACTAAACTTCTCCAAGAGCCGTAGGTTATGAGTGATGTAGACTGAATGATTGGTTTGAATTAGAATGCACAGATGATTGTCAAGGGTTTGGTTGCAGAGAACAGAATCCACTTCAGCCAGTCAAGGCGCAGATTTCTGTGTTTTGTATACTGCTTTTCACATTGATGGATTTTAGAATCATTGAGATAATAGAAGAAACAGCTTCTAGATTGAGCTTCTAGTAGTGAATCCCAAATCAACACAACAAGACTGAGCCCCAAAAGAATTTCTGTTCCCAACATAACAAAGAAGCTGCTAGCCAAGCTAAGAATCTGCTAACTATAAGTCCAAGTCGCCTCTGCTATGGGCTGCACCAGCAAAAAGGGTGCTTCTCTCCTTACTTAACTCAGTGCCGAATCTGAGTTTCAGGTGCATCTGGTAGTCTGAAACCCTCTTTGAGAGATGTAGTTTACATCTTTCTAGGGAGAACAGCATTTTAGAAGGAAGCTGGAATGAAGATGGATTAAGTCAATCTGTACTTTTCAGATGACATTAAGTTGTATATCTGTGACAAACTGGATTCTGTAACTAAATCCAACCCTGTAAACTATCATCAGAATATGCAGTTCTACAGGTGGTATAAACTTTTCCTTTAAAAGGCTGGCTGAGTATTCAGTATGCTAATGACCCATTCATTCTGGAGTCCAACTAAATCATACTTTCTGTTACTGGCGACCAGCATTTTGGGTTTTTTTGTTTTTGTTTTTAGACGGAGTCTCGCTCTGTTGCCAGGCTGGAGTGCAGTGGTGCAATCTAGGTTCAATGCAACCTCTGCCTCCCGGGTTCAAGTGATTCTCCTGTCTCAGCCTCCCGAGTAGCTGGGACTACAGGCATGCGCCACCACGCCCTGCTAATTTTTGTATTTTTAGTAGAGACAGGGTTTCACCATGTTGGCCAGGATGGTCTCAATCTCTTGACCTCATGATCCACCCACCTAGGCCTCCACAAGTGCTGGGATTACAGGCGTGAGCCACCGTGCCTGGCCAGAATTTGTATTTTTTTAAACCTTCTCTGGTACTCCCTCTGATCACCCCAATTTGGGATGACTGAGAAAAACTCATACCAAACGACTTGGTTCAAACTCCCAGGAATACGTGTAATTTCAACAAAAGACAATTTCTTATAATTCAGAAGGGCGGATGGTCGGTCTAACATCAGAAGAACACTTAGTTAGAAAACGTGAGCTTTCTAGTTTTATCAAACTAAACCAGGTGGTCACCATTCATTTCACCTTGACAGTCTTAGTCAAGTCTTCTTCCCATAAGAGGTTTTTGGAACTTTCCCCTGCATTTAAATAGGGAGTGCCAGTACTGTCAATAACAACTGGGTAGCTGCAAAAAACTGGGGAGTTGCAAAATTAGACCCATGGCAAATAAAAGAAATAGAGTTCCTAGCCTCAAAATGCTGACCACCTAACAGAGTCCACTGATAGGTGACCAGACAACCATAATTGCCATTTGGGAGTGATGAAAAAATGCTGGATAAAAGGAGGCACAAGGTGACAGGGGAGCATAAACATGGATCCCTACTCAGCCCGCAGCATCAGAAAGTCTTCTTGAGGGAAGCAATACCTTGGCTAAGATCTGAAGGATGAGTCAGCCAGGCATAGAGGCTGCAGAGAGGCAAGAGTGCTCCAAGCTGAGGGACCCAGGAGTGCAAAGGCCTGGAGTCCTGAGAGAACCCAGCACATCTGGAGATCTGAAACGTGTTCAGCATGGCTGGAGCACACACAGTGGAGCCACCGATTTCAGAAAGCAGAGGTTCTATGCAGAAGGGAGACTAGACCTTTCAAGGAGGCAACAACAGCAGAAACCTTGGGAGGGCAGAGAGACCTAACCCGGACAGTCCCAAGGATAGAGCTGTGACTTGCTGGTGCCCAGAATAGAGCACTCTCCGCATCCTGCTAACTGGCTAAACAGGAGGAAGTAGTAAATCTGATAGGGCTGGAATGAAATGGCCCTTCCAGATTCATTCTAGAGGAGAATGTAAAGAAGCATTGAAATGTGAAACGCTTTCAATGGACTTCCAAGGGAAGCCCAAACAGAACTCCCTTTATGGGAGGATCTCCATTTAGAGGCAAGCACAATGGGGACACAGTCAATTATCCATCAACACTGCATAGCCTCTTTCAGTCTCCATTCACATTCTTGCATCCAGTCCAAGCAAGCAACATGGAAGACGTGGGCGCAGTGATGCTCGTACACACAAACAAATAAACACACACACACGGACACACACACACACAAGCTCAGTATGAATGCCTGGTTCTGACCCATTCCTCCCACTGAGCTCCACCCTGAGCTCAGTCCTCCTGGCTTCTGACCCTAAGCTGGCTCTCCTGTTTTCAGCTCACCCAACCGTCTATGCTCAGCCCCACCTCCTCAGATTTGCCTTGACTGCCCCGCAGCCACGATTTGAATTTTCCTTCCAGCCAGGCTGCCTTGAAAGCTGCTTCAGTAAATGCTCTCGTCTGTTTGACATGCAGAGTGTTTTGTATGAAAAGATTATAGATCTTGGAGCCTTGTTTTGAAGACTGTCTTTACTCATTCCCAGCAGCATGACCTTGGGCAAGTGATATAACCTCCCTGAGTCTCAGTTGGCTCATCTGTGAAATGGGAACACCACCACCCACCTCAGCATTGCAATGAAGATCAAATGAGAGATCCCTGATTTACTGTAGTATCTGGCACAGAGAAATGCTACATAAGGAAAACTTCCTTTCATTCCCTTTTCCCTTACCAAACCAAGTGGTTTTCTTATGATCCCTAGTCTGAAATTAAGTACTTATTATGATGATCATGGTTTATTTTTCCCAGTTCTCTTGATTATGTTGAACAGAAACCAGATAAGTAGCACTTGTTTAGAATTTCTTGCATTTTTAGTAATTCTAAGAATAACCATTGCAGCACTAATAATGACATATATTTGATTTCTCCCCTGCTTACCCTCAGAGAGTATATTTTTATGCAGCTGGTTGTTTTGGGGATTGTTTCTTTGTTTTATACACTTTTTTGCTGCCCTATTAAGAAGTTATCCTTGCCGGGAGCAGTGGCTCACGCCTGTAATCCAGCACTTTGTGGGGCCAACGCAGGTGGATCGCTTGAGCCCAGGAGTTTGTGACCAGCCTGGCCAATATGGCAAAACCCCGTCTCTAAGAAAAATGCAAAAATTAGCCGGGCATGGTGGCAGGCACCTGTAATCCCAGCTATATAGGTGGCTGAGGCAGGAGAATCGCTTGAACCTGTGAGGTGGAGGTTGCAGTGAGCCGAGATCGCGCCACTGTACTCCAGCCTGGGCTACAGGGGAGACTGTAAAAAAAAAAAAAAAAAAGAACTTATCCTTAAATTATGACAATGCAGTGATGAATGAAGTGTAAGCCCAGAGAGTTTGAGTGGCTTACATCACTCAGCAAAGCCATGGCTGTAGCCCATTATTACAGTGGCTCTCACTCAGAGGTGGCACCCCTCACCATAAGAGTCATTTGGAAATGTAGGGAGCATTTTATGTTTTCATAGTGACCGAGGGGACACCGCTGACCATGGGAGGGTTAAACAATATGCAAAACCATCTTCAATGTGCAGGATTCACCCAGCCCCAATACCTATAGTGTCATGATGAGAAATACCAGGTAAAACCCCATGGAGCCACACAGAAAATTCTGGGGGAACTGGGGCTGGGATCAAGGATTGTTTCCACCCAGAGTAGGTTTTCAATTAAAAAAAAAAAATTTAGAGCCAAGTGTGGTGGCTCATGCCTGTAATTAACGCACTTTGGGAGGCCAAGGTGGGAGGATGGCTTGGGGCCAGGAGCCTGAGAGCAGCCTGGGCAATATAGGAAGGCCGCACCCCTAAAATAATAAATAATTAGCTAGGCATGGTGGTGCATGCCTGTAGTCCCAGGTACTCAGGGGCCTGAGATGGGAGGGTCTCCTGAGGCCAGGAGGCTGAGGCTGCAGTGAGCTATGATGGTGCCATTGCACTCCAGTCTGGGCAACAGAGAAAGACCCTGTCTGTAAAAGAATTCTTAAACATATGTAACAGACATGTAATAGATACAGATGTCAATTTAGCGCTTGTTCTATAAACTAAATGGACAAAATTTTCACAGTACTTTATTTCCTCTGAATTAAATTTTAATCCCAGCCTCATCCCATTGGTCAGTCAGGAAATTCAATCCTAGTTATTATCAGAGCTTCTTCCCACTCTCAAGGACTAAGAAAGAGCCTCAAAGTTCTTAGAAAGTGCCAAATATTCTGAGCGATCTCAAGCCACTTAGCCCTCTGGAGTCAGGCAGCTGTACTGCTGATGAGTCTTGTTTGGCCGTGGGAGCCTCAGTGGAGGCTGGAAGCCAGCACCTAAGTACACCTTCAAGGAGGCACCTTGACCATCAGCTTGAGCTCTTAACACCCTTACGAGGAAGCCAACCACAGATTTCAACGCCTCCCAGAGCCTGACCACCTTCCTAGACTAAGGATTCACTTTTCTCTTCTCTCTGTGCTTCTTACATCTGCTCCAGCCCCCAGAAGAACTTGTCTCCCTCATCCTCACTTTTTCAAGACCCATCTAACATTATTTCCTGAATAAGCTTTGATTTTCAAAACCAAATGTTAGGAAGGAGGTCCACCTTCCAGACGAAACATACAAAGGACTGGCTACCTTCTCAGAAAACACCTCATTTTATTTATTCTGAGATGTGCATTTTTCTTGTGTCATCGGTTAATTGGTAGTATGTTTTGTTTTTTCTTAGTGAAATACAAAACAGTGGTGCCTTTTAAAAATCAATAGCATTTTAAATTCAATGGGATAGGGAACAGGAAAACAAAGCACAAATGAAGACTTTAATAGGCGATCCAGCCCCACACTGCCAAGATAGAACCCTCACTCAGCTCACAGGGAGCAGCTAAAGGCTGGAAAATTGAAATGTCCCTGAGAAAACATGACAGTGTCAGTGAAGAAAGAATTCCAATATTTGTCTGTGGTTTGTAATTTCTAGACACAGGCCCTGAAGTCCCTGTGTCCCTGGATGAGCTCCCCAAGTATTGCCAAATGGAGACAAAAAAGACAGAGCTTCGAGCTCCAGCACAGCAAGTCTTTGACTGGAATGGAGTGGAGGAAGGACCTGTCCACCAAGTGGCTTTAGGGACTCTGGCTTGATGTGAAGTGGATTAGCTTCAAGTTGACGATTATCCTTTCTGAACACCAAGCATGCCTCATGGCTTTCCTGATCATTCATTTAGAACAAGACGCTGCCTTTGAAATCCTGGGGGATTGGTTCTGCCTGACCTCCTAAAACACATCTCCTGTCCCTGTCTCTTCTAAGCCTGGTTCAGCAGAAGGGGTACAGGCTTCAGAGGGGACCCAGACAGACCTGCTTTTACATCCCAACCCCTCCAGATATTAGATGTTGTAAACAAACTACTTAATCTCTTTGGTGCTAGGTTATTTCGTTTCTTTCTCTTTCTTTCATTCTTTCTTTCTTTCTTTTTCTTTCTTTCTTCCTTCTTTCCTTCCTTCCTTCCTCCCTCCCTCCTTCGTTTCTTTCTCTTTCTTTCACTTACGCTCATGTAACCTTTACTATGTGTCATATACCATCCTAAACACTTCACAAAATTATTTTTTTTAATCCTCAGAACAGCCTATCAAGTAGATGTTACTGTTTTTAACATCTTTGTTTACAGTCTAGGAAACTGAGGTATGGGGGTTTATGTTATTCACCTGTGTTCACATAGCCAGTAAGCAACCAAGTGAGGATTCAGTTGCAGACAGCCTGGGCCCAGGGTTGTGAATTTCCCTACTGTCCTCTGCCTTGCTCCCTCTCTTGTCAGCAAAAAATAATAACATCTTCTAGGTTATTCTGACACTTAAATGATGTATGTAAAGTCCCTGCCACGCAGTAGGGCTTGAAGAAATGATAGTAATCCAAGTCAACAAAAATATACTCTGGGGAAGACACACTTCAATAAGTGGTGCTGGGAAAATTGGATAGCCATATGCAGAAGAATGAAACTGGACCCATATATCTCAGCATATACAAAAATTAACTCAAGTTGGATTAAAGACCTAAACAGAAGACCTGAAACTATAAAAATTCTGAAAGAAAACCTAGGAAAAACTCTTCTGGACGTTGGCCTAGGCAAAGAATTTATGACCAAGTCCTCAAAAGCAAACGCAATAAAAACAAAATAGACGAATGGGACTTAATTAAACTGAAAAGCTTCTGCACAGCAAAAGAAACAATCAATAGAGTAAACAGACAACCTGCAGAATGGGAAAAAAATATTTGCAAACTATGCATCCAACAAAGGGCTAATATCCAGAATCTACAAGGAACTCAAACAACTCAACGAGAGAAAAAAATAACCCGAATAAAAAGTGGGCAAAGGACATGAACAGACATTTTTCAAAAGAAGAAATACAAGAGACAAACAAACGTCTTTTTAAAAATGCTCAACATCACTAATCATCAGAAAAATGCACAAATCCCAATGATATACTGTCTTACACCAGTCAGAATGGCTATTATGAAAAAGTCAAAACCAACAGATGCTGGCAAAGATGCAGAGAAAAAGGAACACTTATATGCTGTTGGTGGGAATGTAAGTTAGTAAAACCTTTATGGAAAAGCAGTGTGGATATTCCTCAAAGAACTATATATACAGAGCTGCCATTCAATCCAGAGAATCCCGCAAATATTTTTTCTCATTTTCCCAAAGGAAAAAAACGTCATTATATCAAAAAGATACTGCACTCATATGTTTATTGCAGCACTATTCATAAGAGCAAAGATATGGAATCAACCTAAGTGTCCATCAACAGAGGAGTGAATAAAGAAAATATGGTAATTTCATATAATACATATTTTATGGTATAATGTATAAATATAATACACATATTTATATGGTATATATGGTGGGTATATATACCATTATATATTTCATATTATATATAAAATTTTATACTTTTATTCATATAAAATTTATAATTATATATAAATAATATATAAATATATAAAATTTTATATTATGTGTGTATGTGTGTGTGTATATCTATATATACATATATATGTGTGTATATATATATATATATATATATATATATATATATCTCACCATGGAATACTACTCAGCCATAAAAAAGAGTGAAATCATCTCTTTAGCAGCAACATGAATGGAACTGGAGGCCATTATCCTGAGTAAAATAACTCAGAAACTAAAAGTCAAATACTAATACTGCATGTTCTCACTTATAAGTAGGGGCTAAACAATGGATACATGTGGGCATACAGAGTGCAATAATAGACACTGCTGACCCAAAAAGATCAGAGGGCAAAAGGGGGATGAGGGCTGAAAAATGACCTATCGGGTATAATGTTCAGTATTGGGGTGATGGGTACTAAAAGCCTAGACTTCACCACAACACAATACAGGCATGTAAGAAATCTACACTTGTACCTCCCAAATATATAAACATTTCTTAAAATTCTTTTTAAAGAAATAATACTCATCAACTTCATTCTCTGGGCTTCCACTCTTTTAATTCACATAAATAAATTATACTTGTATTGTTTTATAAGCTTAGAAAATGCTTTTAACTAAATGACTCCAGCTCATCCTTATAACAGTCCTATCATCTTTTTAAAAATAATAATGTTGGCTGGGCGTAGTGGCTCACGCCTGTAATCCCAGCACTTTGGGAGGCCGAGGTGGGTGGATCACAAGGTCAGGAGATCGAGACCATCCTGGCGAACACGGTGAAACCCCATCTCTACTGAAAATACAAAAAATTAGCCAGGCGCGGTGGCAGGTGCCTGTAGTCCCAGCTACTCGGGAGGCTGAGGCAGGAGAATGGCATGAACCTGGGAGGCGGAGCTTGCAGTGAGCCGAGATAGCGCCACTGCACTCCGGCCTGGACGAAAGAGCGAGACTCTGTCTCAAAAAATAATAATAATAATAATAATAATAATAATAATAATGTTAACATATAGTACTTTATATGTCCCAGGCACTATTTATTGTGTCTTATGTTCTGTAGTCCTAAATTCACTTCGTCATATAGCTCTGTGAGGTAAGTACTATTATTATCCCCATATTTACTGACCCAGAGAGGTTAAGTAGCATGATCAAGCTCATACACCTAGTAAGTAGTGGTGCTGGTATAGAACCCAGAGAGACAGGTTTCAGACTGTGATGCCTACATATAAGGCAATTAAAGTTTATGAACCCTCTAACAGGTAACAGTGAGGAAGTGCCAGAATCAGGACTCAAACCCAGGTCTGTCTGCCTCCAGCGCCCCCAGTAGATTTTTCTGACCTGCTGTCTTGCACATCCAAGTAATCTAATAGAAATAGCTTTGAGTTGATGGCCAGCAGTAAAATAGAATAATCAGTCAACTGCTGGGTGACCTTGGGCAAATCAGTTTACCTCCATGCTTCACCTGAAAAATTAGGGAATCAGACTCATTTGAGCTTTAATATCCTGTAATTCTAGGCCACTGTTTTCCTATACTGAATTGTCTGCAGCAATGCTGTTTGAAGAAAAGAGACATGGGTTAGGGCTCAATGTCAGTCCGCACTACACCACCCCTTAAGGAAAAAGCTGAAAAATGCCTCTCTTTACCTGGTAAAATTCGACATGTTCTATGAGATGCAGCTCAAATGCATAGCAGCTAGAAGCACAGACATGTCTCTGAAGACCTCTCCAGCATACAGCCTCTTTCTTTCATCAATATTGGTAAGAATTACTCACTCGCTGCTCTGTCCTGCTGCAATACTCGGTTCATGCCTGTATAACAGCATTCACTGACTTTAGGAGTGTGTGAGAGTGTCACTAGAAGTTCCTCCAGGACACGGTCTCCATTTTATTCCTTCATATGCTCAGTAAATTGTATTAGGCTGACCATACGTAAGTGCCAATATTTTATCATCTTTGACCTATACAAATGGCAATTTCACATGTTTCAACTTATAAGATGCTCATTAAATATAACCATATTTGCTGTTGTGCAACATATGCATTCCTGGAAAACCTCATGTTCTGCAAGAAGGGTCAGCCAGATATTTCTGAAAAGGGCCACACAGTAGCTATTTTAGACTTTATATGCCATATAGTCCCTGACCCAACTATTCCTTTTTTGCCATTGTCACAAGAAAGCAGCCATGAAAAATCAGTAAATAAATGAGTATGGCTGCATTCCAATAAAACCACATCTATAAAAACAGACTAGACTCAAGAAAAAAACAGAAAATCTGCATAGACCTATAACAAGTAAAGAGACTGAATTAGCAATCAAAAAAGTTTCTTACAAAAAAGGCTCAAAATCAGATGGTATCCTGATGAATTCTACCAAATATTTAAAGAATAACTAATACCATTTATTTACAAACACTTGCAGAAAATAAAAGAGGAAGGAACAATTCCTAACTCACTTTATGAAGCTAATGTTACCCTAATACAAAAAAGGACATCACAAAAAATTCTACAGACTAATGTCTTTTAAGAATACAGATGTAAAACTCCTAAAAAAAAAAAAAAAAAAAAAACCACTAGCAAATCGAATCCAGAAATATATAAAAAGGAGTATGTGCAATGACCAAGAAGGATTTATCCCCTTTGGGAGGCCAGGGCGGGCAGATCATGAGGTCAGGAGACTGAAACCATCCTGGCTAACACGGTGAAACCCCATCTCTACTAAAAATACAAAAAATTATCTGGGCGTGGTGGCAGGTGCCTGTAGTCCCAGCTACTCGGGAGGCTGAGGCAGGAGAATGGCATGAACCCGGGAGGCAGAGCTTGCAGTGAACCAAGATTGTGCCACTGCACTCCAGCCTGGGCAACAGAGCGAGACTCCCTCTCAAAAAAAAAAAAAAAAAAAGAAGAAGAGGGATTTATTCCAGAAATGCAAGGTTGGCTTAGCATCTGAAATTCAGTGTAAATACACCATATTAATAGAACAAAGGACAAAATGACATGATCAACTGAATAGATACAGAAAAAGCATTTGACAAAATTCATCACCCCTGTATAATAAAAGCACTCAGCAATCTAAGGGTCAGGCATAGTGGCTCACACTGATCACCCCAACACTTTGGAAGGCTGAGGCAGGACTGCTTGAGGCCAGGAGTTTGAAACCAGCCTAGGCAACATAGCAAGACCCCATCTCTGAAAGCATAATAAATAAATAAATAAATAAATAAATAAATAAATAAATAAATTAGCTGGGCATGGTGGCACGCTTGCAGTCTCAGCCAGTCAGGAGATTGAGGTGGGAGGATTCCTTGGACCCAGGAGTTCAAGGTTACAGTGAGCTATGATCACACCACTTCACTCCAGCCTGGGTGACAGAGTGAGACCCTGTCTAAGAAAAATAATAATAGTCAAAAGAAATACATTTAAACAAACTAGGAATGGAAGGGGACTTCCTTACCCTGATAAAGGGCATCTACAAAAAGTCACAACTGACTTCATACTTAATATTGAAAGACTGAATGCTTTCCTCCTAAGATTATGAACAGGACAAGGATGTCTACTCTCATGTCTTCTATTCTGTCTACGTTATTCTAGCCAGGCCAATTAAGTAAGAAATACAAAATAAAAGGCGTCCACATTGGAAAAAAAAAAAAAGAGTAATACTATCTCTATTTGGAGATGACATGATCTTGATATAGGAAATTTTAAGAAATCCATTAAAAAAATTAAAACTAATAAACAAGTTCAGCAAGATTGCAGGATATGAGCTCAATATACAAAAGCCTATTGTATTTTGAAACACTAGCAATAATCTGAAAATAAAATTAAGAAAATAATTCCATTTACAGCAGCATCAATAAAGTATTGAGGGATAAATTTAAGAAAAGAAGTGCAAAACAATAATTTCTTTGGAGGAAATTAAAGAAGACCTCAGTAAGTGGAAAGACATCCCATGTTCCTGGATCAAAAGACTTAATATGGTTAAGAGGGCAATACACTCTAAATTAATATACATAGTCAATGCAATTCTTATGAGACAGTGTAGGATGCCAAGAAACAGATAAGTAGAATCTGAAACATAAGAGAAGCCTTAGATTGACTGGAAGAGGAACCACTGTCTTAGCCAAACACAGGAAAACCTAATGAACAATTTAGGAATTTGTAAATTAATAATCATAACCATTATATACAATCTTATGCTAACTGAAAAATAAACTATGTACAATCCTCATTCCAAAATTTGGACTCAGTCTTCTCAACTAACCCTTTTTGCCATATCCACAAAATACAGAGTTAATCTTTTTGGGGTATGGTCTGAGATAGCTATCATGATTGAGTGGACCCGCCCTGACAAACAAAATCACTTCTTCGTTGCCAAAGAGGGCTGATAGAACCATTTTTGAATAATGCTTTAGCTCATTTCAATGCAGGAATGATAAGCATTATCCAAGTAGGAGTGGTCACATGGACAATGAGTATCCTTACCATCAGAATGGTTTTCTTGGGGCTAAAGAAGTTACCTAGCTGGAAGGAACTGTGTATGTCTTCTCATTCACTCAACATATATTGAGTGTTTGCTAGATACTGAAGATATGGCAAAGAACAAGCCTCAATTCTTGCTCCAACCCTAGAATTTGCAATCTAGCTTAAATATCATCCAAGTCAGTAGTTCTCACCAAGGGGCAATTTTACACCCCAGGGAGCATTTGGCAATATCTGGGGACATTATTGGTCACAATTAGGGAACTGCTACTGGCATCTACTGGTTAGAAGGCAGGGATGCTTCTAAACATTCTGCAATGCACAGGACTGCCTTCAACAACAAAGAACTATCTAGCCCATAATTTCAATAATACCCTGATTAAGAAACTTGATCAATCTCAGTCTCTCCATTTTACAGAAGAAACTGAGGCCCATGTAATGACGTGCCCAAGATCATCAAGCATCCAAATGTCCTGGTTTCATTCTGCATTCGGTAGGTTTCCCGTTTCCCTTTTTGAGCTGAGATTGAGGACCCATTTTGATATGTTTTCTGCTCTCTAAAAGCAATAAGCTCTGCAGCAGCGCCTTAATGGAAAGCTGCTTTCACCAGCAATAGAAAAGCACTCATATTCAATCTGTGTGTGTGCCACTAGAAATGGGCACTAGACATGAGGGACAGAGCTGCCTTGGCAAGGTTGGCTGTGGCCTCTAGACTTTGTCTGAAAGTAAAGATGACATAAAAAAAATCAAAAATAAAAAACAAACAAACATGGACTTAGAAGTTTCATTTATGCACTTTTTTTTTTTTTTTTTTTTTTTTTTTTTTTTTTTGAGACAGGGCTCATTCTGTCACCCAGGCTGGAAGGCTGGACTGCAGCGCTGGAGTGGCACAATTATAGCTCACTGGAACCTCAAATTCCTGGACTCAAGTGATCCTCTCACCACAGCTGGGACTACAGGAATGTGCCACCATACTGGCTAATTTTTTTTTCTTAAAGTTGGGGTCTTGCTAGCATTCCTTCCTTTTCTTGTTCATTCACAAATTCAACAAAAGCACACTGAGCCCCAGTGTATGCTGAGCACAAGGCTAGAAACTAGAGGCATGATGATGAGTAATAAATTTGTGGTGCCTGCCTTCAAGAGCTCACAATAAACAAGAGACACATGAGTAAATCAGGCATCATCACACATTGACATAGAAGCATAGACAGAGGCAAACACAGGATGGAAAGGGGGTATGCTAGTCAGGGTTATTGGTTGCAAGCAACAAAAATCGATTTTAGCTTATTTGACCCAAAAAATGAATTTACAGGAAAGATACAGGGAACTCACAGAAGCACCAGACAGCCTGAAGGTGAAGGCTCATAAAACAGCAGGAGAAGAGAGATGCAGCAGCAGCTAGTACCTCAGTCTCAAAACTACCAGTGGTAAAGACCCTACAGCCAGATTTGGGGAACAGCAGCTATTGGAGTCTAACAACATTACTCTAGCACTAGACATGTTAAGTTGCACTGAACTGCTGACCCCATGCCCGTGGAACCCACATGTTGCTGTCACAGCTGTGCCAGAATGGCTTCTCCACTGTCTCAGCTTTTTTAGCTTCCCAGGCACTAAAGCAATCTTTGGATTCAATTATCCTAGGTCACTCATCCTCACTCCAGCTGCAAGGCATGCTGGGATGGTAAGCATCTAACCTGTTGAGTTGCTACAGGTAGAGGCCGACTGCATCACCCGCCACCAAAAAAAAAAAAAAAAAAAAAAACTTGGAAAGAGGAAGTCTTCCTTCCAGGCTTTGGTGAAATGTCACCTTCTCAGTGATACCACTCTATTTAAAACTCTGATATTTCCCTCCCCTGGAATCTTTATTACCCATGATATATTTTCCCATGACTCTTATCGCCATGTGAAATTCTACATGTCTATTTATTCGGGTGTTTGTCTGTCTCTTCTTTGTCAAATTCAAGCTCCAGAGGGAAGGAATTTGTGTCTGGTTTTTTCACCACTGCATCTTTAGTGCTTGGAACATAGCAGACCCTCAGTAAATATTGTCAAACAAATGAGTGAATGAGTGAATTCTCCAAACATGGGGAGATCGAAGATCCTGAGAATCCAGATTTTCAACAAATGCTCACTACAAAGAGCCTATGGGAAAGATGCAAAAGATAACTTAGCCTGGGAGTGAAATCACAGAGAGCTCCTTGGAGGAAGTGATACCTGAGCTGACTCTTCAGAAAAAGCAGTGCAGACAGCTCAAGATCAGGAGAGCAAGATTTAAGCAATTATATGGGATTCCAAGAATGTGTTGTTTCATGGTTTGGCATGGTTCCAGGATGCTTCTCTGCCAAGCTCCTGCATCTTTTTTGTATGAGGGAGGCATAGGCTTGGACCAGTGAAGCAGCAAGCTTGACTATAAGAGGCCAAGATTCAGAGCTTAAAGGTCAATGGAATCTAACCCACAACATCCAAGAGTTGCACTGGTGGGCTAGGGTAGTCCCTTGTAGACTAGAATGGTAGGTTCTTTTTCTTTCTTTCTTTCTTTCTTTCTTTCTTTCTTTCTTTCTTTCTTTCTTTCTTTCTTTCTTTCTTCTTTCTTTCTTTCTTTCTTTCTTTCTTTCTTTCTTTCTTTCTTTCTTTCTTTCTCTTTCTTTCTTTCTCTTTCTTTTTTTTTTTTTAGATGGAGTCTCGCTCTGTTGCCCAGGCTTGAGTTCAGTGGAGTGCAGTGGTGCAATCTCGGCTCACTGCAACCTCTGCCTCCCGAGTTGAAGCCATTCTCCTGCCTCAGCCTCCCAAGTAGCTAGGACTACAGGCTTGTGCCACGATACCTGGTTAATTTTTGTATTTTTAGTAGAGACAAGGTTTTACCATGACTGGCTAATTTTTGTATTTTTAGTAGAGACAGGGTTTTACCATGACTGGCTAATTTTTTTGTAGAGATGAGGTCTCACCATGTTGCCCAGGCTGGTCTCAAACTCCGCCCGCCTTGGCCTCCCAAAGTGCTGGGATTACCAGCATGAGCCACTGCACCTGACCAAGAATGGCAGGTTTTAAGGAACATCTGGAGCCTTAAACAAAAAGCTGTTACTTTGAACTTTATTTGGAGAAAAGCAATCAGAGCAGTGAGAGAATAAATAATGATCACGCCTATGAGGCAAATGAGTTTTTCTCAGGTTTAAAGGTGCTTGTGTTATTATTACCTGGATAGCTTTTTGTTTAAGTGATTATGTTCCCATAGAACTTTTTGTAATTCATCAAAATTCATAGGATGTGGAAGGCCAGAAAAAAAAAAAGTAGGTGGTAGGGTTATTACTTGAAGTTCAATTCAATAAATATAATTTATTTTTCTATAGAGTCCTTTCTACAAAATAGTGCCAGCGGCTTTACTGTCCAACAAGACTGAGTTTGAATGACTTAAGTTATTTGCTTTCAGACCAAATGGACTTTTATGAACATTTTGACTTCCCCCCTGCACTAAATGAAGTGATATAGAGCTATTCTCGACATAATTTCTGTCACCGCCATTATCTTTCCTTGCTCCAGCTCTTTTGCAGAGCTCCAAAATGACATAAAGTGATAATTGCTGCAGTATTTCCCCTCATGAAGGGGATCACTTTTGCTTTTTATGGTTGATCACTTCAGAAGGGCCTTTTACAAGGTGCTGAGTGGTGCAATGGGGAAAAAAGGAGCTGATGAGGACAAGACCCTAAAGACGGTGCCTAGAATTCTCTCCTCTGTCACATTCAACGGACTCGGCTAAAACTGTCGGGCAGACAGTATTGTAGATCTTGGAAGTGCAGACATGAGCCACATACAGCCTCGTCACCTTGTGCCTTATCTCATCTCCTTATGACATTCAAATAAATAGTAAAGGAAAGGCAATTTACATCTTTGCTGCAGTTTCTGCTGAAAATAACAAAGGGGAACAGACTTTCATAATGCATAGCAAAACTCAAAAATCCTTTCCCCAGCCTCTCTCCCTCCTCATTCCGTGCTCCCTAATGTCCCCTCATAAATCAACACCCTGCAATCTTTCTGTTTTCTCTTTTCTCCATACACGGGCTCAGCCTTCTGGCTTCCTCAAGTCTTCCTTTTCTACCATCACCTAGATACAAGAAAAGAGAGCAAGTAAGGTGAGCCTAAGGCAGAAAAAAATTCCACAGATTTATAATTTAATATATTTTCTCCCTTCTAAGAGTGCCTATTCAGAGCACAGTTTTGTTTTGGTTAAACCTAGAATGTAAAATATTATGTTATCAACAAGACTTCCTGTCTGCTTATAAAGAAGCCTTTGGGCCGGGCGCAGTGACTCACACCTATAATCCCAGCACTTTGGGAGGCCGAGGCGAGCGGATCACCTGAGGCTGGGAGTTCGAGACCAGCCTGACCAACATGGAGAAACCCCGTCTCTACTGAAAATAATTAGCCAGGCATGGTGGCATGCACCTGTAGTCCCAGCTACTTGGGAGGCTGAGGCAGGAGAATCGCTTGAACCCAGGAGGTGGAGGTTGCAGGGAGCCGAGATCATGCCATTGCACTCCAGCCTGGGCAACAAGAGCGAAAGTCCATCTCAAACACAAAAAGAAGCCTTAGAACTGGGGGGAAAAAAAGGCAAAGAAAATACCTGTGTCTAATTTACCATGAGCAAAGATTTAATTACCTCAGATGTGACTGAAGAACATCTCTTTCTCTGTGAGAGTGGTGAAAAATCCTCAAAATAAATAGACCTGCTTTTTTCTAATTCCCTTAGCCAATGACCAGTTCATTCAAATAAACCTAGGAGTCCAGCTGACATTTTTTAAAACTGTGCTAAAATACGTGTAACATAAAACTTACCATCTTAACCATTTTTAAATGCACGATTCAGTGGCATCAAGCGCATTCATATTGTTGTACAACCATCACCACCATCCACCCTCAGAACATTTTCATCATGTCCAGCTGTAACTCTACGCTCATTAATCAATCACTCCCCATTCATCCCTTCCCCCAGCCTCTGGAAAACACCTTTCTCCTTTCTTTCCCTATGAATTTGAATATCCTAGATTGCTCATGTAAGTGGAATCATCCAGTATGTATTCTTTTGTGGTTGGCTTGTTTCCTTTGGCATATAATGTCCTCAAGATTCATCTGCGTTATAGCATGTATCAGAATTCCCTTAATCCTATAATCCTAGCTAGCCCTTTGGGAGGCCCAGGTGGGAGGATCACTTGAGGCCCAGAGCTCGAGATCAGCCAGGGCAACGTAGTGAGACCCTGTATCAACAAAAGAAAAAAGAAAGAAAGAATCCCCTTACTTTTTAAGGCTGAGTAATACTCCATTGTATGTATTGATCACTTTTTGTTTAGCCATTCATCAGTTGATGGACACTTGGATGGCTTCCATCTCTTAGCTATTGAAAATAATGCTGCTATAATATGAACATGGGAGTACTCAAGTCACCATTTTTTTGTCCAACACAAGAGTCTGGAGTCCATTTTGTTCCTGCTGGACTTTTGTTGGGTAGAAAAATGGCAGCCATAAACATTGAGTGTTCCAACTCTTCACTCATGATTGAAGTGGATTCTTTGTGGGGACTCAATAGCCCATATCCCTGTTCTGTAAGAACTGCCTCCTCATCCATAGGTTGAGATGCTGCAGCTCTTTGCATTGTAAGGGACTCCACTCACTCACCTCCCCAGACACAGGAGCCTGGATAAGAAAAAAAACCCTGACCAGGGGAAGCCAAATCATTGGTGAGATGAGCCAATTAAATTATTTCTCTCAGTAATCTGGAATTGGACTCACTGAGTTATCGGACTTGTACAGTATGTAAATTCAGAGCCAGGGGACCATGCTTGGAGCAGTCACTCCACCAGCCCTCCAAGGTGGAAAATGGAGAAAGCCCATCTAAGAGAGAAGGGTAAAGCCCTATACGGAGAGAAAGAAAAGAGACATTCTCTGGCCTGAGAAAATCCAAGAAAGTTATACCCCCAGAGAAAGGAACAGAGACTCAAATAGAAGGAATCTGCCTCTGATGCCACTGACTTTCCTGTTCCTGAAAGACCGTATTTCCCATTCCAGGATTCCATGACGGCCCCATGTGTCCTTCTAAAACAGTTCCTGATTTGCTTAAGCTATTTTGAGTGACTTCTCTTCTCTGTAACGCAGTATGTCAGGATAATCTATTGAGATATTAATTTCTGTCTTGTTTCTCAGCTAGGGGAAGGAAAGATGAGAAAGTAATGTTCTGTTTCTCCTCACCTGCTGGAAGAAGAGTTAAATTTTTGTTTCTGTTTTATTGTTCTGAGATCACACTTCCAATATGGTAGCCACTAGCCACATGTGGCTGTTGAGTGCTTGATATGTGATCCATTCAAATAGAAATGTGGCTTAAGTGCAAAATACACACTGGATTTCAGTGACTTAACACTAAAAATTGATGTAAAATATCTCCTAATAATGTTATACTGATTGCATGTTAAAATGGTTATATCTTGAATATAGTAGGTTAAAGAAAATATATTATTAATATAAATTTTATCTACTTTTTAAAAATGACTACTAGAAATTTTTTAATTTATGTGGCCCAAGTTATATATATCTCTGGGACAGTGCCAATCGAAGGCCTAGACTAGTTTTTAGGGAAGAGTAAGATGTCATAGCATCTTTGAATTGCAGGAGCTCTTCTGATCAAAGCCAGGTCTACAGTCGGCAGGTGAGACTGACTATGGAATTAAGCTGAAGTTGCTACAGAGGAGAGAGGAGGGAAGGGTTGGCACTGTGAGTGGAGGAAGAAATTGTGCCACCCTGGGAAAGAACTGGAGTTCTTAGGGCTGAGAGGGTGGAGGGAGACAGATTCTGTGAGTGCTGGAGACCTGTGTTCTTCTCCCTTGCAGTGCCCTGAAGGAAGTAAACCTCTGATAGGGTAATGCTTGGATCCTAGGGTTGATCACCAAAAACCATGACCTACAGGCTCTACAAAGGTCTCTGAATCTAAGCCACAGCTCACTCAGCTCGGCCACTGTAGGGAGTATCTCTAAAACAAACAGCTGAGGACAAAACCCCTCCTGGAACCAAAATAACCTTCAGGATTTGGTACAATCCCATGGGGTGGGAGAAACAGCCCACTGATGACAGATTCTGCACCTCTCATCAGTCATGTGGGTGGGGGCTCAGAGCCAGATTTAATTTGATTTAGATAAATGAAGAAATGTAAAGCTTTCTGCATCCTGGCACTGTGGAGCAAAGTCATGTCTGTTTCACAAATAATCTTTGGCTAAGGCAGCTATGCACCTGCAAGTCTTCAAAAATGTATTCAGGGCATCTGAGGCCAAAGGCCCCTGGGCCTCTATGCATCCAGCTGGCTGCAGGACTTCTTTCCCATAGCCTCCAACCTGAAGCATTAGGACCCCTGCTTTCCAGGTAGATACATCTTCTTAGGAATATGCTCAGAAATTCCAGGAGCTAGAGGCCAAGAGAATCCCTACTAATGCAGAAGCCACCATCCTGAAACCTCTGAACTAAGAAAGGTCCTTAGGGATAATATAGCCCACCTCCCTTATTTTATTGTGAAGAAGTCAAAGTCTGGATGAGAGGTAGGGAGGGCTTGCTCAAGGACATGAGGCAATAGTCAGACCTCTAACTAGAAGACAACCCCTTTTTACTCGCCTGAGCATCTCAAATGTTCCTGTAGCCCTGTCCTCAACACTGCAACCTCAGATCTTTCCCTTTCCAAAGAAGTCACAGTTTGTAAGATTCCAGGCAATTTCATCCATGTCCCTACAAAGGACGTGAACTCATCATTTTTTATGGCTGCATAGTATTCCATGGTGTATATGTGCCACATTTTCTTAATCCAGTCTATCATTGTTGGACATTTGGGTTGGTTCCAAGTCTTTGCTATTGTGAATAATGCCGCAATAAACATACGTGTGCATGTGTCTTTATAGCAGCATGATTTATAGTCATTTGGGTATATACCCAGTAATGGGATGGCTGGGTCAAATGGTATTTCTAGTTCTAGATCCCTGAGGAATCGCCACACTGACTTCCACAATGGTTGAACTAGTTTACAGTCCCACCAACAGTGTAAAAGTGTTCCTGTTTCTCCACATCCTCTCCAGCACCTGTTGTTTCCTGACTTTTTAATGATTGCCATTCTAACTGGTGTGAGATGGTATCTCATAGTGGTTTTGATTTGCATTTCTCTGATGGCCAGTGATGATGAGCATTTTTTCATGTGTTTTTTGGCTGCATAAATGTCTTCTTTTGAGAAGTGTCTGTTCATGTCCTTCGCCCACTTTTTGATGGGGTTGTTTGTTTTTTTCTTGTAAATTTGTTTGAGTTCATTGTAGATTCTGGATATTAGCCCTTTGTCAGATGAGTAGGTTGCGAAAATTTTCTCCCATTTTGTAGGTTGCCTGTTCACTCTGATGGTAGTTTCTTTTGCTGTGCAGAAGCTCTTTATTTTAATTAGATCCCATTTGTCAATTTTGTCTTTTGTTGCCATTGCTTTTGGTGTTTTGGACGTGAAGTCCTTGCCCATGCCTATGTCCTGAATGGTAATCATCATTCTCAGTAAACTATCGCAAGAACAAAAAACCAAACACCGCATATTCTCACTCATAGGCGGGAACTGAACAATGAGATCACATGGACACAGGAAGGGGACTATCACACTCTGGGGACTGTTGTGGGGTGGGGGGAGGGGGGAGGGATAGCATTGGGAGATATACCTAATGCTAGATGACGAGTTAGTGGGTGCAGCACACCAGCACGGCACATGTATACATATGTAACTAACCTGCACAATGTGCACATGTACCCTAAAACTTAAAGTATAATAATAAAAAAAAAGAACCATCAAGATTATCATTAAAAAAAAAAAAAAAGATTCCAGGCAGAGTACTTCTAGCTGTATAACAATCAGATATCTAAGTTGAGATGTTGAAACTCTACAAGGAGGAAATTAACTTTATCAGAACTATGCACATGTACACATATTGTATTAAGATATAACTTAGTACAGCTGCTGTAGCTCCTATCACTGAGAACCAGAAGAAGGTGTTTTAAATAAGAAGTGTATTATTATCTCATGAAACAATCTGTAATAAGCCATTCAGGGTTAGTAAGGAGGCTCCAGAGTGCTTGTGGCCCAGGACCTTTCCATCTTGTTGTTCTTCCACACACAGGGTATAGTCCTTGACCCTCTGGTCCAAGACAGCCCATTCTCATGCCGGCATTCCCCGCAGTGGGAGTGGGGGAAAAGGAAGAAATGTGGACAGCATATCCCTGCCCTTTAAAGACATGACCCTGAAGTTGCTCAAATCACTTCTGCTCACACCCACGGAGCAGAACGTATTCACATGGCCATACCTCACTGCAAGGGATACCAGAAAGTAACCTTTATTCCAAGAAGCCATGTATCTAAGAAAAAGTTTCTTGCTATAGAAGGATAAAATGATGGATGTGGGAGACAACGAGTGGTCTTTTTTACATACTCTTGTATGTAAAAGAGTATGCAGCTGCTCAAGGACCCATACCCACACATAAACACACATGCTCAAATAGAAACACACACGTACATAGCAATCCATGCACATGAGACCCACACTCATGTATATGCACTCACACACATTCAAATATACACACACTACAGTCCTTTGCACATTTGTATGTCCATTTATACACTGATTCATAAGCATACACATACACCAATGTGATGGTGCCTCTAACACACACACACACACACACACACACACACATATATGCAAATACACATGGAAAGAGAGGAAGAGAGAGAGAGAGAGAGACCCTGCAAAACCTATAATTCCACTCTGCAATGTGGTGGGGATCACATCCCAGTCTTCATATGTCTCCATTCATTGGGAATGCCCTGTGTTCTGTGTTTAGGATACATTCTTTTTTTACTATTAGTATATTTAGAAGGGCATTTAGAACAAGATTAAAGCAGCACAACAGAACGTAAAACAAAATGATATATCATGGAGGTCCACATCCATAACCACTAAGGTAGCCGATACCTCACCCTGTCTATTGGCAATCCGTCCACTGCATGTTTGGACCTGCCCTGCTCTTCAGGAGGACATGTAAAATACTAGCACCAACTAGTATAGAAGACCTCTAAGACTTCTAAGACCAACTACCATGGGAAAGGAGGCAGAATTAAAAGCAAGCCTAGGATAATGTGAAATATTCTGTGTCACTGCACATTGCCTGGCATGTAATATCTTTTGGATGGATGGATGGATGGATGGATAAATAAATGGATAAATGGATAGATGCATTAATAGATAGCATAGAACATTCTGCACTCCACCCTGACCTCACTTCTACAACTCAATCCCCTGGCACAGTACCAGGCACACAGTAGGTACTCAAACAATAGTTAAGCCAACTGGCTGGTTGATAGGATGGATGAATAAATAATTCATAACCTTTTCCATCCTTCTTGGAAAATGAGTGTTTTTCCCAAGCAACATTTTGAATTAAGTAAAGCAAATTACAGGGGAGGAGAGGAACTAACATTTATTGACAATTTCTATGTTCCAGGCTGAACACTTACATGGACATGACATTGAATTCTCAAAAGAAGTCAATAAGTAGGCTCTTTTATTGTCTTCCCTATCTTACAGTTTGTGATGGTTAAATTGATGTGTCAACCTGACAGGACTAAGAGGTGCCCAGATAGCTGGTAAAACATTACTTCTGGAAGCGTCTGTGAGGGTGTTTCCAGTAGAGATTAGCATTTGGATCAATGGACTGAGTAAAGAAGACAGCTTTCCCCAAAGTGGGTGGGTATCATCCAATCTATTTACAGTCTAATAGAATAAAAAGAAGGAGGGAGTGTGAATTTGCTCTCTTCTTGAGCTGGGACATCTATCTTTTCCTGCCCTCAGACAACAGAGCTCTTCCTTATTGGATTTTGGGACTCAGACTGGGGCTTATACCATTGGCCTTCAAGCTGGGACTGAAACTATATCACTGGCTTTCTTACGTCTCCAGCTTGCAGATGGCAGATTGTGGAATCTTCAGTTTCCATAATCACGTGAGCCAATCTTTCACAATAAATCTCTGTCTGTTTATATAGATATAGATCCTATTGGTTCCATTTCTATGGAGAACCCTGATTAATACACAGTCGATAAAACTGAGGCACAAAAAGATTAAGTGCCTTGCCCAAGGTCACTTGCTCACGCTAGTAAATGCAGAGCAGGGATTTGAACCAGGGCTGTCTGTCTCCATCCTGCAATGATGCAATTCTATAGAATGCTTTTCCCAATTGCGATGGGGTGTCGAAACCCAGTTTGTGTAACAGATGAGGGAGAGGCAGCTTTGGCTGCTTTGACTCAGGACTTCAGTGCTCTGCCGTACCCCTGTCATTCTCTGCTTGTTTCCAAAGACACCTCTATGGACCCCTAAACTTCCATGAAGCAAGACATGAAACAATGTGGAAAACCACTTCTCTGTAGGCTACTCCAGGGCTCTTCCTGGCCCTGCGCTAAGCAGCCTTCCATCCTACTACAGCAGAGATGATATTACATTCCCCAAAAGCTTCCAACCAGCAGGGGGAAAAGCAGTGGGTATGACACAATAAAAAGAATCCAGACAGAATTGGGCTTTGTTGCCTCACCATTTTGGGCTTCTGTTTCTTCAGATGTACAATGGGCATACTAATGTCCACTTCATAGGAGTGATGGGAGGATGAAATGAAATGATGTATGCGAAGTGCTCTGTGTGTGGTGCACATAAAAAAAATACTCAATAGAAGTCAGATGGTGGCACCAGTAGTGGAGGAAGCATCAACATATCCTAGTTTTCTGGATCTAGATGTGGCAACTCCTTCTTTTCTTTGGCTCCTCTGGCAGCATAAAATTGTTTCAAAACGTAGGTTTGAATTCAAATGCCAAGTCTGCTGTTTATTAGCTGTGTGACCCTGGGCAAGTCACTTAACCTCTCTGAGCTTCCATTTCTGCTTTCTTAAATGTTGACAGTGTCCTCTAACTTATGCTGTGAGAATCAAATGAGATGAAGGATGAAACGTGCCACCCAGGGAAGCATACATAAGGATTCATCTTCCCTTCCTATCGCCCAGGCTTGGGAACTCAAAGTGAAAGCTGACAGCTTCAATTCACATGAAATCCACAAGTATTTTCCTTAGGATGCAGATTTTCCCAGCCAGTTCTCACTCCTGGGTTTATCATTCTCTCCTTCCCACCAGGCTCCATGAAGTTGGCTTCAGTTTGTCTGCTGTGTGACAACTCTCTCCTTATTATTTATTTATCTCCAAACAACCAGGGAGAGAGAGTAGGCTGGCTCTTGCTTTAGGCAGACATCCTCAGAGATATAAATTGCTCCCTTAGCCAGCTGAGACAAAGAAAGATTTGGAGCCCTGGATGAATGGACTGCAAACTCCTGCCCCACACCCTTGGCCTGGGGGAAGGGGGGGATACCCGTAGCTCCATCATCCAGCTGGCATCATGGAGAAATATGAGTCACTGAGATTCCTGGAAAAGTACCACTTGAGAAGAGGCTTTTCAGGGCCAGTACAATGATTTACTAGTCCACTGTACCATCTGAATAGTAATGCCCGGATGTCCTCGCAACACCTCCGTCATCTTGTGAAAAGAATCTCTGAGCCAGGCAGCTGAGGCAGAATCCATAATGGCAGGAGGTAATTAGCTGTCATATCTACCTTTACCACTGCCAAAGGGGTTGGAGTCTCATGCTCCCTCCTTGGGTTTCCCATTCTGGAGTGTGTGTGTGTGTGTGTGTGTGTGTGTGTATAGGAAGGATGGGAGATGGGGTGTGAAGCCCTGAGCTCGACACATTTATTTTATACACAAGAGAAACAGACAATCATGGGTCATATTTTCATATTTTCTGACTACTCACTAGATTGTCAAGCATTGTCTGAGAGGCCTTTGCAAGAACTAACTCTTATAATCCTCACAAGAGCCCTATGAGATAGGTATTTTAACACACCCATTTACAGATGTAGAAACTGAGACACAAGAAGCCCCTGCACTCAGGGCACAGAGTTGGGAAGTGGCAGAACCTGCATTTGGACCATGAACATCTGGCTCTAGAGCTCACACTCTCAATGACTGTTCGATCTCACAGCTCGAGAGAATGACTTCCGCCAGGCATGGTGGCTCACGCCTATAATCCCAGCACTTTGGGAGGCCGAGGCAGGTGGATCACCTGAAGTCAGGAGTTCGAGACCAACCTGGCCAACATGGTGAAACCCCGTCTCTACTAAAAATACAAAAATTATCTGGGTATGGTGGCGTGCACCTGTAATGCTAGCTATTCAGGAGGCTGAGGCAGGATAATCGCTTGAACTTGGGAGGCAGAGGTTGCAGTGAGCTGAGATTGTGCCAATGCATTCCAGCCTGGGTGACAGAGCGAGACTCCTTCTCAAAACAAACAAACAAATAAACGAATTAAGAGAATGACTTCCAGGGTCAATCTGAAATCACCTTTGCAAAATTATGACAGTAAGAGATATCTGACGTAGTTGACTCCATCTTGCTTCTAACCGCCAAACCATCCTTGGTCATTCCTGGGCATAGGCCAAGCCAACTTTGGAAGGAATTTAGTTTATAGTTTAACTTTGAAGCAAGGATGATAATAGTTCCCCCCACAAAACTAATCCTCTCTTTTTTCTGGGGCTGAAACTGTCTTTGTAAGACTAATGAAAGGCCACAAGATTAGGATCATGAGAGGACCATGAGGTCTGCTAAAACGTAGGCATGGTTTCTATAATCCCGAGGCCACAAAATGTGTGACTTTCTCAGTTTCTCCTAGGGATAACATCACTATTGTAGAACCTACGACTGGTTTTTTAAGGTGTTTTTCAGACTGATCCCATCCAGATTCATGACTCAACTGGTCCGTAGTCCCACCCAGAGGCAGACTCAGCATATGAGGACCATTTTCCACACCCCTATGATTTCATCCCCAACCAATCATAGGTGCCATTCCCTAGCACCCTGCCCACCAAACTGTCCATAAAAACTCTAACCTCCAAGCCTTCAAAGGGACTGATTTGAGTAATAACTCCATCTTCCATCCATGTGGCTGGCCTTGTGTTAATAAAACTCTCTCTCTGCTACAATGGCACAGTTTCAGCGAATTGATTTTGTTTGTGCAGTGAGCAGAAGGAACCCATCGGGCAATTATATATCTATGGAGTCCAAGTTCCCTTAAGTACTAAGACTCTGTCTGGAAGGCAAACATGCATTTTATCTGCCTGCTCCTTCAGCAAACATGTTCTAAGTACCTATGATGTGCCTGGTGCTGGGCTGGGCACACATCTCATGGAGATGAATTGGATCAGGATCCCGTACAGAAAGAACAGTCGGAAGGACTAGACGCATGCACATAATTGTCATAACATAATAGTCATTGTGCGTTAATTTACTTCATTGGCACCACCACCTTATGAAGTAGGTGCAATTATTATCCCCATTCCACAAATGACAAAAGTGAGATTCAAAACTTTAGTAATTTGCTCAGGATTACAGTTAGCAAGTAGCAGAGGCAGAAATGGAAAAAAGGCATGTAGCCACAGAGCCTCCCTTGGCTCCTGTCCTCCATCCACATAGGACAGAATGTGGTAAGGCCATAAGGGTGTCCAAATAAAGTGCTAACAGTAGTTTACAAAGGGACCCAGGGAAGGCTTCCCAGATCCAATACTACCTGTGGGGCCTTGAAGGACAGGGAGGATTTGGACAAAAGGGGAAGGAGGAGGACGAGCATTCAGGCGGATGAAACCATGAATAAACGGATGAAGATGGAATACCTCGTGGGCTTAGTAAGCAGACAGGGTGCTGCCCAGCTTCACTGGCCAGTGGGGAGAGTCCTGGAAGAGAAGGTTGGTAAGAGAGGCACAAGCACTAGGCTGAGACCATTAGACTGAGCTACTAGCAAGCTGGGAGTCACTGGGGTCTTGGAGCAGGAGAGAGCCTGCTCAGATCGATGCTCTGGGGATGGGGTGTAATGTGGGCAGAGGAACAGGAAGGGAGGGGCTGAGACCCCAGGAAGGGATGGAAAGGAAGGTTCAGGCTTTTGTTATAAAAGATCCTGTGAAATTTGAGGAAGACAAGGGATAAGGGAGGCGACGAAGGGGATGAAACCCAAGACAAAGAAGATGAAAGAGGAATAAAGAAAAGACAAGAAGAAGGAGGAGGGAAAGTAAAGAACAAAAAGAAAGAAACGCCTCTTATCAGGGTGCCAAGCACATGCATTCTCAGTGTTTTCCCTAAGTATATGGCTCACACATCTGGAGACAGGTACACACTAGAGATGACATGGGGCATAAAAGTTGTAGTAGAGAAGGGGGCTCTGGAGGGCTAGGGTGTGGGGAAAGTAGTTAGATTGGGTCTCCTTGAGAAGGTGGAGATTAGGGGGAAGATTAGAAGGTGGTGAAAGGATGGGCCATGAGGCTGTCTAGGGCACGGTCTTGCCAGGCAGAAGGAACAGTTCTTGCAAAGGCCCTGAGATGGGACTGTAAATGATCCTTCAGCGTCAATGCCAGAGTGGCTGGAGCACAGCAAGTGGAGAGGGAGTGGTAGAAAATGTGGTCGTAGAGCTACTAGAAGTTGGGGCTGGGGGCAGGAACAGACCATGAAGGCTCTTATAAGCTGTTGTCAGGACTTTGACATTTACTCTAAGCAAAAGAATAAGCCTGCTTTCCTAACATATCAGAAAACTGGGTCTATTAGTCTGTCTTCACACTGTTGATAAAGACATACCCGAGACTGGGTAATTTATAAACAAAAAGAGGTTTAATGGACTCACGGTTCCACGTGGCTGGGGAGGCCTCACAATCATGGTAGAAGGTGAAAGGCATGTCTTACATGGCTGCAGGCAAGAGAGAATGAGAGAGCCAAGTGAAAGGGGAAACCCCTTATGAAATCATCAGATCTCACGAGACTTATTCACTACCACGAGAACAGTATGGCAGAAACCAGCCCCACGATTCAATTATCTCCCACTGGGTCCCTCCCGCAACATGTGGGAATTACGAAAGCTACAATTCAAGATGAGATTTGAGTTGGGCACAGCCAAACCATGTCACTGGGCTGCACTGACTCCCAATTCCCCCAGAGCAATAGGTGCCCGGACCTCGGTATCAGCCATCTTCTTAGGCATTTGCTTTCCGTTTTGCTGCAGTCCCCTCTATTCCCTATTACCTCCCATCCTGGCATGCTTCACTCACTTATGTTTCTTATATGGTCCCTGTAAACATTTAAGGTTGCAATTCCTGTTGTGCAGATTAATGTCTCAGGCATCCTTAGGAATCGACTTCCCTTGAGTGAAAAGTTGGTTCTGGTTTGCAGAGAAAGCAAATGCATCATGGGGATCCCTGTTAGCCTTTATTGATGCTAGCTGCGTGCCAAGTGGTTAGAAGCAAATTGGGTCTGGTGTGGAAAGATCCATCATGACCCCCATCTTGTCAACCTGCCTCATACTTCAGAGACTCCTCCTACACTCTGTCTTTGCGAGAGCTCGGCACTGATGTGGGGCTTAATTAAAAGAACACCATATGCTGGCTTCCTTCACTGGGGATGGATGTGCTGGGCTGGGAAGCAGACATGGGATTCCCCGGGCTTCTCAGCAAGGCTATCGAGCTGTCATGTTGTCAGAGTTGGGACTATAGGCATTTGGAAAGTAATGTAGCTTAGGACAGAAAGGTCTTTGAAGCTGATGTATCTTCACATGGGGCAGCTTTGGTGTTGTCTTCATCAAGGAAACTGAGGCTCAGGGAGCAAAATTTGTCACCCAAGTGAACATAACTCTTAAGAAGCAGAGGAGGGACTGGAGCTCAAATCTGAGTCTCCACAGCATTTGTTCTTGCCTGACATCAAGCTGCAAAACCCAAAGACCTCCCGTAGTGACAAGATTCCTCCCATCACCTCAGGGGTCACATCGGGGCTGTGCCATAGCAGTACATTGATTTGGATGCTTTTATGGGAATTCAGAACTCATGATATTTTGGCCAAAACTGAAGTTTATCTGCATGTCATAAAGAAAAAAATGGCCTAGCAAATGAGAGGAGAAAATAAGATGATCGGCTCTTCCTGACATATGCAAGGCATGTGTTCTTTGAGATGCTCATGCATCTGAAATTGCATTCTTTTGAAGAAATGGTCCCCTAAGGCTGGGTGCAGTGGCTCACGCCTGTAATCTCAGCACTTTGGGAGGCCAAGCAGGTGGATCACATGAGGCCAAGAGTTCCAGACCAGCCTGGCCAACATGGAGAAAGCCCATCTCTACTAAAAACACACAAAAAAATCAGCTGGGTGTAGTGGTGTATGCCTGTAATCCCAGCTCCTTGGGGGACTGAGGCATGAGAATCACTTGAACCGAGGAGGTGTAGGTTGCAGTGCGCCAAGATCGCGCCACTGCGCTCCAGCCTGGGCGACAAAGCGAGATTCTGTCTCAAAAACAAAAACAAATCGTCCCCTAAAATCATTGACATAGGACTTAAGAGTGCTAGTTTTGGCAACTAATTAATTGTCCATCAGCTGATGACATTTGGAGCTGGCAAGAATTGTCCCACTCTGCCCCACGGATGGTCCTACTCTGTCCACCTTGGAAGGATGGCAAAGCTAACTCCCAGTTAGCCTCCATCTGCAGCCCTGGGAAAGACCAGTTCCTCCCAGTCTGATTGAAAGCTTTAAAGGACTTTTGGGAATCAGAGCTTTCCCACATAATAGATTACTAGAGCCATTTCTGAAAAAAAAAAAAAAAAAAAAAAAAAAAGGACAAATTACAAATGGTTAATGAAACAAGAGCAAAATTTACAGTCAGATAAATTCTTTTCCTGAATCTTCCGATTACATGAGCCATTAACACTTCTGGGGTGGATAAGAAAACCCCAACGTGAGTGCAGAAGGGAAGATGTTCGCTGGGGTCACCTGTGGCATTACACTCCCTGGCAAAGCCCCTTGAAATTCCAGACACCGCCCACGCCTGTAATCCCAGCACTTTGGTGAGGCGGAGGTGGGCAGATCACTTGAGGTCAGGAGTTCGAGACCAGCCTGGCCATCATGGCAAAACCCTGTCTCTACCCAAAATACAAAAATTAGCCAGGTATGCTGGCAGGCGCCTGCAATCCCAGCTACTCGGGAGGCTGAGGCATGAGAATCACTTGAACCCGGGAGGCAGAGGTTGCAGTGAGCTGAGATCGCACCACTGCACTCCAGCCTGGGGGACAGAGCAAGACTCCGTCTCAAAAAATATTAAAAAAAAAAAAAAAAAAAGAAAGAAATTTCACACACCAACATTTCTAAGATAACAAACAAAAGAGCCAAAGAAAAAGCTTCTGCTATTTCAGAATCACATAAGCAAATACAAGAAACCCATGAAAGCCTTGATGTTTTGCCTTCTTAAGAGGACCTACTGTTTTAACTTGAGTTAGCATATTAATTGCCCTTATGCAGCTGCGTGCTGCTAAGTACAAATGAATGGTATTTACTCATTATAGAAGACCCAGCAGAAAGTCTCTACTTAGCAACACTATGTTAATTTAAGTTTGGCTTTCCAAGGTCACAAAACTGCTCTGAATGAAAAGGTTTTTTAGAGAGAGCATTATTTCCCCTTTTCGCCTTCACTCTTTGCAAGGAGATTCTGGGTAGAGAGCTTCTGACTCTGTTTCGTTTCTTGCTCCTCCTGTGATAGGGGAGAGCCTGTTTAGTCAGGATAGCAGATTATCATGTTAACAGCTTCTGCTAATGCATGGCACATCCTCACTGCCTCTTTCCCTCTTACTTGTATTTTCATTATCTGCATTCCAGCACTGCAGGTCCATTTCTCTTCTACTTGCATGCAGAAAGCACCCCTCCCCACTAGTCAGAACTTCTGTTTGTGTTTTCTTTTTATTATTATTATTATTTTATTTTTATTTTTTGAGATGCAGTGTCGCCCTGTTGCCCAGGCTGAAGTGCAGTGGCACGATCTCGGCTCACTGCAACCTCCACCTCCTGGGTTCAAACGATTCTCCTGCCTCAGCCTCCCAAGTAGCTGGGACTACAGGCACTCACCACCACGCCCAGCTAATTTGTGTAGGTTTAATCGAGACGGGGTTTCACCATGTTGGTCAGGCTGGTCTGGAACTCCTGACCTTGTGATCCGCCCACCTCAGCCTCCCAAAGTGCTGGGATTACAAGTGTGAGCCGCCGCGCCTGGCCCTGTTTGTGTTTTCTTGTGGTGGTAGGTCCCACCAACCTTTCACTAACAAACTAGCTCCCTTCTAGTTAGGAATTTAGGGAGAAAGGGGTCCCAATCTGGGCTTGGATCTAAGTTGTATTCTCATTCCAGCTTTTATCTGAGAGCCCTGGATTTGGGAGGCAGTAGGCTGCTCTTCTGTGTCATCAAAGCATTTTTCATTTGTCTAGCGATGGTTGTGTACAGCACCCACTGGACAGAGCTTAGAAGAGATAATGGGAGGTTGACACCTTGTAACTCTCTTGGAGCCTATAATTTAGAGACATTTCAAAAGAACATTTATTGTGATTAGTCTGGATTCTTTCCTGTAGAATGACTTGAAGTCACTGTTGTCTAACTCCAATAATAACAGTTGATATCTGTAGGTCTCAACCCTCATTCTAATTTTTTTACATGTATTACCTCATTTCCCTCTCACAACCATCCTAAAAGGCAACACTATTATTATCTTCCTTTTCTAGGTGAAGAAACTAAGTCTCAGAGAGGTCAAACAGCTTGCCCAAAGTCACACAGCTAGTAAAATATGAAAGTAGACACTGGTTTTATCTGACTCCAGAGCTCTGAATCACTGCTCTACAACGGCCTAGCAATAGCTCAGCGGTTTTAAATGGAGAAAAAGAGGGTAGGCTGGGAAAATAGAATCTAAACTTGAAACTGGCTAACCCAACGGCAGAGTTTCCTCCATGACTTCTAGAGCATTGGCTGCAAACTAAAAGATGATAGCATCCCATCACAAGGCATTTTAGAAGCCAGTGTTTTAAAAAAAATCAATAAAATTTGGCCAGGTGCAGTAGCTTACCTGTAATCCCAGCCCTATGGGAGACTGAGGCAGGAGGATCACTTGAGCCCAGGAGCTAGAGACAAACCTGAGCAACATAGACCTTATTTCTACAAAAAAATTAAAAATTAGCCAGATGTGGTGGCACATGCCTGTGGTCCCAGCTACTTGAGAGGCTGTGGTGGTGTTACATGAAAGGGGTCCCAATCCAGACCCTAAGAGAGGGTTCTTGGATCTCATGCAAAAAAGAATCCAGGGCAAGTCCACAGTGCAAAGCAAAAGCAAGTTTATTAGGAAAGTAAAGGACTAAAAGAATGGCTACTCCATAGACAGAGCAGCCCCGAGGGCTGCTGGGTGCCCGTTTTTATGGTTATTTCTTGATGATATGATAAATGAGGGGTGAATTATTCATGCCTCCCCTTTTTAGACCATATAAGGTAACATTGCCATGGCATTTGTAAACTGTCGTGGCACTGGTGGGAGTGTAGCAGTGAGGGTGACCAGAGATCTTTCTCATCACCATCTTGGTTTTGGTGGGTTTTGGCCAGCTTCTTTACTGCAAACTGTTTTATCAGCAGGGTCTTTATGACCTGTATCTTGTGCTGATCTCCTAACTCATCCTGTGACTTAGAATGCCTTAACCGTCTGGGAATGCAGCCCAGTAGGTTTCATCCTCATTTTACCCAGCTCCTATTTAAGATGGAGTTGCTCTGTTTCTAATGCCTCTGACAGTGGGAGGATCATTTGAGCCTGGAAGGTGGAGGCTGCAGTAAGCTATTGTTACCAGAAAAAGGTCCTGATCCAGACCCCAAGAGAGGGTTCTTGGATCTCCACAGGCAGAGCACCCTGGAGGGCTGCAGGTTGTCCATTTTTATGGTTATTTATTGATCACACGTTAAACAAGGGGTGGCTTATTCATGCCTCCCCTTTTTAGACCATGTAGGGTAACTTCCTGACATTGTGATGGCATTTGTGAACTGTCATGGAGCTGGTGGGAGTGTAGCAGTGAGTATGCCCAGAGGTCACTCTTGTCGCCATCTTGGCCTTGGTGGGTTTGGGCTGGCTTCTTTACTGCAACCTGTTTCATCAGCAATGTCTTTATGACCCGTATCTTGTGCCGACCTCCTATTGCATTCTGTGATTAAGAATGTCTTAACTTCCTGGGAAATGATGCCCAGCAGGTCTTAGCCTTATTTTACCCAGCCCCTACTCAAGGTGGAGTTGCTTTAGCTTAAATGCCTCTGACACTATGATTACACCACTGAACTCCAGCCTGCATGACAGAGTGAGACTCTGTCTCTAAAAAAAATAAAAATACAAAAAATAAGAATCAATAAAATGTAACCCATCAAACTGTTGAGGAGTTGGGGTTGCTGATAGAATGAGAAGTCAGCTTAGAATTGCTGGTAACCATCTTACCACCATGAGGGGAGAGCTTATTTGAAAATGGAGACCACAGCTGAGGAAAGAAGATCTGAAATGAGGAGAGAGAGAAACAAAACGCTGATCACATCATTTGAACTCCTGGGTCCAGCCACACTTGCATGCTTACCTCTTTTCTAAAATTACTTGAATGAATTACTCTCCAATTCTTCCATGTCCTGGTAATTATAATTGAAAAATCACTTATAAGCAGTTAAATCTTCTCCTAAACTTTTTCGGTTACATAAGCCAATACATCTTTTTTTCCTTGTTAAATTATGAGTTGGGTTTTCTGTCATTTGTACCTGCAATGGTCTTGAGTATGTGTTAGCTTTCCATTGTTGTTGCTGTCTCTTTGTTGTTGATTTTATTTTCATAGCACATGGATAAATCATTCAACTGTGGATTAACAGGTCCCTAGTTCACTCAAACTTTACTTGTCGCCAAAGCCAAAAACTGATTCCAGATGAATCAGAGATCTAAACATCAAGCGAAAAATGTAAAACTTCTAAAACAAAACATAAGATAATATCTTTAAAACAAAGATTTATCAGAACAGAAAATAAAAACATTAACCATAAAGCAAACAAATGATAAAATAAATTTTATTGCATTTTAAAACTTCTGGTACTCAAAAGATACCATTAAGAAAATGAAAAGGCAAGTGGCAGACTTGGAAAAAATTTACAATACATATATCTGACAAATGACTTACAGCCAGAATATGTAAACAAATAATACAACCTATTACACTATTGTACTCGAGCCTGGGTGACAGAGTGAGATCCTGTCTGAAAACATTTTTTTAAAGGCAAAAAGACTTAAATGAAATTTCACAAAAAAGATTCAAACAGCCAAAAAGCCATATGAAAAAATATTCTATAGGAATAACCTTCCGGGAAATGCAGGTTAAACCCATATTAAGATACTACTTTATACCCACTAAAAAGGCTAAATTAAGGACTGATAACACCAAATATTGGTGAGGCCATAGAACAACTGGAACTCTCATCTATGCTTGTAAAAGTGTAAAATGTTACAACCACCCTGTAAAATAGTTTGGCAGTTAATTAAACATATATCTGTCCAATGACCCAACAGTTTCACTCCCAGGCATGTATCTACCCAAGAGAAATGAAAACATGTGCCCACATAAAGACTTGTATAAGAATACTCATAGCAGCTCTATGATAATAACTAAAGCCTGGAAATGATCCAAACAGGCATCATAAATTGTGATAGGTTCAGACCACAGAAGTAGATTCATCACTAAAAATAAAAACAAACAACTAATATGTACAATAACACAGATGAATGTATTAGTCACTGCTAATAACGACATACCCAAGACTGGGTAATTTATAAAGGAAAGAAGTTTAGTTGACTCACAGTTCCACATGGCTGGGGAGGCCTCACAATCATGGTGGAAGGTGAAGGGGAAGCAAGACACATTTTACATGGCAGCAGGCAAGAGTGCATGTGCAGAGGAACTCCCCTTTACAAAACCATCAGATCTCATGAGACTTACTATCACAAAAACAGGACAGGAAAAACCCACCCTCATGATTCCAGTTACTTCCCACCAGGTCCCTCCCATGACACGTGGGGATTATTAAACTTCAATGTAAGATTTGGGTGGGGACACAGCGCCAAACCATACCAATGAATCTTTTTTTTAACCTGTATTTTAAGTTCAAGGGTATATGTGCAGGTTTGTTACATAGGTAAACTTTGTGTCATGGGGGTTTGTTGTACAGATTATTAGATCACCCAGGCATTAAGGCTAGTACCTATTAGTTATTTTTCCTGATCCTCTCCTTCCTCCTACCCTCCACTTAAAAACATTATGCTGAGTATGGAGAAACCCAGTCTCTACTAAAAATACAAAATTAGCCAGGCATGGTGGGGCATGCCTGCAATCCCAGCTACTCAGTAGGCTGAGGCAGGAGAATTGCTTCAACTTGGGAGGCGGAGGTTGAGGTGAGCCAAGATCATGCCATTGCACTCCATCCTGTGCAACAAGAGTGAAACTCTATCTCAAAAAAACAAAAACAAACAAACAAAAAAACCAGACAAACAGAAAAACATTACATTGAGTAAAGGAGGCCAGACACAAGACTATTGCATTTTATCTGATCCCATTTATATGAACTTATAGTAGAGGCAAAACTAAGCTAACGTGATAGAAATTAAGATCTGTGGTTTCTTGAGCAGGAGTGGAGGGTGACCCTGTTTGGATTCCTTCCTTCATCAAACAATGTAAAAGATTGCTTAAACATGGAGATTCTGGAGCTAAACGCCCAACTCAAATCCTGGCTTGATGGCATAGCAGATGGGTGAACTTGGGCAAGTCACTTAACCTCTCTGAACCTCACATTTTCCCACCTGTATTAGTTCTACTTACTGTATAAGATTGATGGAGAATTAAATGACATAATACATGGTGTAGAGTTGAATAGTGTCCCCCACAGAAAAATTCATGTTTACCCAGAACCTCAGGATGTAAGCTTATTTGGAAATAGGGTCCTTGCAGATGTAATGAGGGCAAAACTCGAGATACGAGCCTACTAAATTAAGGTGGGCCCTAAATCAAATGAAAGTGTCCTCATAAGAGACAGAAAAAAACTCACAAAGAAAGAGTGATGTGACGGCAGAGGCAGATATTGGGGTGATGTGTGTACAAGCCAAGAAACACCAATGACTGCTGGCCACATCACAAGCGAGGAGAGATGGTGGGTGGGATGTTTCTCCCTCAGAACCTCTGGGAGGGACCAACCTCACCAACACCTCAGTTTTAGATTTCTGGCCTCCTTACTGCAAGAGGATAAATTTCTTTTCTTTTTTTTTTTTTTTTTTTTTTTCTGAGACAGAGTCTCACTCTGTCGCCCAGGCTGGAGTGCAGTGGCACGACCTCAGCTCACTGCAACCTCCTTCTCCCGGGTCCAAGCGATTCTCCTGCCTCAGCCTCCTGAGTAGCTGAGATTACAGGTGCCCACCACCATGCCTGGCCAATTTTTGTATTTTTAGTAGAGATGGGGTTTCACCATGTTAGCCAGGCTGGTCTCAAACTCCTGACCTTGTGATCTGCCTACCTTGGCCTCCTAAAGTGCTGGGATTACAGGCATGAGCCACCACACCCGACCAAATTTCTATTGTTTTAATCTATTCAGTTTGTGGCAGTTAGTTAGGGAAACCCTAGGAAACAAACACACGGTAAGGGCCCATGGGTGATAAATGGATTTTTTTATTAGCAAAATTAGTAATCTGTTATTAAAGAGCAGCAACCCACCTCTATATTCCCGTGGATACCATGATCTAGCTAGATGTTTGTATCCAATCTCTTCGGGCCATCATATCAAAGTACCATGAGCTCGGTAGCTTAAACAACAGAAATTTATTTCCTTACATTTTGGAAGGCTGTAAGTCCAAGATCAAGGTGATGGCAGAGTTGTTCTTCTCAGACCTCTTTCCTTGACTTGAAAATAGCCATCTTCTCCCTCTATCTTCCCATTGTCTTTCCTCTGTACATGTCTGTCCCCAAATGTTCTCTTCTTATAAGGACACCCATCCTTATGAGGGTTAGGGCCCACCACCCTACTAGCCTCATTTTATCTTAATTACCTCTTTAAAGACCATCTTTAAACACAGTCACATTCTGAGGAACGGGGGTTAGGAGTTCAACATATGAATTTTGGAGAGACACAGCTCAGCCTGTAACAATGCTGATAAATGCATTCTGTGCTGAAGCATCAGCACATTGAGCCTACAGCTTGCAAAGATGATTTAATAATATTGAACAAGGATTTACCGAACTTGCTGCAGCAACCATGGAAGTGTCCTGGCCAGATCTATCTATGGCTGCATTCATGCCGGGTCATGCTTCTGCTGGGCTATTCTTTGCCAATGACTGAGGACTGGGAGAAGGGAGGGTGAAGGGCATCCTGGATCAGAGCCATTCCTGTGGCTGCAGGATTTCTCTAATGGACAGTGTCTGCTCTGGGTGTCCCCGTTAGCCTGGTAGAGACTCCAGAGCTGCACTATGATCTGAGACTCTTCCTATCCAATACATCCTTCCCTCTCTTCTTTCACAGGTGTCAAACCTGCATCACAGTTGAAGTCTCTCCCTGATCACTTCTACTCTCTCCCCTTTATTCTTCACAGGCATTTCCTAAAATAAACCTCTCGTATCTCATCTAACTTCAGGCTGCTATCACAGAGTACCTAACACTGGGCGGCTTAAACAACATACATTTATTTCTCAGTTCTGAGGGCTTCCAGCCTCCTCCTTACAGAACAGCCAACTTTTCATTGCACCCTTATGTGAAAGAAAGAGGATGAGTGAGCTCTCTGAAATCCCTTTTAAAACAGCACTAATCCCATTCATAAGGGTTCCATTTTTATGACCTAATCACCTCCCAAAAGCCCCACTTCCTGATATCATCAGCCTAGATAGAGGTTAGGGTTTTAACACATGAATTTTGCAGGGATGTAACCATTCAGTCCATAATACACCTCTTATCCCAACTCAGCATCTACTTCTCAGAAGACCTGAACTAACACACATGCTGAGAATTTAGGTGTGAGACACAAAATTAGCCTAAAAGCTTGGAATTCACCAAAACCACCATAAAGCATAAAGGCTTTTGGTGCGAAATTTAAAGTCAGGTACTTTCTTTTCCATCTTACCACAACACACACTGGGTAGGTACAAATGCTACCATGATGTCGTGTGTTTTACATAAATCTATGGAGAAGTTGGAACTCAAATCTAGGTCTCTTTTTACCAAAGACAGTGCTTTTCACTACTATGTTCTTAAGGGTTTGAAACTCAAATGCCTCTGACATTGGACAGGTAACAGAAAGGTGTGAACCAGGTCAGGCATAAGGTAAAAGGAATGATGGAGCTTGCAGGGAAATAAAAAGAACATATATTCAAATTTAAATTTTTAAACTAGCCAAAGAAAACACATCTGTGGACAGTGCTCAACCAGCTGAGCTACCTGCTGAGAAGTTTGCAACTCTTGATTTCCTTCTTCATCACTAATTTTGGTTGTCATCATTGTCTTCCTGCCTCCTTTACTTGGAAATCTTTTCTGATACCTGCATGGTGAACTCCTACCCATCCTTCAAAGCCCTAGACAAATGTTACCTATTCAGACCTTTCTGTCACTTCTCAAGCAGACTCAGACTCTCCTTTCTCTCTGTTCCCATAACACCCTGTGTCTTTCTCTTTTCCAGCAATGAGTGAATTTGTTTGCAGTCCTGTCTCCCTACTAGATGATAAGCTCCCCAAGGTCAGAGAGTTTTACTCCCTACTGCTCGCTTGCATTTAAGAACAGAACACTACTATTTATTGAGTGCCTGCTCTGTATCAGGCATTGCAGTAAGCACTTAATCTGCACAGTTCCTCCAGCAAGGCAATTCTCCTACCCCATTTTACAGATGGGGATTCTGAATTCCAAGAAGGTAAAGTCCCTTGCCCAAGGTCCCACAACTAGCAAAACTTTGGCAAAGGTAGAATTCAAACTCAGATCCCCCTGTCCCCAAAGCTCCAACCCAATCTCCCATGCCACACTGCTCCCTAGTTAGCCAGAGGGGCCGTCTGCCCACAGATGGCTAAGGGTACAGAGGAAGAGCCGCAGGAACCATTCCTGTCCTTCCTGTGCATTGAGGGGGCTGGACTAACTGATATTTAGCTTTTTACTTGCACTGACGTTTTATTCTAGGAGGTTTGTTATCTCTCCTTTTGACACCACCTGAACTATTTGAGACAAGTCCCTGCTTAAAAAATAATGATAAAACTGCCTGTCGGTGGAAATAAGCCTCACACACTATCTCACTAATAGAAGCAGGAGAATTTCCGAGATACCTCTGCAACTTCGTTAGGCATGCAAGATTAAGCTCGAATTCATCTCGGCTTAGTCATACGCGCTCTGAAACTGAATTGTGAAGGATGGAATTTGCAGCTGCTCAGTTCATTCAAGATAAAGACAAGGGAGACCTGGGCAAACATGCAGAAAACTGCTCACTGGAAGAGAGAGACTTCTAACTGCCGATAGCTTGGTGGATCCCGGTCAATTTGGACACGTCGCATAAGGTGTAAATGTGCAGACCCTGGATTCAGAAACTCCACGTTCAAATAGAGCTCCACCACTTGCTAGATGAGTGGCCTTGAGCAAGTTTCTTAATTTCTCAGTTCCTCAGTTTCTTCATCTATAAAACGGGGTAAATAATAGAACCCATACCACTAGCTGTTGTGGGGAATAAAGGAACTATTGTATGTCGTTAGTGCAGTCCCTAATATATAAGAAATGCTTAATACTGTGAGTCACGATAATCATATATGGTCTTTCCAACAGTGTTCAGAATGGTCTACTGCTCCTAGGAGAGAGGTCGACTCAGAGTCATGTTTGCAAGGCCCTGCACACCTGGCCTCTGACTATCCCTCAAGCCTTATATCTTGCTTTTCGGCTTCATTCCACCCTCATCCCTGCTCAATGACTTGCAGTGGTCCGGATGGTCCCCACTGTCTCTTCCTTTCCCTACCACTGCTGTCACATATAAACTCCTACTCACCTGATACGGTTTGGCTCTGTGTCCACACCCAAATCTCATCTCAAATTGTAATCCCCATGTGTCAAGGAAGGGACCTGCAATTCCCAGGTGTTGAGGAAGGGAAGTGATTGGATTATGGGGGTGGTTTTCCCCATGCTGTTCTTGGGATAGTGAGTGAATTCTCATGAGATCTGTTGGTTTTATAAACGGTAGTTTTTTTCCTATGTGCTCACACTCTCTCCTGCTGCCTTGTGAAGAAGGTGCCTGCTTCCCCTTCCGCCACGATTGTAAGTCTCCTGAGGCTTCCCCAGCCATGTGGAACTGTGAGCCAATTAAACCTCCTTTGTTTATAAGTTACCCAGTCTTGGGTAATATCTTTATAGCAGCATGAGAACGGACTACTACATCACCCTTCAGAGATCATGTCTTCCAGACACCTTCTCCCACCTCCCCACCAGGAAGGAAGAGTGCATTAGGGGTTGCAGGAAGGTTCCTCATGCAGTGTGAGGCTTGGTTCGGCTGGGGTGCAGGAGGGGGGATCGTTCCAGGGAAACTGCCCTACAGTTCACCTTGCCCTACTGTAAACACACAAGAATGAGCTGGGTGTCACCTGGGACGTGCCTTTGGTAGAAAGTCAAGCAATGGGGCAGCATCTCTCAAACCATCAGGAGGGGCCAGGATGCCCATGATGATAGCCAAAGGAGGCTTCTCTGAGGAGCAGATGGGATATTCTCTCCTATCAGAGGGTATTATCAGTAGCAGAGTAAGCACTTAATCTTCATGGGGACTTGGAAGCCTCCTTCCTATGAGGTTTTCTCTTGTCCAGTAAGTCCTTGTGTCTTTTGCCTGTGACTTCTGGCACTCTCTCCTCCAGTCACTTTGCCATCATCCTCAATAGCACCACATCACCCCAAGAGGCACCACAAAGGTGCCTGTCTTCCAAGATCCCACGGAACCCTGCATTTCTCCTCTTCTGGTCCTTTTCATGCTGTATATGGTTAGAGTTTAAGAGTGTGGATTCAAGAAACAGACTGCTGGAGTTCCAGTCCAAGAGCATCTATCTCCTAGCTGTGTGACCTCAGGCAAGTTACTTAACCTCTCTATGCTTCAGTTTCTTTATAAACTAGATAAAACGAATACCTTTCTCATAGGGGTGTTGTAAGGGCTAGACGAAGCAAAACATATAAAGGTCTTGGAATGGTACCTGGTACACAGAACTTGCTCAATAAACATTAGCAATGATCAGTAGTACTACCCATCTGTATCTCCCCCTCGCTCCTCACTGGGTTGTACGCTGCAAGAGGTTAGTGGCTATCTTCATTGTTTATCCCTTGCCACTAGCACAGGATCTAATACAAAGCACGTACTCATTTGTGGAGGGAAACAAAAGAGAGAGAAAAGAAGAAAGGAAAGGATGGAAGAAAGAGGAGGGAAAGGGAAGGAAGGAGAGAGAAGGGGAGAAACGGAAGGGAGAGGAGATGAAAGATGGGGAGGAGGAGAGAAGAGGGGAGGAAAGGGAAGGGGAAAAATCTTGAAGGTTGTTCACTTGTAACCCCGCTAATATGGTAAATAGAGAAATGTATGTAGAATTGAAGAAAGCCAGATAAATTTCCACCCAAGTGGAATTGGTCACTCTGTCTTAGCTTCCCCAAATCATGTAACTATCCTGAACCATTAAATATGTCAGAATTTTTTATATTTATTTATTTGTTTATTTATTTATTTATTGAGACGGAGTCTCACTGTCGACCAGGCTAGAGTACAATGGCACAATCTTGGTTCACTGCAACCTCCGCCTCCCAGGTTCCAGCAATTCTCCTGCCTCAGCCTCCTGAGTAGCTGGGATTACAGGTGTGTGCCACCATGCACGGCTAAATTTTTTTGTATTTTTAGTAGCGACAGGGTTTCACCATGTTAGCCAGGCTGGTATCAAACTCCTGACCTCAGGGGATCCACCCGTCTTGTCCTCCCAAAGTGCTGGGATTACAGGTGTGAGCCACCGTGCCTGGCCCAGAATTTTGTATAGTGAGTTTATTATTTGTTATTTTGGGGAGGTGGGATTAGGAGACATTAGCAGTTACTTGAAAAATGGATTGAATGGACTGGGCGCAGTGGCTCATGCCTGTTATCCCAGCACTTTAGGAGGCCGAGGCAGGCAGATTGTTTGAGGCCAGGAGTTTGAGACCAGCCCGACCAACATAGTGAAACCCCATCTCTACTAAAACACAAAAAAATAGCCAGGCATGGTGGCACACGCCTGTAATTCCAGCTACCTGACAGGCTGAAGCAAGAGAACCGCTTGAACCCAAGAGGTAGAGGTTGCACTGAGCCGAGATCGTGCCACTGCACTCCTGCCTGGACCACAGAGCAAGCCTCTGTCTCAAAAACAAAAACAAACAAACCAAAATGCACTGAAAGGCATAAATGGCTTTCTACATTGGACCAGGATCCTGCTGGTCCCTCAGAGATCCCCCGTCTGGATACATCTCACTCCCAGCCAGTGCGCATGAAGGTCTGGGTAAAGCCAGTAATTACCTGGGTGCTTATCCTGCAGTCCCACATACAAGCCTCAGCTTTGCAAATTGAATCCTCGATTTTGCCAGCACACCCACAATGGATTCATTTTCAGTTGCAGATTCACATTACCCAAGTTCTCAAGATTAATGTTTAAAACCAAAAAGTTAATTGAATTGTTTTCAGTGCAAAATCATTATCACACAGATTGGATTTCTCTAACTCCATGTGACCAGTATTTTCTCTCCCTGTCAACAGCCAAGTAATATTCAAAGGTCATCTGATGATTAGATACTCCAAACTAGAGGAGTTACATGAATCAAATGTTCAGCAGCATCAAGATAAGATGGACTGATGCATTCGTCTCATAGTAACAGATGGTCCTGCTTCATATTTTTTAAACTTCGGTCTTTCAGATGCCACCTACATGACTGTTTGCTGTATTCACTGCTACTATTATTTACTATCTCAATAAGGGGCTCCTGGAACATCGCTTTGTGGGGAGGGGCTGAAAGCCCCCAAACAAATACATCTATATATGGAGAAGTTCTTTTTTCCTTTGTCACCAGATACTTCCTAATAGAGTTGAAGCCTGCAGGTCTCCCTTAAATGTAAAACTGTCTTTGCAACATTTAAAAAATCATATGGCAATTAAGAGGAGATACAAATTATTTGTCGAAATGTAAGAATGTGCTTGCACTTCAGAATGATAAAATTTTAAGGATCAGTGTTTTTATGTGCCTGGGAAGCCTCTCTCTGGAAACCTTGGCCACCACTAAGAAGTCTGGGTTATGCGCAGATGTGGCCAACACTCCAGGTTAGCTGGACGTAACAAGATGCCCAGTTAGTCCATGCCACTGCTATTGCTCTGCTGAGACACAGTGGTAGAAATGCTGATCTTCACCCCTGGACACACGTAACACACGTTACCCCTTAGTCAAATGGAGGCATATATAAAAAACCAATGGGCAACAGCACACTTAATGGTGAAAGACTGAAAGCTTTTCCCCTAAGGTTAGAAACAGACAAGGATGCCAGATTTCACCGTTTGTATTCAACATAGTATTGGAAGTTCTAGCCAGAGCAATTAGGAAAGCAAAATAAAAGGCATCCAAATTGGAAAGGAAGAAGTAACTGTTCTTCCTTCCCTTAGGGGTTGTAGGAATTGTCACTCTGAAGGTTAAAAAATTACAGCTTTTTACTCCAGGACCTTCCTCTTTCTTCCTCCCTGGGTTTAGGGAAAGTGGGGCATCATCAAATTTCACATCGATTTAATTGAACCTTGCACATCTGTATTCCCCGTGCAAAGTGCCATTCATTTGATGAGAAAATAAGTTGCTTATATGTCCTTCCTGGTACTGGGAAGTTACTCCTTAGTCAAATGGATGCATTTGCATAGCTTTTTGAAGGCCAGCTCTCTTGTATATTACTTGAATATTTAAAATACTGAATTTTTAAAATAAATCTTTACATTTCTAATCTATAATATTTTGTAGCTATAAATAAGTGAAAATCTATATCATTTGCCAGAAATAAAAGGAAAAATAAATGCAAATAAAATAAGACAACACCATTAAAATCTAATGAGATACTGTGGTTTGCTAAAGGTACTACAACTGAAATTTACTTTCTCATTGTGAAAAGTTACCTAGTGCTAGAGAAGTGTTAAAGATGTAGAATCATCAGACTGAGACTTCTCATTGATGTAATCAGAGAGGTTAAAAAAAGAATTTTGGGTGAGAAATTAAATTCTGCCAATGGGAAAATAGGACCCAATGTTTTTTGATCCCGTTTTATTGCACCTCATAAAATCATCTCACATATCATCAATAAACATGTTCCAACCCTCAGGAACATTTATTGTGCCAATGGAAACAAAATACTCAAACAGCATTGGCTGTAAACTTCTGAATCCAACTTCATATTAGTGATGGTCTTCCCAATACAAAATCCACTGGTCACCTCAACGTGATAAAGTCATATATAAAAAACCAATAGGCAACAGCACACTTAATGGTGAAAGACTGAAAGCTTTTCCCCTAAGGTTAGAAACAGACCAGGATGCCAGATTTCACCATTTGTATTCAACACAGTATTGGAAGTTCTAGCCAGAGCAATTAGGAAAGCAAAATAAAAGGCATCCAAATTGGAAAGGAAGAAGTAACTGTTCACATATAACATGATCTCACATGTAGAAAACCCTAAATATTCCACACACAAAAATTGAAGCTAATAAATAAATTCAGCAAAGTTGTGAGATATCCAATAAAAACACGAAAATCAGTTTGCGTCTCTATACACTAGCAATGAACAATCTAAAAATGAAATTAAGAAAACAATTCCACTTAAAATAGCATCAAAAAAGAATACATGTTTAGGAATAAACTTAACCAAAGAGTAGAGAGACTTGTATGCTGAAAATTACAAAACACTGCTAAAAGAAATTAAAGAAGACATAAATAAGTGCAAAGAAATCCTATGTTCATGGATTGGAAGAATTAATATTGTTAAGATGACAATACTACTCAAAGCAATCTACAGATTCAATGCAATCCTTACAAAAGTCCTAGAAGTGTTTTTTGGGGGAGGGAATAAACATTCAAAATTTATTTTCCAACAGACAGACAGCATCAGCAGGTACAACTATAGGAGTTTCTCTGTAGATCATATATTCACAAGGGCATTACTAGCTCAATAGTGAGAAAGCCCTGGTGTGTTCTCTGTAACAGTATCCACTTCACAGCGTAAACAGGTACTATCGCTGTGCTCATTTACAATTCCAGAAGGAAAGGTACAACTTGGCCAAAAAAAAAAAAAAAAAAAAAAGTGGTGAGGAATCCTCAAGTCAGGTGAAATAACTAACAGGCAAGATTTTGGCTAACAGTCTTGGATCCACATTTCAATCAGGGCCTTCCACAGAGAGGGGAAAGACTTCTCTCCCAGAAGTTAGAATCTATCATTCTCCTTTCTCATTAAATCATTAGAGCAATATTTCTTTGCTTTGTTTTGTTTTGTTTTATGGAGACGGAGTCTCACTCTACCGCCCAGGCTGGAGTGCAGTGGTGCCATCATGGCTCACTGCAGCCTCGACTTCCCAGGCTCTAGTGATCCTCCCACCTCAGCCTCCTGAGTAGCTGGGGTCATAGATGCACATCACCTCCAGCTAATTTTTTATTATTCGTAGAGACAAGGTCTCGCCATATTGCCCAGGCTGGTCTTGAACCCCTGGGCTCAAGTGATCCTCCTGCTTCAGTCTCCCAAAGCGCTGGGATTACAGATGTGAGCCACCACACCCAGCCTAGAGCAATGTTTCATTTGCTCAATATTGTTCCATGTACAAAAGATTACAAAAACAGGAGTCACAAAAACATCTTGAACCTCCAATTTTTCCCACGAATACATCAACTTTTAGGTTTATGACAGGGCCTGGGAATACCTCAGTGGTCTTAGAATAGGAAAACAGACACCATGGCTACACAAAATGCAAAATAAATGAGGTGGATAAATTAAAGCTTTCACACCCAGGACTTGTCTGTCCCAACTTTGTAGCCTTCATGAAATATTCAAGGAAAAAAAATCTTCATAATTACTTGGCATAAGCCACACTAAGGAAATTAAACAAAAAAATTATATGTGAACTTGTAATAGAAAATACGCTTCCATGAGTTTCTTCTCAAGAATGAAAACCTAGTTCTCCAATAGGGTAGGCACTGGCAAACTAAATTAAGTCACCTGAGATTCCCCACTCAAGGGCCCACATCTTCTGGAGTTCAGGAAGACAAAGGCATCTGGGAGATGTGGCGAGGACACTGGCACTCTCGGGCCAACTGAGCTGTATCTAAATAAGCAGCCACACAGACATTGATTCGCAATTAGGAAAGCAAAATAAAAGGCATCCAAATTGGAAAGGAAGAAGTAACTGTTCACATATAACATGATCTCATATGTAGAAAACCCTAAATATTCCAAACACAAATATTGAAGCTAATAAATAAATTCGGCAAAGTTGTGAGATATCCAATCAACACACGAAAATCAGTTTGCATCTCTATACAATTTTAAGGATTAGTGTTTTTATGTGCCTGGGAATAAAAGTCGATATGAGGGCATCCCACTTAAGGTTCTAAGGCTGAAGCAATTTTATAATTCCACAACCTTAGGTTTTTGCTGTTGTTTCTTAAGTACATTCAAACAAACAAACGAAAAGATGGAGACAGGGTTGGGGACATATAAAACAGATACCTAAATAGATGGAAGACCTTGTCCTTTTACCTACATCAGTTATTAGGGAAGTATCCATACCCTTCTCTTCAACAGGCTAAGTAGTTAGCTGTCTTTTCCACTGTGGTTCAATAAGGTCCAACGGTTCTACCTTGAAATAGATAACAGTCTTTGGAAAAAGTCACTCTAGGTTGTACAAAGATTCTATGTATACAGTTTGTCACAAGTAACAAAGCTACTTTGCAAGATCCACTTCTTTCCAAAATTTAAAAAAAGAATTTTAGTCTGTACTTGTTTGGGTGTGAATTTTTTTTTTCTCATTTTTTGCAAAGCAGCATAGCAACAATCATGATTGTAGGACTTGCCTGAGATTGTGGTCATAACCCTGGTAAACATCATTTGCATACCAGTAAGAAAAAGAAAACAGTAGATGAGTTCTTTTTATTTTATTTTATTTTATTTTTTCTTTTTGAGACGGAGTCTCGCTCTGTCACCAGGGTGGAGTGCAGTGGCGTGATCTCGGCTCACTGCAACATCCACCTCTCGGGTTCAAATGATTCTCCTGCCTCAGCCTCCCGAGTAGCTGGTATTACAGGCGCTCGCCACCACGCCCAGCTAATTATTGTATTTTTAATAGAGACAGTGTTTCACCAAGTTGGCCAGGATGGTCTTGATCTCTTGACCTCATGATCTACCTGCCTCAGTCTCCCAAAGTGCTGGGATTACAGGCTTGAGCCACCGCGTCTGGCCAGGATATGAGTTCTTATTAAAAAGAGCAGATTCTAGAGATTTCACTCTGTTTGCATTTCTCCTTCCATGCAAGTTCTCCTTGAGTTTGGCTGACCACAAGCTCATCTTCTTCCAGGAAGTGAGAAAACTGGTATTTGGGAATGCTCCCAGTAGCACCTGCTTTTTCCATATCTGCACTGATACCTAATTGGAAGCCATCCGCGTTGGAGACAGTGGCGTTATTTATATTGAAGCTGACTCCCAAGGAAACCAGGAGGGTAGGAACACCGCCACTCTGGATCACAGAGATCTCATTGGTCTTCTTGGCCAGACCACCATTGAGCATGCTGGTGTCCTGGTTCCACAAAACAGGGCCCATGTTCACTAAAGTGGCCAGAATTTCCCTGGGAAATATTTGAGACTCTTTCCATCTGCACCTAAGAGAGCCATGGTGTTTTCGATAGCCAGCTTCCTACCATGGCGTGCTGAGTCACATAGTGGACCTTCCAGTTGCCTTTGGTGGTAAAAGCTTACCCACAAATGTTGCATGCAAAAGGCTTCTCTCCAGTGTGAGTGTGCTCATGAATCTGAAGAAAGCTAATGGGTAAGAAGTTCTTCCCACACCACGTGCAGCTGTGTTGCTTGGCCTGTTGGCATGGCTAGGCCACTGACAAAGGGGTCATCCCCAGGGACAATGTGGAGGGTTCAACAAATGTGCCAGCGACTTCAACTGTGACATAGATTGACTGAGCTCAGATAAACGTTGAAGGGAGATGGCTCCAACCTTCTATCTTAGTAGAGCTGTTTTCAGAGCTTTCTGCTTTGTCCCCAGCATCAGGAGACTTTGACTGATCCTTTCTGCTTGGCCATTGACCGAGCAGAGTACCTGGAAGGATGTGGCTTCCATGATGTCTGGACTTCAGCTCTGATACTCCTGGTCTCCCATTAGTGAGGACCAGTCGTTGGTCAAAGCTATTGCTCTTCATGGAACTGTTTTCTCTGCTGCTCTAGTGCTGCAGGCCAAAAGGGGCAGGACCCACTTTTCCCAGGGCATCTAAGGAACCCATCTTGGTGAACTCTAGTGTGGATGATGCCTACTACATGCTGGGAAGAGGCACAGGGACCTTTGAGGAGCTACTGGAGGCCTCTGGGAGCTGACTTCATCTACACTGGTGCTTTCAAAAACATCATCATGGCACATGGCACTGGTGCTGCCATTCTCATCCACCGTCATTGGCTCAGGACCCATAAAGTCACAGGAATTCTCTGGCAGGGGAAGGTTGGGAATCTGACTGGCCAGGTCCATCTGAATATGCTGCCACAACATCACAGCACCGGTGAACTTCTTCTGATAGAAAAGGCACAGATGCTGCACCTTTATGGACGTGTTGGGTTGGTGAACCCCAGTGTGTCTTAAGGGTTGCCTTTGGTAGAAAAAGCTCAGCCACAGATCTTACATTGGAATGGTGTCTCTGGAGTATGGATGCAGCAATGCATTTAAAGGGTGCTTTAGCAGCTTAATACTCGGTGGCAAATGAGGCATTTGTTGGGGTCAGTGGTGGTCATGTCGATGTACTCCACCAGCTGCTGCAATTTCAGGGTCTCTGACCCTGGTTCAGGGGTCCCACTTTCTTGGAAGCCACCAACCCTTGGGGAATTATGGTTTGGCCCCATGCCAGGAAGTGTGGGCTACAGGTCACTGGGCAATGGGCCACCTGTGAGGTCCTTGGGGTTAGGCCCCAAACAGCTTTTGAGGTAGTCCAACAGAGGGGATTACAAGAACAGGTTTTCTGTCTAAAGAGAGACTCAGTTCATCTATTGATGTACAAAGAGTGCATAGGGGATGTCACTGCCTACCACCATTTTGTCCTAGAGCTCAGCAAAGAGTGAGGGTTTGCCTTCACCTGGGGATGTTGGTGAATGTGCACCTTGAGGTTGCCCTTGGTGGTGAAGCAGTTATCACAGACAAAGCACACAAAGGGTCTCTCTTCCCATGTGGAAGTGGAGGTGGATCTGCAAGGAGCTATCAGTCTCAAACAACCTTGTTACAGTACTTACACTTGTCCTTGTAGAGGATCACCTCGTCTTTGGGTTTAACATCCACTGAGGAGATGTTCAGTGGCTTCCCCTTCCCTTTCTTGGATGGGTCTAGTGCTACAGTGGAGAAAGGACTTTGGAAGCACACCAATCCCGGGGCCTGAGAAAGCAAAGCACTCAAGAGGTGGGACATTACATTTGGCTCACCCTGGTCCCATCCAGCTTCACAGCAAAGGGCGTCAGCCCTGGGGATGGAGAACTGGTGGTGAAAAGGATGTTGGTGTGAGGTAGTATGGCTTGTTTCAAGGTGTCCAGAGACAGACCTTGGCTTCCAGCCTTTGGGCTGAGCAAAGCCACAGCCGCAGAAGCCTGCTGGAGCAGGTGGCTGCACAAGGCCTTCAGGGTGTTGGCCCCTTCCCCACCTGAGTAGAAGGCGTGTAAGGCTGTAAGGCCCACATGTCCACCTGGATGAGGACCTGCTTGGTGAGCTGAATCTACCGTAGCTGTTGCTGCTGCAGACACAGGATCTACTCAAGGACCCATGGGATGCTGTTGTTACGGGGCACGGAGGCTGGCAATGCATCTAAGCTCCACTGATTCATTGCCACTTTGGTGCCCTGTATTGCCTGCAGGCTCACATAGTGTTGGCCACTTTGCCTTTAAGTAAATAGCTTATCTTCTGGGGTGTGGGTGGCAAGGCCATCTCTGTTTTTGAGTGCACCACACACTCCACACCCAGCTCCTCCTTCATGCTCCCTAGGCTGCCACCATTCTCCCTGTGACCATCCTTACTGCTTGAACTAAGTGGCTGGTGGCTCAGCACAGCTCCGGAGAAGTCTCCTGAAGACACTGACCCCTCGCTGTCATTCATGATGACAACACAACAGGTGGATTTTTAGTGCAATTTTTCTTATGTTCTAAGAACTCACAAATGCTAAAGAACTCCACACAACATTTCTCACATTTGTGTGTTTCCTCCCAATGAAGCCGCTTTATCATCGTGATTCCCTGGGTGGTTCACTGGAGCACCTAAAGTTTGGACGTCTGGCCTCAGAACGGTGAGAGAATAAATTTCTGTTGTTTTAAGCCATCCAGTTTGTGGTTGTTTGTTACAGCAGCCCCAGCTCCCAGGCCACCAGCACCACTGGGCCCGCATCTGCAAATGCTAGGGTCAGCTGCTGTGGCTGCTGCTCACCCTGGTCCTCGTTCAAGTTGATGTGCTGGGGTTTTACCAGCTTGTGCCTCGATGTGGTGTGAGCCTCAGTGTTCCCAGAGAGCCACAGTTATTTGCCCTGTCCCTAATAGTGCTTTTTTGAAGACATAGAAAAACCCATCTTTAAACTCTTATGGACTCTCAAAGGACTCTGAATAACGAAAACAATTTTGAAAAAGAAAAAGGAACAAAATTTGGAGGATGCTCAGTTCCTGATTTCAAAACTTACTACAAAGCTACAGTAATCAAAACAGTTTGGTACTAGAATGAGAACTGACATACAGACCAATGGATAGAAGAGTCCAGAAATAAATCATCATATATATGGTCAGTTAACTTTTAAAAAGATTGCTTAGATTATTCAATGGAAAAATGATGATGCCTTCAACAAATGGTGCTGGGAAAACTGGATATCTACATGTAAAAGAATGAAGGTGGACCCTTATACCAGATCATATACCAAAAGGATATAAAACCTCATAATGAATCAAAGACCTAAATGGAAGAGCTAAAACTATAAAACTCCTAGAAGAAAACATAGGGGAAAATCTTTATGACATTAGATTGGGTAATAGTTTCTTGGATATGATGCCAATAGTGCAGGCAACAAAAGAAAAAAAAATGATAAATTGGAATTCATTAAAAGTAAAAACTTTTGTGCATCAAAGGACATTATCAAGAGAGTGAAAAGAGAACCCATGGGATGGGAGATAATATTAGTAAAACATATATCTGGTAAGGGATTAATATCTGGAATGTGTAAAGACCTCCTGCAACTCAACAACAACAACAAAAGTAGCCCAATTCAAAAACAGGCAAAATACTTGAATAGATAGTTCTCCAAATATATAGAAATGCCCAAGAAGCACATGAAAAGATGTTCAACATCATTAGCTATTAGGCAAAATGCAAATCAAACCCACAATGAGATACCACTTCACATCCATTAGGATGGCTGTTATTTTAAAAAATTGAAACCTGAAAATAACAAGTGTTGGCAAAGATGTGGAGAAATTGGAACCCTTGTGCATTGCTAGTGAGGATGTAAAAGGTGCAGCCACTATAGAACGCAGTATGGCAGTTCCTCAAAAAATTAAACATAGAATTACCACATGATTCAACAATTCCATTTCTGGGTATATACCCAAGAGAATTGAAAGCAGGGACTCAAACATATATTTGCGCACCATTGTTCATAGCAGCAGCATTCACAGTAGCCAAAAGGTGAAAACAGCACAAGTGTCTATTATTAAATGAACAAATACATAAAATATGGTATATACATATAATGGAATATTATTCAGCCCTAAAAAGGAATGAAATTCTGCCACATGCTACAACACCAATGAACTTTGAGAACATTATGCTAACTGAAATAAGCCAGCCTTTAAAAGACAAATACTGTATGATTTCATTTATATGAGGTGTCTAGAATTGCCAAATTCATAGAGACATAAAGTTGTATGGGGGTTACCAGGGGGGTAGGGTCTGGGGAAAGAATGGGGAATTTTTGTTTTATAACTACAGAGCTTCTGTTTGGAATGATCAAAAGTTCTGGATAAGTAGTGGTGATAGGTGCACAAATTATAAATGTGCCTAGTGCCAATGAAAATGACACATACTTAAAAGTGGTTAAAATGGTAACTTTTATGTTATATATATGTTTTATCACAATAAAAGATACACGCTGGTCAATCCTAAGCAGGAGAATGGATAAACAAATTGTAGTATATTCATACAATAAAATACTACTCAGCAATATTTTTTAAAGCTACTTATATGCCCAAAAACATGGCTGAATCTCAAAAACATTATATTTAGCAAGAGAAGCCTTACACAAAGGGATATATACAGATGATTCCACTTATACCAAGTTCTAGAATAGGTTACATTATTCAAAGTGAAAAATATCACAAAGTGGTTGCCTGGAAGGGGGTTGGTTTTGATTGGAAAGGGCCTGGAATTTTCTGAGGTGAAGAAAATGTACTATATTTTGGGTTTCATAGTTGTACATAATTGCCAAAATTCATTTAATTTAACACTGAAGGTTTTATCATATGTAAATTATCTCAGAGATACAGAAAATTTCTATTGGTCAAAATTTCTTTCTAGATGGACAGTACTGACTTGAGTATCCCAATGGTCCTTCTCCTTTCTCTCATCTCCATGGCTGCACAATCTCCTGCCTGTCTCTTTTTGACTGACACTTTCCTTATTTGACTCTGCTAATATATTAAATCAGGTTACATTAACATTTTACAGGCTTGATACATATTCAGTCTTCTTAAGGTGATTTTTCACGTCACCTTCCTGACTCTTTATGAGGTTGTATGACTTCTTCACATAACCTCCCAAAGCCAACCCTACTATAATGATCAAGTTTTTAGCATATACTTCACGATAGCTCCAACGCTAAAATATGACATTACTTTCAGTAGATGAGCCCTAGAACTAAACAAGATGGTCCAATATTTTAGTTTACAGTCAGATAACATGTTTAAGTTGAACTATATGAAATTGCCAATGTTTCCCTTATTTTCAACAGTTACATATGACAATTACATATGCCTCAAACGGTAAAGTTTTGTTTTTGTTTTTGTTTTTGTTTTTGTTTTTTGAGACAGTCTCGTCCTGTCGCCCACGCTGGAGTGCAATGGCATGATCTCAGCTGGCTGCAACCTCTGCCTCCTGGGTTCAAACGATTATCCTGCCTCAGCCTCCAGAGTAGCTGGAGGTGGTGGCACCCGCCACCACACCCAGCTAATTTTTGTATTTTTAGTAGAGACGGGGTTTCACCATGTTGGCCAGGCTAGTCTCGAACTCCTGACCTTGTGACCCTCCTGCCTCGGCCTTCCAAAGTGCTGAGATTACAGGCGTGAACCACTGCGACTGGGCATAAAGTTTTAAAAATTGCATAATCTCACATTTTTCTCAACATCCTTAACAGGTAATCCAACGTAAGATGACTATTTCTTTTAAAATTAGAAAAATTTAATAAATAAGCACAAATGATTAGTTGAATGATTTTAAAAAGAGCTGTCATATAAGTAGTTAGATAATTAAGTTAATTAAATTTAAAGATAATAATTAAATAATTGTTTTAAAAGATTAGTCAAGTATGTAAAAGATATTAACTAAATATTGTTTATATATATATGCTCATGGTGACCCAATATTTTGCTGGAGGTCATCTTGCAACAACAGAGATTAACCTCTGTGTCTCATTCATTGTTACATTCTTAGCACCCAGCAGAGTGCCTGAAATACAGCAGATGCTCAAGAAATATCTGCTAAAATGAAGAAATAAGAAGGACTTTTTGTCAGATGAACGATTACAACCCCAAAACATATATCCCAACATCTTTTGCCTATAAAGGAAGCCCCAAGATAATTTTCATTGCATTTTTCCCATGTTCACATTACAGCCAAATCAACTTTCTTGTTTCTAAGACATACAGTGCCCAAATCAAAGAGAAAAGGTATATCAAAAATCCAAATTTTTCTAAATCATGTCTTCTATGTGACTAGAATAAAAAACAACATAGAGGATTTCAGGTTTGACAATAACAGAAACTTCCAGAAGAGACAGTAGAATGCAACGAGAATATAACTCCTGCCATGGAATATTTAATTTGCTGGAAGCAATATGGCAATCTGTTAGGAGCATGATGCCTATAAATTGGATGGTCCTGTGTTCAAAGGTCAGTTTTTCTCTTTTTTAGACATGACCTTGAGCAAGTTCTTTCACCTCCCTGAGCCCCTATTGCTCATCTGTAAAATGGGGATGATAATTGTTCATTCATTCATTCACCTATTAAATATGTATTGAACACCTACCATACGCCAGGCCTGGAAATGGGCTATGGGACACAACAATGAGCAAAATAGACCAAAAGGCCTGCCCTCATGGAGTTTACAATCCAGAGAGAATGACATGCAAAACATCAAGTAAGTAAAATATACAGTGCGTTTGAAGATGAGCTGAATTTTCAGGAGACTGAAATTCGGCATGAGTTGGTAGGGCAAAAACCAATGGGCTTTGAGTAATTATTGGTAATGGGATGAATTACTTGTACCAATGAGCAGCTTAGAGCAATCACTTAAATAGATTTAAGAGAATCATCACTAGCTAGATAGGCACATGCTTGAATAGATTAGTGATAGACAAACAGAGCAACAGATGGATGAATTAGAGAGTCAAGCAGACAGACCTAAGTAGATTGACACAAATGGTATCTCAAGGTGCCCTGACAACAGCATCTGCTGCTAGAATGACTGACTTTTGATCTTGCACATCTGGCTAGCAAGATAGGCATTAGTGTCTCCCTCACTGGACTACAGGCATCCTTGCAAAATCCTCTCCATCTTTGAAGGTGAGTTGGAAGACCTGGTCTTCCCTTAGGAGAGGACCTATGTAAATCTGTGCCAGGCCTCTTCTCCAAATCTTCCAAAAAATCAATAGGCTCTTTCAAGCAGAGGGTAGAGATGATGCCAAGGGAAAGTCTCTGTAGCAGGAGAAGCGAACAGTCCCAAGAGATAGAAACTAGACACCAGAGAGATGAAGAGAGAATGTATTCAACAAGGAGATGGATGTCAGAAGGTGTCAAGTTTTATTTCAGTAAGACCAGTGGCCCGTCCTTCATCATTTCTCATTTCAGATAATTCAGTGTGGATTGAGTACTGAAAGCTATTGGAGAATTATCGTTGGTCTTCTGGGTGTGATAATGGCAATGCAGCACTGTAGAGAGAGAGAGAAAGAAAAAAAAAAAAGTCTTTCTCCTTTATGTCTGCAGTAGAATAATATGATGTCTGGGATTTACTTTGGCAAACTCCAGCCAGAAAAATAAAAGAAAGAAAGTCGGGGGTTTTGATGAAACAAGCTTGGCAACATTTTTATGATTGTTGGAGTTGTGTTGGGTGCACAAGAGTTCATTAGATACTTCTCTCCACTACTGAGTGTGCTGGAAAATTTTCATAGTAAAAAGTTATGATTTTCCCATTTATTTTCAGAAGGGAAAAAATACACATAAGCACACATATATACACTTGGAGCATTTTTCCAGCTTTAGGGATTAATTCTTTTTGGCAGACGAAAGTCATTCTGTTAAATGATTTATGATATTTAAAGAGCAATTTGGTTCCATTTAATTGCTACCTTAAATTAACTGTTGCCTGAGCCTAGAGAAATGATTGCTACGGCCAGAGTGGAGGAAGAGGTGACAGTGAGCTTCAAGTGGTATTGAGTGATTTCAAGTGTGACCAGCGACTTAGATGAAAGGATGCAGAGTTCCCACGTAAAGGGCAATGCTCTCTAAAAATCACTGCTCTCAACAATCTTCCACCATCTGAGAAGGTTATTTGAATTCCTTCCCAACTGTTCCCAAACAGAGCATTTTGTAATGCAGAGGAATTTTAAAATAATTGAACCCAGACTTATAAATGCCTTCAACATCCAGTCACTACATATTTGTTCAGTATCTACTCTATCACTGGCACTGTGCCAGGCCTAAGGGCTATATGGTAGTAGACAACCTAGAGAAGAGCATTGCTTTTTTTTTTTTTTGAGGTGGAGTCTCACTCTGTCACCCAGGCTGGAGTGCAGTTGCGCAATCTTGGCTCACTGCAAGCTCTGCCCCCCTCAGGTTCAAGTGATTCTCCTGCCTCAGCCTCCCAAGTAGCTGGGATTACAGGCATCTGTCACCACACCCGGCTAATTTTTGTATTTTTAGTAGAGACAGGGTTTCACCATCTTAGCCAGGCTGGTCTTGAACTCCTGACCACGTGATCCACCCGCCTCAGCCTCCCAAAAGTGCTGAGATTACAGGCATGAGCCACCGTGCCTGGCTGAGGATTACTTTCATGAGACTTACGGTCTAGCTGGAAACACAGGCATCCTCAACATATAAGCACATATTAAAGCAATTAACAACCTTCTGATAAGTGGGATTTTTTTTTTTTTTTTTTGCTCTTGTTGCCCAGGCTGGAGTGTGATGGCGTGATCTTCGCTCACTGCACCCTCCACCTCCCAGGTTCAAGTGATTCTCCTGTCTCAGCCTCCTGAGTAGCTGGGTTTACAGGCATGCGCCACCACGCCTGGCTAATTTTGTATTTTTAGCAGAGATGGGGTTTCACCATGTTGGTCAGGCTGGTCTCGAACTCCTGACCTCAGGTGATCCACCTGCCTCAGCCTCCCAGAGTGCTGGGATTACAGGCATGAGCCTGTAGGAACTTTTATAGACCACAGTAAGGATGTGCTGGACATTGGTATAAATGTTCCACAAGTAGTCACTCATTTAATCCTTCCAACAACTCATACGCCTTCTACAGGTAAAGAAACTGAGGCACAGAGAGGATAAGTAACTTGTTCAAGATTATCAGTTATTAACCAGTGGAGCCATGATTAGAACCCCAGATTTGCTGCAGAGCCTCACCTCCTAACCACTCTGCTGTCCAGCCTCTCAAATCAAGGCCACTATTACATATTTTTGGAGTATCTACCATATGCCAAGCTCTATTCTCAGCCCTGGGATAAAGCAGATAATAAAGTCCCTGCTCTCATGGAGCTTTTTGGGGGAGAGGGACAATTAGAAACATCTAAATATATAATATGCCAGAAGGCTATAAGTGTCATGTAGGACAATAATCAATGGAAAAAATAGAAAATGACAGAGGGTCTCAGATGGCAACAGCATGAAGTTCTTGTAAGTTCAAGGACTCTCCAAGAAGGCACTGAGATTGGAGGAGTGAGGTGGGCATGTTAGGAAGTGATGTCAGAAATCAGATGATGCACATACAGCCTTGAAGTTCAATTTAGGAACTTCAGATTCCACTGTGAATAGATCAGGAACCCTCAGGGTCATGAGCTGAGGAGATAGGATACACCTCTTTTTCTTTTCTTTTTTTTTAGACAGAGTCTTGCTCTGTCACCCAGACTGGAGTGCAGCAGCATGATCTCAGTCCACTGCAACTTCTGCCTCCTGGGTTCAAGCGGTTTTTGTGTCTCAGCCTTCCAAATAACTGGGATTACAGGCATGTGCAACCATGCCAGGCTAATTTTTGTATTTTTAGTAGAGACAGGGTTTCACCATGTCGGTCACGCTGGTCTCGAATTCCTGTCCTCAAACGATCCTCCCACCTGGGCCTCCCAAAGTGCTCGGATTACAGGCATGAGCTACCACGCCTGGCCAGGATACACCATTTTTTAAAAGGCTCACACTGCCTTTAGGGAGTGAGGGTAGAAGCAGGCAGACCCTTTAGGAGGCTGTTGCAACAATCCAGGGATTCACGATGGTGCAGCTGTGAGAGAAAGAGAGCCCCAAGGTGTTTGGCCTGAGCATCAGCCAAGAGGGAGCTGCCTTTAACTGCAATGAAGAAGACTGCAGGAGGGCAGAGTCTCACCTGGTAGGGTAGAGGAAAGAAAATGAACAGGTCCCTTCACTCATCGGAGGCACATAAATCGAGTGGAGTCCTATGTCAAGGTTGGAAATCAGGCTAGATGAAGAACAAGGTCAGAGAGGATAAGCAGGGGTGGTCTATGGAAATCCTGGAGCCAAAATGCCCATGCCTGCAGGGGATCCTTGTGCCTGGGGTCATCTAAAGAGACCAGGGTCCTGGTGGGCTTTGAATTCAGCATTGAAAGATGGGGAAGACACAAGGATGCAGGGGAGATAATGTCCTGTCAACCATGCAAGCAAAGGTTCAGAGGGAGGCACAAGCTTGACATGTGGCTTGGACTGTCAGTGTCCTCAACGACCACTGGACAAGGTATCCAGGGCTCCGTTTTCCGCACTGCCCAGAGCATAGGCACAGGGGTGGTCAGAGCAGAGTGTGTCTGCCGAGTATCCCAGGCAGACACATTAAGCCGGATGGAGAAAAACAGATGGTGCAGCAACAAAAACAAGCCACCTCCTTCATGGCTCAGCTGTTTGAGTTGTAAAATTATTGACGGAGGCTGGGCAAGTGGAGTCCGTGGAGGAAAAATTCGGTCTGGTGATGTCTCAAAAACTCACTTAGACAAGGTGGTTCTCAGAAGAGAAATTAGACAGTCCCCTTCCCCATGGGCTTCCCACATTACTCAGCCCAGCCGCCCAAACTGTTGCCCCAGGCTATAGTACAGGCTGTGGAGGAGCAAGGGAGAGGCAGTGGAAACCAACAGTTAGGGAATTTGCTCTGCAGCCTGCTGAGTTTGAGAAGCTGCTCTCCCACCTACTAACTATGTGACTGTGGGCAAGCTCCTGGGCTGCTCTGTGCCTCATGACCTATAGTGATGATCATAGTGGCTCCTCATAGGGCGATTGTGAAATGAAGTGAGTTAATTGCTCTAAAGCATGGAGACAGTGTTTGGTATGCACTCAGTACTAATAAAAATTAACTGTAATTATTATTATCTAACTCTACATCGACAGAGCTGAGTGTACAGCTCACCACATGTTGGGAGTTCAATAAAGGGCTGCTTAATATAATTTGATGTCATCATGATCATTATCATAGTTATTGAGCTCTCACAGTGGCCAGCTCTTTGCAAAGCCATTTAGACACTTGAGTGTCTTACATTGGGATATAGGAAAAACTCAAAAATCTAAGGACATATGTCAGGCACCAATTTTGCTCAGAAACTCAGGGATCACTTTTAGAAGCAGACTTCGGTCTTGCAGATAGATATGACAAAACAAAGGAGAAAGGAAAAATGAACAAGGAGAAAAGGTTTTCCTGAGGACAAGAGCTGAGATCTTAGATGTTTCAGGGAACTAGATATGCCCATACGATTGCCCATATTCTGTGTGTGTGTGTGTGCGTGTGTGTGTGTGTGTGTTTAATTGGAGCTAGGCATTAGTTACTTAGTCAATGAGTTACTTAGTTTTAACTTGGGACAGATGGCCCTTCCCTTCTCCCTCCTTCCTCCCCTTCCATACCTTCTTTCCTTCTTCCCAAGAAGAAAAGCTCAGGGGTTCACGAACTATGACATATGGATCAGGCCAATATATGGACAAACCAGTACAACAAAAGCCAATTCCCTAAAAAGCCTGTTTGCTAAGAATGCCATTCAGCAATTGACTTTCCTTGAATTGACCTAAGTTCCTGGGATATCACTGAAGATGGAAAGACAGAGACAAGAGCAGGAAATGGGGCTCTTGGAGAGCACACCACACTGAGCCCTGCTTGGAGAGCTGCCCATCCTAGGGCACCTGTTCCCAAAGGGAGGTGGAAGATTTGTCCTCAACAGAATCCATACTCAATTCAGCTTTAAGCGACCAGAAGCACTGGGCTCATAGGGGAAATGGACAATGGAGGCTGTAAGCACTTAGGAAGGACTCTCACAGAAAGAAGAATGCCTCGAGCAAGACCTGGAGACTGGATGCCTCCTCAGAAAACATCCAGATGAAGGAGGAAGACCAGCATGAATTTCTTTTTCTTTTTCTTTTTCTTTTTGAGAAGGAGTCTCACTCCGTCGCTCAGGCTGGAGTGCAGTGGCGCAATCTCAACTCACTGCAACCTCTGCCTCCCGAGTTCAAACCATTCTCCTGCTTCAGCCTCCTGAGTAGCTGGGATTACAGGCATGCGCCACTATGCCCGGCTAATTTTTGTATTTTTAGTAGAGACAGGGTTTCGCTATGTTGGCCAAGCTGGTCTTGAACTCCTGACCTTAAATGATCTGCCCACCTCGGCCTCCCAAAGTGCTGGGATTAAAGGCATGAGCCACCGCGCCCGGCCCAGCATGAATTTCTTAGAGCAAATTCCACTTTGTGACAGAGGAGGCAGGCTGCAATAATAAAGGTGGAGGCCGGGCACAGTGAGCTTAAGCTCAGAGTTCTTCAGAGGCCTCAGAAATAACACCACACATCTACAACCATCTGATCTTTGACAAACCTGACAAAAACGAGAAATGGGGAAAGGATTCCCTATTTAATAAATGGTGCTGGGAACTGGCTAGCTATATGTAGAAAGCTGAAACTGCATCCCTTCCTTACACCTTATACAAAAATTAATTCTAGATGGATTAAAGACTTAAATGTTAGACCTAAAACCATAAAAACCCTAGAAGAAAACCTAGGCAATACCATTCAGGACATAGGCATGGGCAAGGACTTCATGTCTAAAACACCAAAAGCAATGGCAACAAAAGCCAAAATTGACAAATGGGATCTAATTAAACTAAAGAGCTTCTGCACAGCAAAAGAAACTACCATCAGAGTGAACAGGCAACCTATAGAATGGGGGAAAATTTTTGCAATCTACCCATCTCACAAAGGGCTAATATCCAGAATCTACAAAGAACTTAAACAAATTTACAATAAAAAAATCAAACAACCCCATCAAACAGTGGGTGAAGGATATGAACAGACACTTTGCAAAAGAAGACATTTATGCAGCCGACAGACACATGAAAAAATGCTCATCATCACTGGCCATCAGAGAAATGCAAATCAAAACCACAGTGAGATACCATCTCACACCAGTTAGAATGGCAATCATTAAAAAGTCAGGAAACAACAGGTGCTGGAGAGGATGTGGAGAAATAGGAACACTTTTACACTGTTGGTGGGAGTGTAAACTAGTTCAACCATTGTGGAAGATAGTGTGGCGATTTCTCAAGGATCTAGAACTAGAAATACCATTTGACCCAGCGATCCCATTACTGGGTATATACCCAAAGGATTATAAATCATGCTACTATAAAGACACATGCACATGTATGTTTATTGCAGCACTATTCACAATAGCAAAGACTTGGAACCAACCCAAATGTCCATCAGTGATAGACTGGATTAAGAAAATGTGGCACATATACACCGTGGAATACTATGCAGCCATAAAAAGGATGAGTTCCTGTCCTTTGTAGGGACATGTATGAAGCTGGAAACCATCATTCTGAGCAAACTATCGCAAGGACAGAAAACCAAACACCACATGTTCTCACTCATAGGTGGGAATTGAACAATGAGAACACTTGGACACAGGGTGGGGAACATCACACACTGGGGCCTGTCATGGGGTGGGGGGATGGGGGAGGGATAGCATTAAGAGAAATACCTAATGTAAATGACGAGTTAATGGGTGCAGCAAACCAACATGGCACATGTATACCTATGTAACGAAACTGCACATTGTGCACATGTACCCTAGAACTTAAAGTATAATAATAAAAAAAAAAAAGTTCAGAGTTCTTAAATTCCACACAACCTGCACAAAGTGATTAGCATCCTGGTGAGGCATAAAGTAGGGAGATTGTCTTTTTTTTCCTCTCCTATTTTCTATGTCTCCACCTTCCCCAGATAATATTAAGTCTGTTTGTTGATTCTCCCAACCCCACACAGAGACACGTAGCTTAATGGTTAGCAATGTGGACTTGGGGAACAACCCACCACGTGACCTTGGGCAAATCACTTCCACTTACCTGTGCCTCAGTTTCCTCATCTGCAAAATGGAAATGAAGGTAATAAGAGTACCAGCTTTATAAGGTAGTTATAAGGGTTAAATAAATTAATACAGTAAAGTTCTTAGAATAGTCCTTGGCTCATTGTAAGTGATCAATGCATCATAGCAATTGTTACTATTAGTACTGCTACTGCTACTCCTACTAATACTATTATTCACTCAGTTGAATGAAAATACTTAGACTAAGGCAAAACATAGTAAAAACTTGGAAAGAGAAGAATTTCAGCCTTTAACTTCTTTGAACTCTAATTTATAAGAAGTCAACCAGAGAGGGGTTATATGGTTTCCATTTAGGACACGGTGTATGATCACCAGAAAGCTATGTTGGATGACGTCTTTGGATATAATGCAAGATGGGCATTGAAATACAGTAATTTTCACCCGCTGGAGTGCAGAGAGCCTTCACTTAATGAATGAGTTGTCATGATCCATTTCAGAGAATTCTGGTGGGGAAGATCTGAACCATCCATCCTACTGGTTCCAGGAAAACACCCAAGGATGTGCTAGGAGAGACTTCTTCCAAAAGAAGAAGCAGAAATGCCTAGTTATGCTTCTGCTCTTCCCCCAGGGAGAAGAGCCACAATCCACCTGACCCTTGGCTTAGACATTTAACCCAGTTGATGGAGAGGAGAAAACCTAGATGACGTTTCAAGGGATGGTGTGTTTTTCCCCCTCTGTGCACATTTCTGGCCTCTTCCTCAAGAGAAGAGAGAATTTCTGCCCTTCTGTATCTTCATCATCACTGTGCCACCCAATCCTAGAGGGGGAGAAATTGATCATCTAACATTCACTGGGCCCAGCTTTACTGAAGGTTACTATATTGAAAGGCAAACTTGCTTCCTTCTGCCATGTGTGATAGGCTCCACAAGACTGGCCCTCGCAGTGCCTTCCTTCCACTTTCCCCCACTCCCTCTGGAATGGGTATAAAGGGTCTTAATTCTCAGGGAAGGTGGAAAGAAGCACGGACATCTCTTATTCCTTTTTTCATTTCCCTTTGTCCCAGTGGCAGCAGGCAAAAGTAAAAGCCAGCCTCCAAGCTTGTCTTAGCTCTGCCTGAACCCATGTGCCAGACCTCCCCACAATTCCCACCCAGGAGCACGGCATGACCTATTCCTCTCCACCTCCCTCGCTCCCTCCCAGGTGTTCTTGTGTCCTTGTCCATTGCATGTATGAAATCCTTTGTGCATATACGAAAGCAGAGGTCAGGATCCAGACTCTCAGATTCCTTTGCATCTAACTGTATACACCTGCCCAAACAACAGCAGGCTATGACTCCCATTTTGCAGATGAGAAAACAGAGGCCCAGAGAGAATTAAAGGAGCTATGCTATAGAAAGTACTATAGAAAGTAGGTGGCACAGCCCGGATTCTATGACTGGCCTTCATGTTCTAAATCATCTTCCCAGTTCACCCACTGCTTCTTATCCACATTCGTTACTCACTCTTTTAATACCTGAATCACTCCACAAAAAATTGTGTGTGTGTGTATATATATATATAAATATGTATTAAATACATATATGCATATGTGTATAGTAAAATAAGATATGCAATATGCAAAAGAAAATATACAACATGCATACAATATAAAATAAAATTATATAATTCCCCCATCCAATGTCTAGTTGCTTGGAGGAATATGTGAAAATCAAATCATGTTATCTACCACTTAGACTTATTGGACTCAGAGCCGCTTCCCTCCTTCCTAATTCACAGTAGACTCTCAAAACACCAGCTCTGCATTCTCTCTCCTTCCTCAGTCTGGCAGTCAGGCTCTGAGCTATGTTCTCATTAGAGCAGAATTTCCCCCTCCACACAGCACAGTCTCTGGACGAAGGCTCTGTGGAGTTGAGGATAATAGACTGTGCCGGCAGTTCCAATCAGGTAGGCATGACAAAAAGACGCGTGCAACACCCAGGGTGTGGACAGAAGGCAACAGAGTTGGATGCAGACCCGACTGACACAGATGGTAACTGTGGTTTGCACTAGACCGGGCAGCTGGAGCTCGCTCCTCCTGCCTAGCTTTCAAGCAGGGGTCTGGGAGGAGGTGGGTGTTGAGTGGGTGTTCAGGAATGAGTGAAGTGATGCCGCCTGGACCACCAGGTGCTCTGGGGTCGAAATCTTCTCAATTAATGACTTAATGCTTGTAACACAGGTTCAGCACATGTGCCCCAGTGCCTGATGAGAGAGCAGGGCAGCGCTCTTTTGCCATTAATCCTGGAAAGGATTTTCTAATCTTCTCGTCATGGTGGCAAGAGCTTGTGGGAGCCAGAGCTAGAGGCAGTTCCAGTAGAGGAAAAAAAACACCAGCTTTGGACTTGGAAACCTGGACTCTGATTCCAGTTTTGTTTATATACAGATGGGGAGAAACACACCATCCCTTGAGCTGCAGGACCTGGGACAAATCACCTCATTTTCCCGGAGCACAGATTTCCCATCCTGACCTGCATATAAATTATGTCAGTCTACCAATAATATAAATATACTATCTATATACGTACGCATATGTAAAAGCACAAACTCCTAACCTGGGCAAGGGTCTGCATGTTCCAGTCCCTGCCCATCTTTCACCCTCTGTTCCCATCATCCTCCACCCTAAGTCCAGTTGGCTCCAGCCTCGCATCCTCTTGCATCTCTCAAAGGACCAAGCTCACTCCCACCTCCACTCTCTTTACACCTTTTCTTCCTTCTGCCTGCAATACTTTCCCACCCTCTTTCTCTGACCAACTCCATGTCTCACCTTAAATAGCACTTCTCCCAAGAACCTATCTGGACTGCCTCTTGCTCCTGACAGGGCCTCAATTGAGCAACCTGAAGGCCACAGAGCCTGGTGGTTGGAACACTGGAACTGCAGTTGGCACACCTGGGTTCAAATCTGAACCTGACAGTCACTGACTCATGTGACCTTGGGAAAAGTCTTGTCTGAGACCCTATCTCCTAGTCTGTAAAACAGGACTCATATTAGGTTTACATCAGAGGACTGACATGAGGATTAAATGAAATTAACTATGGAAGATACACAGACGCTGGATAAGAGATGCCTGTTTCCCCTCTACAACCCTCGGAATCATTAATATGTTAGAAAATATTCATCCTATTATATGTTCCACATCTATCTCCCCTGCCAGATTTTGGACTCAAAGAGAGAAGGAACCATCTCTGCATGTTTCATCCCTGTCTCCAAGTCCCCACCAGACAAGATACGCAATGAATTGTGTGGCTTCAGCGAATGACTAAAATGAAGACATTAGCACCTGTCTCCAGGATCTCCTGCGGAAGTAAAGGAGATTGTGTGCAGTTGAGTGCATTACAGGCCATTAAATGCCGCGAGAACAGGAAAGATGGTTATTGCATCGTTTGTGAGGTGCAGAAGGCCTGACAGGCCAGTGGGTGGGGCAGAAGGAAGGGCATTCATGGCAGGGAAGAGAAAGAGAATTCGATTATGGGAAGGGCTGGAGAAGTTGTGGGGAGGAACAGTTAGAGGGTGGCCTGAGGGAATGAAAGATAGTGCTGAAGAGAATGACACCACTGCTTTTACATAAAATATCCAGGCCCTGAGCATGGGCTAAGGGTCAGTCCACCTGTGCCAACCCTAAGATTGAGACGTTTATGCTCGTTTTCCTCCTGAGGACTGACTTTCCCCAGAAGGCTTTTATTTATGCATTCATTCATGCGATATTTATTGATTTCCTACTAAACGCACTTTACTGAGCACTTACTAAGTTCACTTTGAGGTGCAGGGGATATAGCAATGAATAAACCAGACCAAGTTCCTGCTCTTATGAAACTTATATCCTAGTGGAGATAAGGAAATAAGTAAATTAGCCACTACAGGTATAAGTGTCATGAAGGAAAATAAAGTTACAGAGGGGATGGGAATGGTGCAGGTCAGGACTATCTTACAGAAGAGACTCAAGAAGGCTTCTCTGATAAGATCCATTTCAGCAGCAACCTGAAGGGAGCAGATGTAGGAGCCATAAGGAAATCTGAGGGAACAGCATTCTAAGCAGAGGGAACCGCAGGTATAAAGGCCCTCAGCTGGAAGTGAAGCCATCCTTACAGAGTTAATGAGAATTCCGGACAGAAATATAGCTGTAATTAAGCATTAATCAGGCTGCACTTTGGCTCACTTCCTTGTAATGGAAAGTAATCCATAACACTCGATGCTGACCACTTACATCCTCTTTGTTCCTATAGATAGAATCTCTGATGTTAGAATGATAAAGTTTTCATTTACAAATTGCTTAAGCAGATCCTGGATTCCAGTGGAACACCTGATGCTGACCAGTTTAAAGACCCCCACAGAGGAACTGAGCCAGCATGAGGATGAAGTTTCTTCATCTCCCTGTGCCCTGGCTTCATCCTAACACTCTTTGACGGAGCAACAATCTCCATGCTTTGGCCCACTCCAAAACCCTTAAAACCCTAACCCCAAGTTCCTTGGGAGATGGATTTGAGGTTTCCTCTGTCTCCTATTTCAGCAGCCCTATGATTAAGCCTCTTTCTCTGCTGCAACCACTGGGCCATGGACCTATTGCTATTACAAGAGTGTGCTTGGTGGATTCAAGGAACAGCACCATGGTGGTTTTGGCTGGAGTGCAGTGAGCAAGGGGGAAGTAAAAAGAGATGAGATCAGAAAGCAGCCAGGCTCCTGATCAGGTGGCCTTTATTGGCCAAGATGAGGGCTAATGAAAAGAATACCATTACATGTCTTAGTCTTTAATAGATCACTAGCTGCCTGTGAAAAAACAGAGTGTAGAGGGCAAGGGTGGAAGAGGGAGACCACTGCGGGGAGGAGGTTGCTGCTGTCCAGGTGGGCAATGATGGTGGCTGGGACCAGGAAGCAATGGAGGAGATGGGTAGTCTCTGCAATGAGGCTTTTCTCTGTCTATAGGGGAATTGGATTTGCATTAGAAATCATAATCAGAACTAGTCTGGGCGCAGTGTAAACTCAGCACTCTGGGAGGCTGAAGTGGGAGGATCGCTTGAGGTCAGGAGTTCTAGACCCTGGAACCCCATCTCTACAAAAATACAAAAATTAGCTGGGCATGGTGGAGCACGCCTATAATCCCAGCTGCTTGGGAGGCTGAGGCACAAGAATTTGCTTGAACCCAGGAAGTGGAGGTTACAGTGAGCTGAAATTACACCACTTTACTCCAGCCTGGGCAACAGAGCAAGACTCCATCTCAAAAAAAAAAAAAAAAAAAAAAAAAACAAGAAATCAAAATCAGAACTAAAGGAGACCTTGACCCTCAGCTGGTCCAAGGACCCTCATCTGACCAATGAGATTTCTCCAAGGTCACATGGTCAGAGACTGGACAGAGCTTGGGCCTGAATCCCCTTCCCAGTTCAAAGCCCTTCCACCTGGTGGCTTCTTTTTGGTCATTGTGACTGTCCCTTCCATCTCTGTGGCTTTGTACAAACAGATCCACAAAGAGCTACTGCACTTTAGAGGTTGAGGGTATAATTAAGAACAACTTGCTTTTCATTTATAATTTATGCGTTATACACCACCTACTTCCCAAAAGGATTTGAGACAGCTTACAACAACAATCGTCTTTAAACCATCTGCACAGCCACCAAAAAACATGTTTTCAGAGAATCCTTAATGGCACAAGGAAATGTACAAAACATAACTTTTAATGAAAATGACAGGACACAATACTCTATTTACTATAATACTGTTACATATTATGAGGATGGATAAGGAGAGGGAAGAGAGGGAGAGTGAGAAGGGGGAAGAGAGAATGGGAAGGGAAGGGAAAGAAGGGGAGAGGGAAGGGAGGGGAGGGGAGGAGACACCAATAGTGGTTATTTCCTTTGTTAAAATTGTATGGTGAGACCTCATTGCTCACAGCATAGGTCCCCAAAATATTGTAAATAAAATTATTTTCAACAGCACTCTAACATCTTTTTTAATATTAATAGTTATGCATTTGTATATTAAACGTGAATTTTAAAAAATATGGCTAACACATCAAATCCACGTGTGCTGGTTAGATTTCATTGCCCTTCCAGATCCATTCTTCATCCTTTTCTGCCCTGCTCTGTACAGAGGAGACTTCTTTGCCCTCTGGCTTGGTTTGGGCCAATAGGAATTCCAGTAAAAAATATATATATATCAGAGGGCAGAGGAGGGAGGTGTGAGGATATTAGTTACCTCTTTCCCCCAACCCTTCCTCCACTGCCCCAGCTCTAGAATGGCTGTGCCCCTTGGCTGCCCACGAGCCTCTATTTCAGGGCTCCAGTTCTCCTTGGGGTCCATGAATACTGTTCCCCTCTGCTAATTCCTGTTTCACTGTCCGTTGCTGTCTTCCTTAGCCCTGCCCTCACCTATATAATAGTCCCTTTATTCGACTCTTTTTTTCTTTAGTATTTCTTAAAGTGCATAAGAATCACCAGGAAGTGGAGCTGATTAAAACACAGATTCCTGCCCCATTCCCGGAGATTCTGCTTCAGTAAGTCTGGGCAGGGCCTGAGAAGTTTTATTTCTAAGGAGCGCTCAGATGATGCTTATGTTGTTAGTCCAGAGACTATACTTTGAGTAGCAATGCTTGAGTGAAACCCTTTGGGTGTGTCATCTGCTTTCTGGAAGTTCCATGACTAATTCTCGATGAGGCAGTCCAGTGGCAGTTTCTGCAGTGGTGAAAATGCTCTATAAAATTCTATACTTTCCAACAGAGGAGCCACGGGTGTCTCCTGAGCACTTGAAACGTGGCTAGTGCAATTAAGGTACTGGGTTTTTAATTATATTGAATTTTAATTAACAAAAATAATTAGCTCTGAGCTACTAAGGGTCAGTTGGCACTTTCAACAGTCTAACTGGAAATCTCCTTAACCATTGACAGGTTCATTAGGCACCATTTTTATCTTCATGTTACTGCAGGGGACAGTTTTGTTAATTGTTCTGGCAGTTCATCATTCAAGTTTCATTTTCTCCTGTCTCCAACAGCAATTTTCTCATTGACCTTCCAGCCTCCATTAACAGCCTTCTTGAGGCATTTCAGGTCTTTATCCACTGCCCAGTTCCAAGGCGACTGACACATGATATGGCAGCATTCTACTTTTAGATACCAACTTCCCTTTTAACTATTTATTGCTGCATAGCAAGCCACCCACGACTTAATGCCTTGAAACAACAGCCATGTTATTATCACTGAGTCTTTGGGTTGACTGGGTTCAGCTTGGTGACTCTTCTGCTCTATGTGATGTTGCCTGGGGATACAGTGATCAGGGGGCTCAACTGGGATGAAACATTCAAGATGGATTACTCACCTGACTGGCAGTCAGGGTTGGCTGGATGCTGAGATGGGGCTACCACCCAGAGTGCCTCAATTCTTACTCATGTGTCTGCTCTACATAGTTTAAGCTTCCCACAGCACAGCAGCTGGTTCCCAAAGGCAAGAAGTAAAAACTTCTTGGAAATCTTAGAACATCACTTCTTGTACATTCTAGTGGTTAAAGCCAGCTACATGACAACCCAGATTCAAGGGAGTGGAAACAACTTCCACCTCTTCGTGTGAGGAGTGGCATGTATACAGAGTGAAGGAATGGATTGTTAGTGTTACCTCTGTAGATGTGCTGCTGCAATGCCTTGTCCTCAGTGAGTATGTTTTCAGTGCAAAAATAGACCCATGTAGACTACTGCTCCTCAAACTTGTGTACCCACAGTCCCCCGGGGATTACATTAAATGCATTAAAATGCAGACTCTGATTCAGTATATCTAGGTGAGAAACCACATTTTTAACAAGTTTCAGGTGATGCCAGTGCTACTGGTTTGAGTAGCAAGGATGTAGATTAGATAGTGGAAGTCCACTATGCTTTTATATGTGTACTTCCATGTAAATTTCACAATGACCCTGAGGGTTAGGAATGATTATCTCCATTTTACACATGAGGAAACAGTGGCTTGAAAGCACAGACCATGCTTTGAGTAACAGGGAGGTAGATTAGATAATGGAAGTCACCTGGGGTTTAGAATCACAAGACTTCAGTCCAAAACACCTATCTCTATCACTTTTCGAAATTTCTTTTCTTTTCTTTTCTTTTTTTTTTTTTTGCTGTGAGTCTTTGAGTAAGTTATCTAGTCTCAGTGTCTTCATCTGTTAAAACGGAACCATAGAACAACTGTGAGAACCCATAGGAAGAAGTACAAGGAAATATTAGTTTAGTCTCTAACTAGCTGTGTTTCTTGGGGCATTTAACTTCCTCTCTCTGAGCTTTAGTCTCTCCACTTAAAATTAAAGTGAGAATGGGAATGAAAGTAGCAACCTCACAGGGTGGTTGAGCATGCAGTAAAACCTAGAATTAGCAGAGGGTATTGACAGGACATGGGATACACACTGGTTTTCCTTTCCTTTTCATCCCCTTCAGCACCATCAAATATTTCCCAGCAGGTCAGCATTTGCTGATGTTTTGCAGAAGGACAGGGTAGAAGGAAACAAGGACTGAGTTTCTGAGTTAAGTAAGATTCAAATCTCACCTATGGTTTGCCTCTAACAATGACATCCTGTGACCACAGAAAAGTGAGAATGGGCTTCTCCTTCTCCCCCTACTGGGTTGGAACCAAGGATAATAACCAAGAACCATATTTGTCCTAGATCTCTGGCAAATAGCCTCAGCCCTATTGTTTGTGGTATCAGTGGCCGGTATGATTAATGATCCCTGCTGGGAAATGCAGCTGTGAGCTTCTGATGATGGAGGGCAGCTATGAGGCCCTGAGTCCCAGGACACTCCCATCTAGTACCACACGGGCTGTGCCCCCGCCAGGATCCTTAGGCCACCCGTGGCAATCAGATGTTCTGGACCCACTGGAGACAGTCCAGGTTTGTTTAGTCTTTTATTTGGGCTTTCTTATATTCACTGGGATCTGTGTAGAATCCAAAAAGGGTCTCCAACATTGAGATTGTGTCAAGCTGTCATACCTGGGAATGAGGCTACAAACAACAAGGCAAGAGGCAATGGTTCATGTTCATTTTGCACTTACTCCATGCTAGGATCTGAGATAACTGTATCAACACACATTGTCTCATCCTCACAACAACCCTACAAAGAAGATAGCTTAAGAATCCCCATTTTTCAGGTAAGGAAACAGAGGTACACAGAGATGAAATGACCTACTGGAAGTCACACAGTGAAGTGGCAAGCTTAGACTTGAATTCAGCTCTAGCTAACATCAGACTGTGCTGAGATGATTTTGAGGGCTGATGAAATTTGGCTGGGGTGGGAGGGGAGTAGCATCTCACAACATCTCACAATTAAAAATGTTTCTATCCTAGTTCAGTGACCATGGTGTTGTTCCCCTGTACACACATACACACACACATGCACACACAAACACACACACACACACACACACACACACACACCTGGGAAGAGGAGAGCCCTAAGGGTAAAGTGGGAGTTCAAGAACCAACTCATTTGGTTCTCTTGACCAAAGCAAAACTGGAAGAGTCTGTTGATCCAATCTGGATCTGCTGCTCCACAAATACCAGGCTTGGTGCTGTACCACCTGGTGACCACATCATCTGGCTTCATACGTAAGGCCTTCTCTTCCTCACTGGACTGTGTCTTCCTTAAAGATACAGATATTGCCTTCTGCTTCAAACCCCCTGCACTTCCCACCATGGTCACTGAGATAAGATCCTCCTCTGCAGCCACCCTCTCTCTACTTGGGTCCTCATCCAGCTCATTCTCTGAAATGATTTTTGAAAATGCAAGTTAAATGATGTCACTCCCCAGCTTAAAAATCCCTCAGGAATTCTCCCTGTCTTTAGAGTCAGAGTATCCAAAGTCTTTCCCAAGCTCATCTCCTGACACTTCCTTGCCCACACCAAGCCCTCCAGCCATGCCCCGCCACCTCTAGCTAGCATCACGAGCTGGTTCTCACTTCCCCACTTTTCTCCTGCTGTTTTCTATGCCTGGAATGTCCTTTCCCCAACTCACTACCCTAGTAATATGGCCTCCAGCAAGTCACCTCACCCCTCTGAGATTCAACTGGCTCATCGTTACAATGAGGCTAATGATTAGGCCTCCCTCACAGGTGACTGGAGGATTAAGGAAGACAAGAAGCACAAAATGCCTGAGACAGGACCTGGCCACTATTAGTGTCCCGCCTGGCTATGGTGGGGAGGGAGTCTATTCCTTGGCCCAGAATCTTCCTTGCCAGTATCATCTTAGTCAATTTTACACTTTTCCAAGGAAGCTTCCCACACTATCTTGACCCCTATCTAAGGTTTTATTTTCCCCAGAAGACCTAAATCTGGATGATTAACAGAAAATAAAGAAAAGTGGTACTTTTTTTTCCTCTCCAGTGGCCAAGGGAGAAAAGGAAGGGAGTTGGATTGCTGAAGAAAGAGACAGCTTTGGAATGGCCACTGGAGTTTTAAAGACTTAGATGCAGGCTTATGGATGAGGTGAGGGATTAATCACTTCCTTTTCTTTTAAAGAGTGACTTGAGGCAGAAGGACAGTCTCACTCAAGATCATATACAGTGTTTTCTTGGCAAACTACTGCCATTTGTCGCCCTTCGGGAAAAGCATGAGCAGAAGGGAAACAAATATTAGAAAAGTATTTTACCCGAAAAGCCCCACAGTCTGTAGGATAAATTGCCTGCCATGGCTACAGCCACAGGGAAGTTTCACACGATTACTTGCCCAAGATCCTCATAAATTGTCAGCTTTGCCAGTCAGATGTTAAACCAAACTTGAGGGATAAGAGGAAGAGTCATAAACATTAAATACATAATCTTTCAAGTGTGTGCCTTCATTTCCTGACTGTTTCTTCTCCAAAGGGAATTGTTTTCTCTTCTCTTTCTCTTTTTCCTTTTCCTTTGACGTTGCAGAGAGGAGTCAGAAATCATCAGTTGGGTTTCTGATTCACCACACAATGGAGCTCTGGGAAAGAAGGGCTAGCTTAGGGGAAAAGGAAAAAGTGTTACAATCAGACGGTCTTGGGTGTTCATTCTTGCTCTGTCACTTGCCAGTGTTAAGTCTTCCCGTGATGTGCTTAACCTCTCCAAGTCACTTTTTCCTCGTCTATAAAATGGAGATAGTCATTCCTAACCCTAAGGGTCACCGTGAAATTTACGTGGAATTACACATATAAAAGGCAATAAGTAGTAGGGACTCAATAAATGGCTGTTGTTATTATTATCGTTGTTATTATTATACTTGAATAGGATATTTAAGATACTTCAGTGGTCACCAATAGGAGTCCTAGCACACCCTTCCCTGCTTCCAGACTCCTAATTGTCCTCCCTTGCATCATTTTTCTCCATAGCCCTTATCAACTCCTCATATACAATATATATTTTCTTATTTGTAATTAGTTGTTTTCCTGTTAGTGAATGTTAACTCCTTGAGGGCAGAGATCTTAGTCCGCTTTGTTCCACTGCCAAAATTCCAGCGTTTATTAAATGTCTGGCACATAGTATATGTCCAATAAATATCTGTTGGATGAATGAACGAATGAACCCACTACTATACTCTGATCCCCACTTCTCATGATAACCACTGGAAAAAGGAAGAACTCACATCATCTTCCAGTGCACCCTATGGAAGTTTGATGCCTACTAAATAGACCAAATAAACATCCTTGTTCCAGATATTTCTACTGTGTAACAAACATGCCAAGCTTAATGCCGTAAAACAGTAAGCACTCTACTTTGCTCATGATTTTGTGCATGACACTCAGGCTACAAATCCAGGTTTCACATTCAGTTGCAGTTAGATGTTGGCTGGGCTGCAATCATCTGAAGACTCAACTGTGGCTGGAGGATCCAGCTTCAAGTTGGGTCACCCACATGGATGGCAGTTGATGCTGGTTGTTACCTGGGAGCTTAGTCGGGGCTGTCACCAGGAGCACCTACACGTAGTCTCTTCAGCACAGCAGTCTCAGAGTAGTTGTATTTCTTACATGACACCTGACCTCCCCCAGAGCAAGTGCCCCAAAATAATAAGGCAGATGTTTTGGCCTTTTATTGATCTAGCCTCAGAAGTCACATAGTGTCACTTCTGCCTTACTCTATTTGTCAAAGCTGTCACAAGCCCAGTCAGGTGCAATGGAAGGGGACATAGACCCCACCTCTTGATGAGAGGAGTGTTAAAGAATTGGGGTCATGATTTAAAACCTCCACAGACATGATCTCACATGCCTCTGGGGACTAGCCAGATATAAGAAGTAAGTGAAATACGTGTGGATGAGTGAGAGAACAGAGTGGTGGGGAATATGGAGAAATTGAGCCATTTTTCCCTGGCTGGAGGCATCATCCATAGCTCAGCAACCACCAGTTTTTTTTTCCTGTGGAAATGTGGGCCCAGGGTTGCCAAGTCCTTTGATTTTTCAAGTGAAGCTGTGAAAATGTCAGTGGAATTTCCCAATTTAAAAGACTCCATGTGAGCTGAAGAGAACAGGTTTGAAGATCCACAGGTTTCCAATTGTTGGCATCTAAGATAAATGATCTGAAGTAATAGTGCTTTGTGGTAACAGAGTGAGAGGCCTGCCACATGTTTCTTCAGGCTGCATGACGACAGACACAGCGGTTCATGCCTGTAGTCCCAGCACTTTGGATGGCCGAGGTGGGAGAATAGCTTGAACCCAGGAGTACAAGACCATGTGAACTTGAAGGCACTTTCAAGTAGGTACTTAAGCACCTTTCCCCAAAACAGGAAATAAAGCAAACCAGCCAAAAGATCTCTTTGGCAGAAATGAGTGGCTACCAATCTTGAGAGCTAGAAGGAAAAGTAAATGGAATGACGTGAAACATTTGTTAACCTCCACATCATGTGCCATGAATTTTTTATGTATTATTGCACCAATTCTCACTGACAACTACCTGGGATAGGATAATTACCTTCCTATCACAGGTGAGTAAACTACATTAGGTCCCCTGCTGGATCATACAGGTAGAAGGTAGTATAATATGGTTTGGCTGTGTCCCCACCCAAATTTCATCTTGAATTGTGGCTCCCATAATCCCCACATGTTGTGGGAGGGACCTGGTAGGACCTAATTAAATCATGGAGGGGTTTCCCCCCATACTGTTCTTGTGGTAGTGAATAAGTCTCACAAGATCTGTTGGTTTTATAAGGGGTTTCCCCTTTCACTTGGCTCTCATTCTCTTGTCTGCTGCCATGTAAGACATGCCTTTCACCTTCCATCATGATTTTGAGGCCTCCCCAGCCAGGTGGAACTGTGAGTCCATTAAACCTTTTTTCTTTATAAATTACCCAGTCTCGGGTATGTCTTTATCAGCAGCATGAAAACAGACTAATACGTAGTAGATCCCAGGTCAGCAGGACCCTGGAACCCCCACGCCCAACACACACAAATTCCCTCCACCAGACGAGGCCCTTGGGAGTTACTGATGCTGCATAATTAATGTTGTGGCTCGAAAGGAATCAACCATGTCTGATATCACTGTAGTGATGAGTAAATGGCAGAATGTGAGCCATGGAGCTTTAAGTGGGCCTAAGGTTGACCATCTTCTACTTTGGGCATCTCCTGGCTGGTGGTCATTATACTAGAAGAACCTCCCAACGATAGTAATAAACCAAATGTTTAGTAATCATGATATCACTTATACAATGCTCACTATGTGTCAGCTCTTGCATGTATATTTTTATTTACTTAATCCTTAAAATAGTTCATTTTACAGATGAGAAAACTGAGGTGTAGAGAGGTTAAATTATTAATACTTGCCTGAGATAACACATTAACAAATGGCAGAGTTAGGGTCATAACCCAAGGCTGTTTGGCTCAAAGTTTGTTCTCTTAAACCCTAGGCTACCTGCTTATAACTTTTTTTTCTATTTGCCACACTGGTTAATGAAATTTGATGGGCTGCGTCCATCAATACAGGGCTATCTCCCAGGACAAGAAGGCAAGCTCTGCCTCTCAAGGGGCCTGACCTTGGTGGGTGCTTCCCTATCCAGTCTCACAAACACAAGGACTCAGGATCCTAGTGTCAGTGGCATTTAGAGAGTATGACAAATGCCAGCAAAACTCACAAGAGACAAATGTATATACCACAATAAATACATAATGTTCATCTACAAGGATTATGCCAAGAGGACCAGAATGCCTCTGATGGCATGAACACCACGCTTATTCTTTGTCTGAAGCCAAATTGCAATCATTTATTCATTAAACAAATATTGATGGAACATTTGCACTGGAGTGAACAAAAGCAGACATAGCAGGATGGTGGTTTGGTAAGGAGTTTAAGAACAGCCTGTGCAACATAGTGAGAGAAGAAAAAGAAAGGAAGGGAAGGAAAGGGAAGGGAAAGGAAGGGAAGGGAAGGAAGAAGGAAAGGGAAGGGAAGGAGGAAGGAAAGGAAAGGGAAAGGAAGGGGGAAGGAAATGGAAGAGAAGGGAAGGGGGGATGGGGAGGGAAGAAGGGAGGAAGAGAGGAAGGAAAGAAGGAAGGAGGGAAGGAAAGAAGGAAGGAAGGAAGGAGAAGGAGAAAAGGAAGGAAGGAAGGAGACAAAGGAAGAAACCATGGAGTAGAATACTCTCTCTCTCTCTTTTCCATTGTCTGTCACATCAGCTTCACCCTATACATCTGCTTCATTCTTTTCTTCAATCAATCGGAATCCTTAGCTGCACAGAAACTAACTATGACTGATTTTAACAGAAAATGAATTTTTGAAAGGATATCAGAAGCCTCGGAATCTCTAGGAAGCTCAGGGAACAAGATAAAAACAAGCAGCAACAAGGAAAAGCTAGACAGCCAGAACTGCAGCCAAAATCCCACTACAGACCAAGCCTAGTGAGGATACCACTGCTGCTGCCTCTAAGAACCAAACATCCCAGCTTGCACCCGCTCCACTGCTGGCACCAGGCACAGAGTCCTGCTGAGGCACTGCTGCTGGAATACAATCTCCACTATGCCTGCATCGTGTTTATAAGCTTTTGTTATTGATATTTTCATATATACACACACACAATAGCACAGTATAATGCCAACTTAAATAATTCTCAGCTCACAGTCAATCTTGTTTCATTTGTCTCCCTACCCACTTGTCCCCACCCTCATAATATTTCGAAGCAAATACCACTTATCCTATAATTTTATCCAAAACAATTTCAACATGTATGTCTAGAATGGCGTTTCTCAATCTTGGCACTGCTGACATCTTGGACCAGATAATTCTTTGCTGTCGGGGGCTGTCTTGTGCATTGTAGGATGTTAAGCAGCATTCCTGGTCTCTACCCACCAGATGCCAGTATCACCCTCTTCACTCTCAGTTGTGACAACCAAAACTACATCTAGACGTTGACAAATATCTCCTAGGGAGAAATATTGTCCCTGATTAAGAACTTTGGGAGGCCGAGGTGGGACGATTGCTTGAGTCCAGGAGTTTGAGAGCAGCCTGGGCAACATGGTGAAACCCTTTCTCTACAAAAAATTAGCTGGGTGTGGTGGCATGCCAGCAGTCCCAGCTACCAGGAAGGCTGAGATGGGAGGATCCCCTGAGCCCAGGAGGTTGAGGCTTCAGTGAGCCATGGCCATGATCGCACCACTGCACTCCAGCCTGGGGGACAGAGTGAGACCCTGCCTCAACAAACAAAAAAGATACGTGTATTATCATAAAAACATATAGACAGCTAGATGATAGATAATCACAAAACTATCATCACACTTTAAAAATTAAAAATAATTCCTCAAAACTATGAAATGCTGAGTTGGTGTTGAAATTTACCTGATTATCTTGAGGTATTTCTCTCATATTTATTGTTAGATTCTAGATGAAAATAAGAACCATACCTTGCCATTGGTTGGTATGTCTCATGTCTCTTTTAATAGGAAGGAAGGAAGGAAGGAGAATATTCTGTGTGTGTGTGCGTGTGTGTGTGTGTGTGTGTGTTACCAGGGGCCAGAGAGAGGGGAAGGAAATGGAGAGATGTAGATCAAAGGATACAAAGTAAGAGGTATGTAGAATGAACAAGTCTGGAGATGTAATGTATAGCACGAGAGCCGTCCTTAATAACATCGGGTTGTACTTGTGATTTTTTGCTCAAAGAGTAGATACTATGTGAGATGATGGATGTGTTCATTTGTTTGACTATAGTAACATTTTCACTACCTATATGTATATGAAAACAACATGTTATACACCTTAAATACATACAAAACAATTTAAAAAAATAAAGTGGAAAAAAGAAATCAGTTCCTGTAGAGTTCACCCACAGTCTGAATTACTGATTCTATCTCCATGATTGAATTGAACATACTCCTGTTTCTCCCGTGTTTCCTAGAAGTAAGTAGTTAGATCTAGAGGTTTGATTTCATTCTGGTTCTTTGTTAACTGCTTCATGATTAGGGAGCACACTTCCATCAAGAAGCCACGATGTCTGTTTGCCTCTTTTGTTTGGATATCAGTTGGCAATCACTTTCTAAATCCTTTATTTCATTAGGTATTAAAAATGATGAAATTCTTTCAATCCTTCCTCATTTATTAGCTAGAATACTTACAAAGATAAACATGCCCTTCAATTGTTTGGCCTCCCTGACAAACTGTATAGGGAAAAGTAGAATGCATGCTTGATTCTCTCCCTTTCCTTATCAGTTTTCAAAATAATGCAATGGTATGCTAGCATCTTCCAAGAGGGACCTGTGAGTTTTGTTGTTGTTGATGGTGGTGGTGGTATCCTCATGAACTCCTGCATTTCAACACATTAGAAGTGTTTTCAGTCTCCTGCAGTTATGTCCCTACTGATACTCAACTTGTTCCATTGTTGACTGGTGGAATCCCTTTTAAGATGGTTCATGTGTTCTTCTGATGAACCCCATTGGTCTTGGGTAACTTCTTGGCTTTCTGACATAACAAACATCTGCCAGGCTCATTTCCAGGTATATATTTCCTATCCTGGACTGGAACTGTATCTATAAACTTTATACAATTAATCAGGGAAGAAGGAGGGGGAGAAATAAAAATAAACCAGGTCTGCAGCACATTCAGCATTAATCATGAAGCCACCTTGCTCTGTGACCTGCTTCCTCGTAGTTTTTTGGTGCCTATTCCTTCAGAATCACATAGACTCTGTCACAAGAGTATAGCTCCCCTTAACTTCTCTGTAGATAACAACTTAATCATTGTGAAATATTAAGTTTTCTATTTGAGATATTCTTTCAGGTTCTGCACACCAGTGAAACTGCTGACACCAGCTGGTCTGAAGGACTCCATGAGAAGCTGACTCACAAAAGAATGCAGTTCTTACATCCCAACAATTTCATCCCCTATACCCTGACAAATAACCCCAATTTTCCAGCTATTTACCTTCCATGATCTCCTAAAAAATCCCAGCCCAGATCTGCCCAAGGAGGCAGATTTGAGTGTCCCTCCTGTCTCCTCTCTCAACTGCCCTGCAATTGTTAATTTTTTTCTCTTCTGCAAACCCTGCTGTCTCAGTGTATTGGTTGTTGCACAGCAGGCCCACAAACCTGGTGGACCTATAACAAGACCAGGTACCAGACTTTTCTCTAAAGATCCCCAGTTCCTTCTAGTGTGGTCCAGCTACTTTGCAACTCTGACCAAGCCTGCACCACTTGCCCCTGCGTTAGCATCCCAAGAGCTAAAAAACAAGAATGTGGCCTTTTGGGTTTCTGTGATCTGAAGTAGCTTTGCTTCCACCAAGATGACAGAAAGGGAAATTCCCCAAACAGGAAGAGGAGGGTGGGACAATGGATGACCCACCACACCACCACCACCACCAAATGACTGATGTTTTCTGTATCTCTCTCTTTCTAAAACAGACTTTCTCAGTGCACATGGCCAAACGTGGCTGTCCCACAGCTCCTGAATTTACACATCCTCGCAGCTCCAGTGCCAATGGAAGCCAAGTCCCAGTTATAAATCCCCAGGAGATATGGTCTAGTTGTTCCAATCTGGATCAAGTGTAATCAGCTTTACCCTAAGGGCAGGATCACACAAACCTGCCACAGGGGCTCCCCATCAAAAATAGAAAATAACAGGTCTCAAAGAAAGGGAGACCTGCCTGAACTCACACCCCAAAAGACATCCTCTGCCCACAGCTAGAGTTGAGGACTGGATGATTCAAACCTTGAAGGCTTCACACACTAGGAAATTAATAGGCTCCTTTCTACAGTTCCCAATGTATGAAACTCCCAGCATCCCACCCTAAGCCCTCTACAATCATACCTGGCCTCTTGTCTCAGTGACATCAGTGACTGACCCCTCTTTCTTCAGCTAACAACCATGGCTCACATTTTCCAGAGCCCTCATGTGTGCCAGTCACTCTGTTATCCATTAGATCACATGCCTCGTTTCTCTGAATCTTTGAAGCCTCCTTGTGGTAGGCACTATTGTCAGCATCCTCATTTTTTTTGGTGGAGAAACTAAGACTTGGAGACATTAATATGCCCAGATTTCATCATCCTACTTGGTAAGAGATAGAACCAGGATTTGAAGCAAGGCAGTCTGAATCAAGAGCCTCTGTTCTTCAACTTGACACCATCTTTTTGAGTCACCAGCATTTGGGAGCACTCAAGTCTTGCCCTGCCCTATCACCATGGTGTCTCATGAAGGTAACGCCCAATTTTTCTAATTTCATCTAAGTGTCTTCCTTCTGCAGTTATTTCCCAGGGAGCCACCTGCTTTTAAAGTTGGTACCCATGCACCAGACACAAAATAGAATTCTGAAGCCACACTGTCTGTTGTTGTCCCCATGAAAGGGAGCCTAATTATCATAACCAAAAAAAGAAAGCTTCGTTGTAAAACTTGCACCCATTAGTGTAGAGAATGTGGGTTTGTATGGACTATCCAGAAAATACAAACTCATTTGATCCTGCAGAAATATTTGTTAAGCACTGTTTTAGGTACAGGGATAGAGCAGCTAACAGAACAGATAAACGTGCCTGCTTTCACGAAGCTTACCTTTTAATGCTGAGTTGGGGGAGGGCAGGAAGACAAGCAATAAGTGAGAAAAGTAAGTAAAGTACATGGTATGTGAGATTAGTGGTAAGTGCTAAGGAGAAAATAATAAAGGTCAGAAGGTAATCATGAAGTGTTGAAGGCAGAGAACGATTAAAATTTTAGATTGTGAGGAGGAGGAGGTTCATGGAAGGGCCAATTGAATAAAGTGCAAAAAGAAGCGAAAGAGTGTGTAGCTGTCTGAGGAAACTGCATTGCCAGGAGCAGGAACAGCACGTGCAAAGGCCCCGAGGTAGGAGCCCGACTACAGCTGTGTCCCAGGAGCAGAGAAGGCCAATGTGGTGGGAGGAAAGAGAAGATGCGGCAGGGTGGCAGAGGTGAGCACAGAGCTCACCTGTGAGCCTTAAAACTCACCTATGAGGTTTTTCTTTTTCAAGACGAAGTGTTGCTCTGTTGCCCAGGCTGGAGTGCAGTAGCACAATCTCAGTTCACTGCAGCCTCCACTTCCCGGGTTCAAGCAATTCTCCTCCTGCCTCAGCCTCTCAAGTAACTGGGATTATAGGTGTGTGCCATCACACCCGGCTAATTTTTATATTTTTAGTAGAGATGGGGTTTCACCATGTTGGCCAGGCTGGTCTCAAACTCCTAACCTCAAATGATCTACCCATCTCGGACTCCCAAACTGCTGGGATTACAGGTGTGAGCCGCTGCACCTGGCCTCACCTATGAGTTTTAAGGAACATGGAGGCAGGTCCTATGGGGGCCTTGAGGGTCGCAGTGAGGACTTTGGCTTTTTCTCTGGGTGAGCTGGGAGCCAGAACAGGAACTATGAGCTCTGACTGGTGCCTTCACAGCATCATATCGCCCATCACAGCATCAGCAGCAAATAAACTCCCAGTGAGGAAGCTAGAAAACCAGTTAGGGGGCTCTTGCAATAATCCAAGTAAGAGCTGATGTGATTTGAACCTGGGCGGTGGCTGTGAAGGTGTGTATATTTATCTACCTTCCTTATACAAGTAGAGATGACAAGATGGATGCGGGGTGTGGGAGAAATAAAGGAATCCAGGGGACTTCAAAGTTTGGGCTGAGCAAGTCGTCCAACCTTTAAACCTTCCAGGCAAGTCGGAATGTCACTCCAGTTTCCTCCAATTTGCAGCAACCTAAAGGTGGGTTTTTGTTGTTGTTGTTTGTTTTTCTTTTCTTTTTTTTTTTTTTTTTTTTTTTTGAGACGAAGTTTCACTCTTGTTGCCCAGGCTGGAGTGCAATGGCACAATCTCGGCTCACCACAACTTCTACCTCCTGGGTTCAAGCAATTCTCCTTCCTCAGGCTCCCGAGTAGCTGGGATTACAGAAATGCGCCACCACACCTGGCTAATTTTTTTGTATTTTTAATAGAGTCGGGGTTTCCCCCATGTTGGTCAGGGTGGTCTCGAACTCCCAACCTCGGGTGATCCACCCGCCTCTGCCTCTCAGAGTGCTGGGATTACAGGCGTGAGCCACCACGCTCGGCCAAGGTGTTTCTTTTTTTCTCGTTATAGATTTTTTTTTAACGAGGCCAGCCTGGAACCAATTTGTTTATAACTTTAAAACCCCAAAGGATCTCTGCAGGTAAAAAGATTGCACCTCCTATCTAACAGATGCCCACTGCACTTTCAGATCTCTCATTGCCTGCCCAGCCCCTGTCCCAGGCACACAGAGAAATTATTTTCCTAAGAGCCAAGTTCAAGCAAAAATGTATTATTCTGGCTTACTAGCCCAGGCAAAATTCCAATACACTGCTTAAATTCTGCCAACTAATTAGTCAAAGATGTGTAAGCTCACCCTGGTACTACAGGCTGGGAGTGGTCAAGTATGTGTATGTGTGTGTGTGTGTGTGTGAGAGAGAGAGAGAGAGAGAGAGACAGACAGACAGAAAGCGAGAGACAGAGAGAGAGAGACAAAGAGTGTGTTGAATATACACTACTTTCCAGAACGTGCTGAAATCAGGAGAAAACTCTGGTATGAGAAAAAATTGGATGTCAGAGAAGAAATCATGGCTGGGGTGAAAGAGGTCAGACCTATACATTTAGGATAGCAAACCAACAAGAACCTGGGTACTGAAAAAGGAATTTAAAACAAAAGCATATATTTCAAGGCTGCTAATGTGGATGTATGTGTATGTGTGTGTATATATATATATGTATATATACATATATATATAAAACTTGTCTCTATAGAAACATCTTGAGACATTAACCATCAAATTGGCATAAATTTTTCCCTCTATAAATCTGCAATGCTGTTTTGCAGTGTATTGACTTTATCTTTGGAACTAAAGCAGTTTGTAAGACACAGGCATGTCCTATCACAGGGAGAGAACTAACACTTTCTAATCACAGCTGACCAAGAGCTCTGAGCTTGATGTCTAAGGCATCCTATAAAATGACATGTTTCCTGACCAAGAGGATGCTTAGTGGCAGGGTTAAGAGCTCTGAACAGAAATGGGTTTCAATCCCAGCTCTGCGCCTGTAGAAATCTTGCACAAATGATTTAGCCTCTCTAAGCCTCATTTTCCTCATGTGCAAAATGGGAACGATTCAACCTGTCTCCCAGAGGAGCTGTGAAGATCAAATAACAGAAAATATGAATTTGAGTGCAGCACAGTACCTGGCACAGAGTAGGACTTCAAAAGCCATTGACCATTGCCACTACACTATCAATAAAAAAGCCTCAGGGTATCCAACGGCTGGTTTTGCTTTGAGCCTCCAGATTCATGAACCAAGATTCCCTCCCGATCTGTTGTGACACTTCATTAGTGGGCTGGGAATATTTAATGGCACACAGAAGCCTGTTTCAACAGCATGTTTTCCTTTGCCGGGCTGCAATTTCTTAATTGCTCTAAAGCAGATGTACTTAGTTTTGCCAGCCAAGTTGCAGGCGATCGGTTTCAGGGTTTGGGTTTCAAAACACGATATTGGCACTAGGTTATTTCATGTTGGTGAGACGGTCCCTGGAGTAACATGAGCAAGGCTGGGGTGGGACTAGGGTGTAGAGAACAACACGAAAGGAGGTTGCAGGTATTTTCTTCTTTTTTTTTTTTTTTTTTTTGAGACGGAGTCTCGCTGTCGCCCAGGCTGGAGTGCAGTGGCGCAATCTCGGCTCACTGCAGGCTCCGCCCCCTGGGGTTCACGCCATTCTCCTGCCTCAGCCTCCCGAGTAGCTGGGACTACAGGCGCCCGCCACCTCGCCCGGCTAATTTTTTGTATTTTTAGTAGAGACGGGGTTTCACCGTGTTAGCCAGGATGGTCTCGATCTCCTGACCTCGTGATCCGCCCGCCTCGGCCTCCCAAAGTGCTGGGATTACAGGCGTGAGCCACCGCGCCCGGCCGGTTGCAGGTATTTTCTGACTTAATCAGGCCAGGCCAAGGAATGGGACTTCTCGGTTTCCTGCCCACCTAGTGACCTCCTAAACACAGATAACTATAGGATGGGGGAATGGATGGATCTAGTAGCTGGAATGAGCCCAAAATAAAGTGAAAGCAAAGGGACAAGTCTTCAGGTATCATCTAGGCCACAGGTTATCAAACTGTGCTCTGTAGAACTCTAGAAGAAGATCCACAGGCCCTATCAGGTGTCCCTCATGCTCCCTCTTAATAACATTAATTATTGTTATGGGAGCCAACGTTTGTTGAGGACTTACATCATGCCAGGCACAGTTCTAAGCACTTTGCATGAATCAACACATTACATCCTTACGACACTCCCAAGAGGTAGGTACTATTGTAAATACCCCTTTACAGAAAAGGGAACCAAGGCACAGAGAAGTTAGGTAACATGTCCAAAGCCACCCAGCTTGTCAGCAGCAAAGCCAGGATTCTAACCCAGGCAGCGTGGAGTCAGAACTCGGGGTCGTAACCACTCGGGTGTTTTGGTGTGATCATGGTTCACTGCAGCCTCGAACACCTGAGTTCAAGCAATCCTCTTGCTTCAGCCTCCCAAGTAACTGGGACTACGAGCACATGCCACCATGACCAGCAATTTTTTTTTGGTAGAGACAAGGTTTCACTATGCTGCCAGGCTGGTCTCCAACTCCTGGTCTCAAGTGGTCTTCCCACGTCAGCTTCCCAAAGTGCTGGGATTATAGGCATGAGCCACTGTACCCAGCCTTAAACATTTGTTTTTCATTGTCTTTATTTGTGCAGGTTTCTGTGTAAGAATCCATTTTGCTGTGTGTGCACGCACGCACACACACACACACAAATCATTCATCTAGTCTAGAGCAAAGAAATGACTTCAGGCAATGTTCCAAGAGCATTAGGACCCCTTACCCTCTCAACTGCTTCTTTCTATGTATTCATTCATTCCTGCAACAATTATTTATAGATTACTAGCCAGGAAACAAAGCAGAGCCCAGCGATTTACCATATGGGCTTTAGGACCTAGGCTGTGGAGCATTCTGCAGGACACAGCAATGACCTGACAAATGGAGACGAGGACCTGACGTGGGGCAGAAGAGACCTCAGAACCATCACACAGCCACTAAACACAATGGGGGACTCACGTGGATCTTGATTTGAAAAAAAAATCCAAAGACATGCTCAAGACAACCAAGGACATGTGAATACAGGCGGGTGTTAGATGATGCTAAAGATTACTGTTAATTTTGTAAGAGTGATAATGGCGTGGAAATTATGTAAAATACGGCCTTGATGGCTTGGTTTCTCTAACAGATAAATTGCAAGAGAAAAGAAGAGAGAGACAGACAGAGAATCTGTGGATTAAAACACATTATAGATGTCTCAACCAATTGCAGCATATGGTTGTCATTTGTGTGCTGATTCAAACAGACTGTAAAACAAAAAAGGGAAAGAGGAGGAGAGAGATAGAGAGAGAAAGAGGTGGAGGAGGGAGGGAGAGGGAGGAAGGCAGACAGACAGAGGGAGAGAGAGCCAGAGAGAGAGGGAGAAAGAATGAGAGGGAGAGAGAAGTAGAAACTATAAAACAATAGGAGACAATTGGGGAAATGTGAATGTCAACTGAATATTTAATGATAGAAAAGGAAATGACTATAAAATGTTTAAGTGTAATAATGGTGTTATGGCTATGTTGTTTTACAAGACTCCTTAACTTTTACTGATACATGCTGAAATATTTACAGATAAAATGACAAAATGCCTGAGATTTGCTTCACAATGATTGGCAGGGGAGAAGAAGGAGAATACAGATGAGGGTTTAATGCAATAAGACAACCTATGAGCCAATAACTGTTGAAGCTGATGAGAGGTATGAGAGGGAATTGTTATATTATTTTTTCTACTTTTGCTGAAGTTTGAAACTCATGTGGTAATCTTTTTAATGTTCACATAAGTGAGAGATACAAATTGATGTATAGATAAGTGAGATGACAAGATGTCTTCGGTTTGCTTTAAAATATTCCATCACAAATGTTTAAAATGTAGAAAAACGATAAAATAATATTGGTCATTGCTGGAGCTGAGTGATGAATCTGGGAGTGTGTATTATTCTATTCTTGCTAATTTCATTTATATTTGAAACTTTCCTTAACAGAGAGGAGGAAAAAATTGCTTGGACTCTGAACCTATGGAATCTTGATCCACATAGGGCTCTGTCATTTAGTAACTTTTTGGCCTTAAGCAATTGATATACTCACTGCCTCAATTTCCTCCTCTGTAAAATGGGATAAAAATAAAATCAGTATCCATAGCAGCTTTCTGTGTAGTATCTGTTGTATGGATATACTACCATTTGTTTATCAGTTTACCTATTGATGGACATTTGGTTTTATCCATTTGCCTATTGATGGACATTTGGAAACAACCAAATATCCATCAATAGCAACCAAATGTCCATCAATAAGTAAATGAATAAACAAACGGTAGTATATCCGTACAACAGATACTACTCAGAAATAAAAGGGAATGAACACTAACATAAGCAAGAAAACAGATGAATCTCAAATTATGCTGTGTGAAATCAGCCGGGGAAAAGTATATATTGTATGACTCCCCTTACATGCAATTTTAGAAAATGCAAACATCTCTATAGTGGTAGAAAGCATACGAGTAGTTGCCTGAGGAGGGGGCTGGCATGGAGGGATGGGATGGAAAGATTACAAAAGGGCACAAGGGATGTTTAGTTGATGGATATGTTCATTATCTTGATAGTAGTTTTGTTTTTATAGATGTATACATGTTAAAATTTATCAAATTCTACACTTAAAATTGTACACTTAAAAACAGTTTACTGTGGCCAGGCGCAGTGGCTCACACCTGTAATCCAAGCACTCTGGGAGGCCGAGGCAAGTGGATCATGAGGTCAAGAGATCGAGACCATCCTGGCCAACATGGTGAAACCCCGTCTCTACTAAAAATACAAAAATTAGCTGGGTGAGGTGGCATGCGCTTGTAGCCCCAGCTACTCTGTAGGCTGAGGCAGGAGAATTGCTTGAACCTGGGAGGCAGAGGATGCACTGAGCCGAGATCGCGCCACTGCACTCCAGCCTGGCGACAGAGCGAGATTCTGTCTCAAAAAAAAAAAAAAAAAAGTTTACTCTATCTCAATTATATTTCGATAAGGCCATTAAAAATAAAACAAAACTTATCTCAGTAAGTTGTGGAATCTTAATAGGTCCATTATCCAATGTGCATGGCAAGTCAATTCACAAAGCCACCGGGTTGCAACAGAGAAAGAGGTTTAATGGTAGGGCTATCAAACAAGGAGGTGGGAGGAAATCTCAAATCCGTCTCCCTGATGTGTTTGGGGTTAGAGTTTTTAAGGATTTTGAAGTGGGACAAAGAGTGGAGATCACTGAATTGTTCAAAGAGTGCACAGTGAAGTCACAGGGCTGGGAGATGAAGAAACTGCTCTGTTTCTCTGTGGGGGTCTTCAAATTGGTTAGTGTCGGCTGTTTCCCTGGAATTTGAGTTGTGAAAAACATCATAAGCAATCCTTAACCAAAAGCCTATGATTCTAATGTCAGAAATCTTATCTGTAGGAACAAAGGGAATGCAATTCTCAGTTTCCAGTGCTATGTGACTTTCGGTTACAAGAAAGTGAGGCAGATTGCAGCCTGATTAATGCTTAATTACAACCATACTTCTGTCCAGAATTCTTGTTAGCCCTGTGAGGACGGCTTCAGCTATGAGGATTAAATGAGTCCATATACGTAAAATGCATAGAATGATATCAGGCCCCTGCTGAGCTCCCAGGCAGCCATCAGCAAGTGTCAGAGTCTGTACTAGGTGCTGGGGGGACAAGAATAAACAAAGCAGATTAGGGAAGGAACTCTGCCCCTCATGAAGCTCTTAGGCTTTCCAGAAGAGAGGAGAAACACATCCCAAAACATCCTAATAGAGAAGAACCACAGGAAAGGGAAATATAAGTCAATGCAGACTTCCTGAAAGAAAAAAATACATCAGCTGAGGCCTGGAAGATGAGCAGGATCAGTCAGGAAAGAGTCTGAGAGAACCTTCCAGTCAGAAGGAAAGTGTGTGCAAAGGCCCTGAGGCAAGAGAAAGCGTGTCATAGTCAGGATGGGAACATTGTTCTAAATGGTTGCAGTGTGGAGGGCATGAGGGTGTGGAAGAGAAGATGGCAGAGAAGAGGCTGAAATGAGTCCTAATAATATGAACTAGCATTTACTGTTTGCTATGAGCTAGGCCCTCTACTAAGCATTTCAGATTCATGAACTCATTTATGCTCGATGACAAACCAATGGGAAGGTATCATTTATTATTATCATTATTATTCCCATTTTACAACTGATACTCAGAGTGTGGGGCTATGTTATCCAAGATCACACAGATAGTAAGAAAGGCAAGAGGGACTCAAGTGTAAGCCTGGATAATTCCAACTCATCCAACCTTAACACCCTGGCACCCACAAAAGGATCAGAGAGCATTTGCCAGTATTAAAGAAGTGTTACAAACAGCCTGGTATGAAACGGAAACTTGTTCCTTGATGTAATGAGATTAAAAGGGGATTAGAAAAACGGCCAGGTGCGGTGGCTCATGCCTGTAATCCCAACACCTTGGGAGGCCGAGGTGGGTGGACCACCTGAGGTCATGAGTTTGAGACCAGCCTGGCCAACATGGAGAAACCCCATCTCTACTAAAAATACAAAAATTAGCCGGGCATGGTGGTGGACGCCTGTAATCCCAGCTACTCGGGAGGCTAAGGCAGGAGAATCGCTTGAACCCGGGAGGCGGAAGTTGCAGTGAGTAGAGATTGCACCACTGCCCTCCAGCCTGGGCTACAGAGCAGGACTCTGTCTCCCAAGGAAAAAAAAAAGAAAAGAAAAGAAAAAGAAAAAGGAAAGGCTTTCTCTGGAATACCAACCATGTAGCCTTGCTGTGGCAACCCTCTGTGGCAAATACTACCCTCTTCCATTTCGTGGATGAGAAAACTAAGAATCAGATAGGTCAAGTAAACTTGCCCAAAGTCACAAAGCTAGAAAGCTCTGGAGTCTCCCTGACTCCAAATCTCAAGCCTTTAAACACCACTGTATCTTGAAATCACAGCTCTCCCCCAGGCTGCCATACTACCCTTCCCTTTGTCCTCCCCTTCCCACCCTAAGCCTCTGCAGGGCCGAGGACTCCTATTTTCCCTTCCTTGGCAATGCCTTCCAGCAAAGCTGTCTGAGGAAGGTCATTGTGACCATCACGGGCAGAGGAGGACATCAGACTTCCACCTCTTGAAAATGGGTGTCAGAATCCTATGACATAGTGCTCCCAGTCAGCTCCTCTTTCCTATTGAATTAGCACTGCTTGACGCAATCTCTCTTTTGCCATTTTAATGTGATAAGTGGCTAATTTGATTGGGTTCAATGAGATGTAAATGATTGGATTCAATAAAGAACCAAGGAGTGTTTCCCTCCACCAGGCAGAACTCATTTCTCATTGGAGGTACAACTTTCTGCCCAGGGGCACAAAAAGAGGAGATGAAAGCCCTCGTTTGCATCTTGTTTAAAAGGAAAACTCTGAAACTCTGGGTTCTCCTCCCTTCCAACTCTGGGGACCCTGCTGAGTAGGCATGTCTTTATTCTGTAAAATGGGATCACCACATTCCCAGACCATTATCATGCTTTATCTCCCTGCCTCTAAACTCAGGGCCTCCACAAAGGGAAGCTTCAGGATGTGTTGTCCAGGATAAAGGTCATTCCCAAACACTATCACATCCTCTGCACTGGGGTGCAAAACAACCATGACATTCCCAGAGGGTTGGGGATGAAGAGTAATTGATAGAGTCAAGTCCCTAAGGAAAGGGGATGGGATCCAGATAAGAGTTGCTTCGGGTGGCCCCCAGTGAGCTCCGCCTTCTAATACTCACACCCTTCTATAGTCCTCTCTCATATTGTGCTAGGGTTGGTCCGGGTAACCAATAGAATGTGGCAGAAGTGATGGCAAGTTACACTGAGATTAGGTTCTAAAAAACACTTGTGCCTTTGGTCTTGGGCTTGCTCCCTCTCTTGGATCACTCACTCTGGGGGTGTCCAGCGCCCAGCCTTAGGACAACTGGGCACCCTACGGGGAGGCCCACATGGTAAAGAACTGGGGCCTCCAATCACCAGCCAGTGCCGAACTGAGCCCACCAACAAGCACGTAAGTGAGCATGGAAGCAGATCTTCCCCACTCAAGCCTTCAGTGGACTGCAGCCCCAGGCACCAAAGTCACACAACTAGAAAGCTTTGGAGTCTTAAGGTCTCAAGAGACCTTAAGCCAGAATCACCAGCTAAAGAATTCCAGTTTCCCAACCCACAGAAACTGCCAAATAATACATGTTTGTTTTTTTAAGCTGCAAAGTTTGTGGATACTTTGTTATGCAGGCGTCGATAACTAATACATCTGGTAACTATTCGTACATTCAAGTCAAACTCATCTCCAAGGCTGACTGTGTTTCCCCATGAATTGTCTTTCAAGAAGCAGACAATAAAATAATAAAACCCCAAATGTCCTTCAGTTTGGGTCTTTTGGTAAAGAGTGAGCTGCAGAACTGAATAACCTTGGACACATTATTTAAATTCCCTGACACTGAGCCTCCTCCTCTTTAAAATGTGGATAATATTTGTACCACCTCAGAGAGCGGCTGTGCAGATAAGTGGAAGAATGACCAGCACGAGCATATACAAGCCTGACACCTAGTAACTACTTAATAAACATTAGCTATTGTTATATTAGTATTATTATTAGAATTAGTAATATTAAGACGGAATTAAAAACTGCAAAAAAAAACCCCAAAACAGCCTAAGAATCTCTGTTGCCTAAAGTATCTGTTTAGAGACTAAACTGAGGTTTGAAATGAGTACATTTGCCAATACAATGGCCTGCAAAAGGCACCGGCAAGCACCAATTGTGTCAGGCATGGAAAATCACTCCACAGTGGAGTTTCTAGATGTCTGCACCTCAAACGCTCAAAGGTGTACGCTGAGCATCAGGCCTAGATGCCAGGGGGTGGCTGACGTCCAAGAGCTGGCACATTTCATCTGAGCTGGACTGCTCGGGCCCATAAAAGAAGTGAGTCAATGGCTTAGTCACCGCTTGGCATGTAGCGGAAGTTGGATTAGGAAAAAGCATGAATGGAGAAGCAGAGGCTTGTAGAGAAAGACCTCAACCATTCCATCCCTCCCTGGCCACTGGAAATTCCTGTCTGCTACAGAGAGGTCCCGACTTCAGCAGAGGGCAGACAGGGGATGGGGGAATTTGAGATGAAATTAATCCTGTGTTTACAGGAATCCTAGCTTAGGACTTCTTCCCAAACCCCAGTGGAAAGAGCTAGTACTTTAGGGTCAGTCCAAGGTCAATCCCAAGACCCCGTTCAGCCACATACTAACTGTGTGTCCTTGGGTAAGTCACTTTACACATCTGGGCCTCAATTTCCTTGCTGCAAAATGGTACAAAGTGATACCTACCTGGCAGGGCTTTGTGAGGCCAAAACGAGATCACACATGTAAAGCAAGGTTTCTAGCACACAGTAGGCCTTCAATAAATGGTAGCTAGATACTCAAGGTTTGCTCCATGGAAATAATAAAATTGCTGTCGTGTATTTGCTATGAAGATTAAACAAGACAACAGAAGCAGAGAATCGGGCAGCCTCTGCATGTCTTAGGCTCTCAACAAGATGATTTCCATTCTTTATAGAAGTTTCTAAAATTGCTCTTTCTCCAGATCTTCTTCCCAAACCAATCAGAAGAGGAATGGTAAATTTTTTCAGGGCTACCTGACCAAATTTGAAAACCCATTGACGTGATCAATGAGGCAGATACTGGCTAGTTGCTTACCCAACCTGTTCCCTCTTGTTGGGCACATAGTTGGACCACATTTCCCAGCCTCCCTTGCAGTTATATGTGGCCACGTAAGCGAAATCCAGGCAATGGATGTGGAGAGACACGATGCAAGCCACTTCTTTTTTTTTTTTTGCCTTATTATTGGGATTTTATTAATTATTTTTTATTATTATTATTTCAATAGGTTTTTGGGGGAACAGATGGTGTTTGGTTACATGAGTAAGTTCTTTAGTGGTGATTTCTGAGATTTTGGTGCACCCATCACCCGAGCAGTATACACTATACGCAATGTGTAGTCCTTTATCCCTTTATCCCTCAGCCCCTCCCACCCTTACCCCTCCAGGTCCCCAAAGTCCACTCTATCATTCTTATGCCTTTGCATCCTCCTAGGTTAGCTCCCACTTATGAGCGAGAAAATACGATGTTTGCTTTTTCATTTCTGAGTTACTTCACTTAGAATAATGGTCTCCAATTCCATCCAGGTTGCTGCAAATGCCATTATTTCATTCCTTTATATGGCTGAGTAGTATTCCATTTTATATATATATATATCACATTTTCTTTATCCACCTGTTGACTAATAGGCATTTGAGCAAATAATTATTATTATTATAAATAATTATAATAATATAAATATAATTTATAATTATTATAAATAATTATTATCATTTGCCTAATAATTAGGCATTCCATATTTTGATACAAGCCACTTCTACGTCTTGCCCACAAAGACCTCCCTCGCTACTTCTCCATGTTTGCTCCCTCTGGATAGATGAAGAAAATTCGAAGGCCCCAGAGAAGAGAGAAAGGCCATAGACTGGAAAGAATCTGGGTCTTGTACTCATCCTGTGAACAACTACCCCAGTGACCAGGAACACCCACATGGAACCATTACATAAGCAAGAAGCAAGCTTTTGTAGTGTGAAGCTACTGGATGGATGTATGGGTGTGTTTGTTACAACAGCTAGCATTACAGTCAGCTTCTGGGGAATCCAATTCCACATCCCCACTCATAAAACGGACTTGGCTGCTCCAGGGACTTGGAAATCAGATATTCCACATGAATGCTTTTAGCTTTAAAACTGCCATAAAGGATATCACACGGGGTGTGAACCTATGAGGTCCAGCCCATAATAATATCCACCATTTCTGAGTGCTTGCTGTGTGTGCCAGGCATTGGGATAAGGCCTGCATAGGCTTGATCTCAGCTGTTCCTCATAATAATCATATTTATATGATTAATATAATAGTCATAAATATTATTAAGCCCATTTTACCACGGAGGGAACGGAGGGTTGATGAAATTAAATAACACTTTCTCACTTTCACAACAGAGAACTGGCTCTGCGCATGAAACACTGACAGTTCCATTTTGTCAGGAGAGGACTACGGCTGCCCCAAGGTACTCTGGAAGCCAACGGGGAACAGGAGGGTTCTTGGGTTTCTGGATGTGGGGAAAGGAGAATGTTGCCATTTTCAGATGCTGGGGAAAGACCAAAGTCTGGACTTTGAAATATGTGTGTTGACAACTGTATTGATTCTAAAGAAAAAAATCTACATATCTATATTAAGTCAACAGTGAAATAATCATAGAGTGCTACCCTTATAAAGAGACAAATCATAAACTTGGCTGTGTAATGTAATGAAGAAATACTGTCACAGACTGAATTGTGTCTCCCCAAAATTTATATATTGAAGCCTTAATTCCAAGTATCTCAAAATGCAGCTGTATTTAGGGATAGCCCTTTAAAGAGATAATTAAGCTGGTCATGGTGGCTTACTCCTGTAATCCCAGCATATTGGGAAGCCGAGGCAGGAAGATCGCTTGAGCCCAGGAGTTCAAGACCAACCTGGACAACATAGGGAAACCCCATCTCTACAACAAATAATAATAAAAAATAGCCAGGCATGGAGGTGCACCTGTGGTCCCAACTCAGGAGGCTGAGGTGGGAGGATAGCTTGAACCTGGAGGTCCAGTCTGCAGTGAGCCAAGATAGCGCCACTGTACTCCAGCCTGGGTAATAGAGAGAGACCCTGTCTCAAAAAAAAAAAAGAAAAAAAAAGTAATTAAGTTAAAATAAGTTAATTAGGGTGGGCCCTAATCCAATATGATTTGCTCTTTGTTGAAAGTGGAAATTAGGACATAAATAGATACAGACTAGGTACAGAGGGAGGAACATGGGAAGACACAAGGATTTTGAAACATTTACCCCAACATTTACCCTAACCCTTTGAAACTGACTCCAGTTCAGTCCTGCCCAGTGTCACACACTTGATATAGATATTTCATTTTTCTCTTACTAGCAACCACCAGAGGCATATTCACTTCTGTGGATTTGGAAGCTTTCCCCTACCCTTCCAGGTCAATCATTAAATGGCTGGCTTCTGAATTCTCTGTGCACTTTATTTGTATATCTCGCTGTGTGACCTCAGGCAAGTTACTTAACCTCTCTGAACATCAGGGCTCCCATCCACAGTAGAGAGATGATAACAGTGCCAACTTCCTAGGGTTGTTATGAAGATTAAATGATGTAATTCATGTAAAGTACTTGGCATGTCGTAAGTGCTCAATCAATTGTTTGTGTGTGTGTGTGCACGCATATATTTTCTGTTTCTCTGCTTCTAGAGATAATATTAACCTTTTTAGTATCAGGAGAATTGACTAAAATAATATATTCCCACTCAGCACAGTACCTTGCACATAGGAAACATTCCCATGTGGGTGTTCCTGTTCCTTAGCGGGTGTTATTATTTTAAGACACCCACCATTGGCATTGGACTGGGATTAAGAAGTCCAGGATTTGAGTCTTGGATTGCCTGGCTAGTAAACTATGGTCAAGGCAGTTCATCTTTCTATGCTTCAGTCTTTATGTCAACAACACAGGGAGAATGGTGCTCATTATAGAGGGTTGCTGTTTCCTAAGCACTGAATAAAGTGTATACAACTCTATAGATGGTCATAAACTTGTAAAATATATATGGCTGGGCACAATGGCTGGGCACACCTGTAATCCCAATACTAGGAGGCTGAGGTGGAAGGATCACTTGAGGCCAGCAGTTTGAGACCAGCCTGGGCAACATAGTGACATCCTGTCTCAAAAAAAAAAAAATTAAGTTAAAATTAATAAAAAATAGCCCAGCATGGTGGCACATGCCTGTAGACCCAGCTACTTGGGAGGCTGAGGTGGGAGGATTGTTTGAGCACCGGAGTTCTAGGTTGCAGTGAGCCATGACTGCATCACGGCACTCTAGCCTGGGTGACACAGTGAGACCCTGTCTTTAAAAATAATTTTAAATGTAATAAAATATATGTGATTGGAGTTATTCAGGGACATGTCCTTCCTACTTCTTGTTAACAGAAAATAGATTTTGTTTCTGTAGTCTGCCAGCATTGAACACAATGCCTGGCACGTAGTAGGTGCTCAATAAATGTTGAACAACTGAGTGAATGAACAAATGTATGAATGAATGGGTTGAATGCATCTAGGACTGTCATAAGCTTCCAGGACTCAGGATTTTTTGTTTCTGCTGCAAAGATTTTTGGAATAATTACATAACCCACTAGCCCAGAGCCTCGAGCTTGATTTTCGATAACAATGATGAGAACTTTCCAAACCCATTCCGATAAGCATCACAATAACAATAATTGAATGCCTTACTTGCAAAACGCCTTTGCATCTATCATCGCATTTTATTGTCAGCACCCTTATAAAAGTAAGAATTACTATTTCATTTTGCAAATGGAAAAAATTTTTGAGGCCAAGAGAAGGAATGCAGTTTTCCCAACTCTGCAACCCAAGGGGCTCATCAAAATTTCTAGGAGGAATTTGATTTCAGTTATTCTTTCCCTCCTCAGAATCTGGGTGTCTTGACACAGAGGTTTGGAAAAATGCCTTCATTTTCAGCATCCCTCAGAAATCCCTGCAAGTTGAACATTTGCTGAACTCGCTAAATGGCAGCATTCTCTATGCAGTTGTCCATTCTAGAAATTTGGAAATTATGCTGGGTTCCTGCCTGTCTTTCATGCCCATCCAGACACACACATGCCCAGACCAGTAGCCAAATTTTCTCCATTTTCCGTCTAAAACATCTCCAGCACCTTCTTATCTCATTACTCTTACAATAGACCAACCGCCATCGCCTCTCAACTACATGACTTCAATACCCCTGATAGACCTCTACTTGTCCTCTACCTCTGGCCCCTCTGACCATTCCCACAGCCCAAGTGATGTTTGAAACATATAAATTCTCCTCCATAGCCTTAGGATAGAATTCAAGTTATTTATCGTGACCCTCCCAGCCCTTCGGATCTGCTTTGCCATCTTCCCTTCTGGCTTCCCATCTGGCCACCAACCCCTCATAGTCACATTCCCACAGAGGGAAGTCCTTGCAATTTCTGGGGTGCCCCTGCTCTCCCTGGCCTCCGAACCTTCACACACATTGTCCCCTCCTCTGGAAGACCCACCTCCCATACCCTTCTGTTATCAAGACTTGGCCTGAACATCACAGTTCAGGAATTCTCCCTTGTTCTTCCAATACCTGTTTACATTTACCTTTACCTTTACCTTTACCATTACACATTATTTGTGAGATCCCATTAGACGTTATGTGTGTGTCACAATACAAGTTATTTGTGAGATCCCATTATCAGCTGTGAGATCACAAGAAGACTGCATTGAGCCATCATTTTCGATGACTTCCACTCCTGTCCAAAGTCCTCCCAAAGACTCTGTGAAGTCCAGGGCAACAGAGAAACATCTTTGCAGGCACCTGTGAACACATTGTGCCCAACAGGAAATTCAAGCTCTTCTTCTATTTTCAAACTAAGGAGTCACTCTCATAAACATCGCAGGGGTCGGGGAGGTGGATGGGAATTGCTTGACTTTCCTACAATGCTTGGAGATTCTTAGAGCTGGAACGTTTCCATTTTGATGTTCCCGCCACTCTCCCTCTTATTTCCTGCAAAGCACCTTAGTCAATCTTCGGAGTCTCCTTTGCTAGACTAATATGGCAGCCGCCAGCCACATGGAGCTACTGAGCGCTTGAAATGTGGTTAGTCTTTATTGAGGTCAGCTGTAAGCGTAAAATACACACTGGATCTTGAAGACTTAGTGTGAAAAAATAATGTAAGATGTCTAAATAATTTTAATGTATCTTAGGTTTATTGAGTTAAAATAATTATTAAAATAATTTCACTTGTTTTTTCTTTTTTTCATATGGCCATTAGAAATTCAAAAATTTCTGTGTGGCTCACGTTATATGAATATTGGACATTTGTCTAAACCTTTGAGCTCATCAATGGTGGTTATTTCCTCAAAAGAAATTCCAGTGCTGGGTTTTAAGACGATGTTTATTGTCTGTCTCCTCTTCATACACTGTAAGATGAAGGCACTATAGCACAGAATTTAATCTTCTCTTAGTTCTGTTTCCACAGCAATAAAATGAGGGGGGAGGTGTTTATTTGATAAGCAGTTCCAAAGCCCTGTAGGCAACAGACATGGAGGATACAGGGGAGAACGAAATGGCATAGGACACATCCTCGGGGGTGGGTCAAGAGGAGATTTATGATTTTTCCATCCCCAAAACATTCCCCTCACCTCAAGTTCCTAATTTTCAGTGGTTCAACCTAGGAATTCCTCTGCTCCCCTGGGTTTGGAGTCTGAGGAAGTCAGAGTCTTGGAAATTGACAAGCATTTCTCCATAGAAACTCCATTATAAGATGTGTAATATAAGGTCCTAGACTACCCCATACACATTTATTTAACCAGTAGTTATAGTAATATATTATCTACTCTGTAAAAAAAACTGTGCATTTTTAGGAATTGTGTCCTTTTATATTCATATCAGCCATAAGAGTCAGATATTAATATATTTGCTTTTCAGATGAAGGAGATGAGGTTCAGAGAGGTTTAGGAATTTTCCAAGTCGGCACAGCTAAAAAAAAAAAAATGCTAAAACTTGTATTTGAACAAATATTGGTGTTTGTGTAGGTGTGGAGGAGAAGGGGGCTAAAAAAAAAAAAAACCATGGTATGTTTCATTAAGCTAAGGTCGAATTGTAGACAGAAGCTCTTTTTCCTCTCAACTCTACCAAGCTCTCTATTAGATTTTCTTGCATGGTTTGCTTGGAATTTAATCTATAATACAAAACTTGAAGAATCTTGTAACTGTTGGGACTATCTCAGCTGTAACTTGTAACTTACAAGGGACAGAAAACCCAACACAAACATGCTTAAGCCAATCAGAGATGAGGGCAGGGTCACACTTACTTGCTCAGCAATTTCAAAAGTTCAGAGATATTTGACTTCAGGCATAGCTTGCAGATGCTCAACCTACCTCATTGGACCTGGCATGCGTCCATTTCTTCAGACTGTTTGCTGTCCAATGCACTTCTAAGCTCTTACAACCTCTCTCCTTCACATGGGCAAGATCTTTCCTGTAGTACCACAAAAGCTCCTTAATTAGCTCTGATTGGTATATACGTGTCACATGAGACCTATGAGCCAATCACTGTGATCAGGGAGATGGAATGCTCTGAATAGCCAAGCCCAGGTTATATGCTGGCTCTTGGATCTAGGGAATATGGCCCCCCAAACCATGGCCTGAGTTAAATACCAGTGTTTCCCCAAAGGAAATTTGCTCTTACCAGAAGAGGCTAAGAAATGTATGTTGGACAGGCAGAAACACAAACATTAACTGCAATCCTTATAATGAATGGTAAACAGGTAAACAGGCTCTCAGGAAAGCAAACAAACTCTGGTTTGTAATGTTTCAAGTCATCAGTGATGTGAATGATCCCACTATAGCTAATTTTGAGCTACCGAGAGTTTAACAACCATTTCCAAAATTCCTGAATATGTAACAATCTGTTCTCATGGGCCAGTGGGAGCTAGCTTCAGCACACTACTGGATCCTCCAAAGGAAGAAGAACTATAGCAGAGAGGAGGTATTTACAAGAGGAAATAGTTTTTCCCCCTTTATATTTTGATTTTATTAAGTGGAAGGCTAAGTCCCTTATAATCCCAACTCCTAAGATATCTTCTTATCCCCAGAGCTAGCAGGGAAGCAGGCGACAACCCCAGAGTGAACTCAGGGTAGCCCGCTCTAATTTTTGAACTACCGTAGAAAGCTCTGTCATCCATTTACCCAAAATCTCTCATCAAAAGCACATATGGCCCAAACTAAAGTTTCTCTTTCTACCTTAGAATTTGTGTTTAACGATATTATCAAAACACTGATTCACAGAAAATTCTGCCTTCCATGAACATCTGTTGTCACTGATTAGAACACTTAGAGTGAAGCCATTTTCTATCTTGCCCAATATTAACTGCAAACAGACACCATAGCCAAGTTCTTCTAAATAACTTGTAATAAACTGGGATGTTTCCTTAAATGTACAAGCAAATGAAGATTCACCATAGCAACTAGGAATTCCAGGAACTAAGATGCATATTGTAAACATGGTGGTAGCTGTGTTCAGCTGGATTCTTAGAGAAATAGGACCAATAGGGGATATAAATATATATTTACTGCAAGGAATTGGCTCACACAATTATGGAGGCTGAAAAGTTCAAGATTTGCAGTCAGCAAGCTGGACATCCAGGAGAATTAATGATATAGTTCCAGTCTAAGTCTGAAAACTTCAGAACCCGGAGAGCCAATGGTATAAATTTCAGTCTGAGTCAGAAGGCCCGAGAATCAGGAAAGCCAAATGGGTAAGGTCAAGTTCAATTCTAAGTCTGAAGGCAAGAGAAGACTGATATCCCAGCTCAAAGACAGTCAGACACAGAGAAAGAATACTTTCTTACTCAGCCTTTTATTCTATCCTGGTGTTCAATAGATTGGATGAGGCCCATGCACATTGGAGAGGATGATCTGCTTCACTCCATCTACCAATTCAGTGTTAATCTCATCTAAAATCACCTTCACAGACACACCCAGGAATAATGTCTAACTAAATATCTGGGCACCCCATAAACCAATCAAATTGACACATCCCCATCTCTACTAAAAATACAAAAAAAATTAGCCAGGCTTGGTGGCGTGTGCCTGTAATCCCAGCTACTAGCTACTCAGGAGGCTAAGCCAGGGGAATTGCTTGAACCAGGGAGGTAGAGGTTGCAGTGAGCCGAGATCACACCACTGCACTCCAGCCTGGGAAACAGAATGAGACTCCGTCTCAAAAAAAAAAAAAAGAAAAAAATTACACACAAAATTAACCATCACAGTAGCCATCTCCCCCATATTCCAAGTGTCCAACAATAATCTGGTAATCTGAGGCTTTACATTACACCTTTTAAAATGAATATGGAAAAATATCCTGTGATCTCAAAACTCCTGGCTTTTTAATATTAGGATACCCAAGTGAGTGAAGGAATTCCCAGCCTATGCCACTGAATATCAGAAATTTTAGTTGAGGTGGATGGTTTCAAACTAGAAGGGATCTTAAAGCTCTTTCCAGCCCAGCCCTGAGGGTTGGCATAACAAAATTACTCAGAGCTCAGTCTTTGAGGTGAGAGACACCTGGGTTGACATCCTATCACTGTCACTTTATAGTTGATAACCCTGAGCAAATTTTTTAGCTTCTCTGAACCTCTGCATTATAATCTATACACTGAGAATGATAATAGTACCTATTCCCAGAAAAGAATGGTATGAGAAGATATATGTGAAGTTTAACACTGTGTTCAGGGTTCCCAGTTGTTAGGCTCTGGAATGGAAATGAATAATCCTTTAGCAGTGTTTAAACTTCAATATGGCTCCGTAGTTGAAAATGTCATCGTGCACATAAAGTGCTAAGTCATCAAAGAGAAGGGTGAGAAATGCATGCACTGTGTTTAAGGTGTCTATAAAGGAGGTTGTTTCACAGCCTGTTTACTTTAGGGAATGCAGGACTTCAACACAGGTGAGTTTTGAACTTCCTTAGCTTGTGAAGGGTTTCTTTTCATCAGCATTTATTATCATCCACTGCACTAGAGATGCTGTAAGGATTACAAACGAAATAAAAGACACAGAAGAGCAGGAAGTGTAGTGAACAGTGTGTGGACATGGAGCAGACAGCCTTGGATGCAAAGCCCAGCTCTGCCCCTTTCTAGCTGGGTGAACCTGGACAGGACAGTCAGTTTTCCTAACTCTCCTGAGCTTCAATTGCCTTATCAGGAAAATGAAAGTCATTCCTATGAGACAACATTGTTTTGAGGATTCAGTGAGATGATGCGTGCAAAATATCTGGTATCTAGTCTAGAATAATGTTAGAACTCTTCTCCTGTCTACAAGTGAGAGCTGATTTTCTGGGAGAGAACATAAGATACACAGAGAGGCCAAAGCTACAGAACATAATTTGTGTTATGTTTACAATGGACTGGGGTGCTCTATTTGTATGTCAACTTCTGTCGCGTTTGCACTGTCATAAGAAAAAAAGGTTCTTTCCCTGCCTCCCACCATTCATGGAAGGAAGAAGTCTTGCTGGAAAGAAGTCAGACTCATTAAGGAATCCAGCTAGCAACCTCATAGAGGCTAGGGAAGCAGGAGCAGAGTGAGACTAAGCCTGAGAGCCCTGAGACAAAAACAGCACTGGACGTTGTCACCACCCAAACCCACAAGGTCAAGACCCCGTCCAGCAGGAATGACTTCCGGAGTGCATTTCTGTGGGCAAGCCTGGTGGGAAGAGGATCACTAATTCCCCAGCAGACTAGGGTGCCCCCAAGACGGCGGAGGACCAATGCTCAGCAGGGCAGGCAACAAAAGCAACTGCAAGGATGGAGACCTCAAGGGACCTGAATGGGCCCTTCCTGGACCATGGAGTTCTTATAAGATGCCCATGGGGAGTAGAATTGAACCCCGTTAACCAAGCAGGTGAGCCTCAGAGATCAATTTAATTTGTTTCAGAAAAAAAGAAAAGTGATCTATTTTTTGAACCTGAATGCCATGGAGTAAATTCACAGGATCGTAAGAGCTTGCTAAGGACTTTCATTTATATTCTGCCAGCAACCTTGAATCAAGCACCACTATGAACCCGTCATATCGTCTCTCACTGAACCCTCCAAACCATCCTGTGTGGGAGCCTCATTAATTCCATTGGCAGAGGAGTAAACTGAGGACGAGAAGGTGACTCAACTTGTTTTTGGCCACAGTTAGTGAGAAACTATTAAAGAATATTCATAGCACTAAATACAGTATCTAGCATAGAGTAGGCGCTTAATCCAGATTTATTGAATTGATGACTGAATGAAGAAAATAGATAATTTGCTAGTGAAAGCCAGTTGAAAGAGCAAAACTGGGTGACAAGAATGGATGACATTTACCAAGATTGTTCTAGAACATTCTAACCCATGACAACACTAAGAAAAAAGATATTTTTGTTCCCATTTTACAGATAAGCAAACCCAGGCCAGAAAGGCTCAGACGTTTGCTTCCAGTCACATATCTTGGAAGCAGCAGAGCTAAGATTTAAACTCAAGATGTCTGGCTCCCCACGCCAAGTTTCCAAGTACTGTCCTATCCAGTGTACAGATAGGGTACAGCGTGAAGGAGCAACCTTTGGAATTGACATAACAAGGCCCCCCCTTTCGCTTTCTAAGATTGGGAAACTGTTAACATGAAGGCTAAAAGCATGAGCTCTGGGGTGAGATAAACTTGACCTAAAAAATCCCAGCTCCACCACTCTTTAACTCTGTGATCTTAGACAAAAGGCTTAGTCACTCTGAGACCCAGTGAGATGAAGAGGATAATAAATAGTTGAGACGATCAAATGAAATAATAGGCATACTGCTCCTACCTCAGTGCTCAGGACCTGGTGAAAGAGATAAATGGCAACAACCATAAAAATACAAAAATAACTGAAATGGTAGCTCTAGCAATGATACTGATGGAGAAGGGGGAGGAAGAGGAGGAAGATAAGGAAGAGGAGGAAGAGGAGGATAACAAGGTAGAGGAACAGGAAGAAGAGGAGCAGGAGGAGGAAGAAGAGGAGGAAGATAAGGAGGTGGAGGAACAAGAAGAGGAGGAGAAGGAGGTGGAGGAACAAGAAGAAGAGGAGGAGGAGGATAAGGAAGTGCAGGAGGAAGAAGAGGAGGAGGAAGAGGATGCAGAAGTAGAGGAAGAGAAGGAGGACGAAGAGGAGGAGGAGAAGGAGGAGGAGGAAGAAGAGGAGGTGGAGGAAGAGGAGGAGAAGAAAGAGGGAGAGGAGGATAAAATGGAAGAGGAAGAGGTGGAAGAGAAAGAGAAGGAGGAGGAGAAAAAGGAAGAGGAAGACAAGGGAGAGGAGGGTTCTGAACACAGGGAAGAATGCTGTCAAAGCCTAGAATATTGCTCAAATCGGGCAGGGGATGTGGGGAAATAGCACATCAAAAAGCACAGACAAATTTTGAATTCCACTCTGCCACACTATGTACTAGACACTGAGGAAGGAGAGAAGAGCCCCCAGACAGGTAGCAATAGGAGGACCACCACCTGACAACAGACAGCAGTTCAAGTCCCTCCAGCCATTTTCCAGCAAGCCCGAGTTTATAGCCCAGGTGACTTTAGATGACATCACCCCAGGACATCAGATGGCATGCACCTCCCTCGAATCACCACAAGATTGAATTTTCAGCCACATCCTCCAGACACATCCATTTTGGCAGCAATGTTATTTGCAGAGACCAATCAGAACCTGCACTTTAAATGCAATTCCCTTAAGCAGAGTAACCTCCTCTCCATAACCTAAGTGCCTCTGCACACCCAGACAGACACTGCTTGTGTTTGAAAGGTTAGGCTTGCCTGAAGCAGTTGAGCAGAAACCCAAATTTGGAGAACAATTTGCTACTCATAAGGAGCCATCACTCAGAAATGCACTGACCGGCCTCGAAGAATTAGGCCATCACCCAACCCATGGCTCCTGTGTTGCTCTGCCTGGATTGTGTGACCTTGACGGGTGAAGCCTCCCAGATTTGGAGTCTAACCACAACTTCTGCTGCTCAACAGAGACCCCATGCAGTAGGACTAGACACCACAGAAGCCTGAATAGGAAGCAAAGAGCCAAGAGGACAGACTGGATCTCATCTCTCTTTCTCTCCCTTCCATCAACAGGATGTCTATGTGTCATATTCTTTATAGACCTTGCTACTCAAAGAATGATCCATGGAAAAGATCTTGACCTGTTAATCATAGCAGCCTAGTCCTCCAGGCCCTTCTCCCCAAGGCTTGCAGTCATTTCTAGAAGGGAAAGAGGTGAAGCCAGAGTTTATGACTCTCAAATAAAAGACTCCTTGTCTATCAGGAAGGAGTATTCATAGGAACCTGCAACATCTCTACCCATTGGAGAGGCCTGGAATGCCCCCCAGCTGATGTCAGTACTCATGTGACATCTGCACCCACCTTCCTCTTTCTCTATCACCTCTCTATGTCCACCCCCTCTCATGGAACTGCCCATTTATCTGAGGACTTAAGGGAAGGGACGGCAACTCCTTCCATCTTACTTCCCAACCCCTCCAAAGTCAGAGAATCCTTTGGCCCAAATATTTTTGCATGTCCTTCCAACACTCCAACTGATGACCAAACTGTGGTTCTGTGGATCCTTCTATCCCATGGAAATTTGAAGAATCCTGTTACAGACTGAATGTGTGTGTTCGTCCAACATTTATTTGTTGAAATCCTAACCCCCAGAGTGACAGTACTAGGAGGTGAGAACTTTGGGAGGTAATTAGGTCATGAGATTGGAGCTTCATGAATGGGATTAGTGCCCTTATAAAAGATTCCCCAGAGAGCTCTCTCACCCTTTTTCTGCCATGTAAGGATACAACAAGATGTCGGCCATTCACAACCTGCAAGAGGGTCTTCACCAGAACCCAACCGTAATGGTACCTGGATCTCAAACTTCCAGCCTCCAGAACTGTGAGAAATAAATTTCTGTTGTTTATAAGCCACTCAGTCTATGGTATGGTGGCTTGTTATAGCAGTCTGAATGGACTAAGACAAACCCCTATCTCAAAGGGTTTCAGAGAAAGATATTTAAAGAAGAGCTTCTCCCCAAGCACATGAAGGTGTTTGTTAAGCTGATCTCCAACTCAAAACAAATCCACAATGAATGCTGCATTTTTTCCCATGTAAGAGACCCCAGTTAAGGCTGTGCCTCCCCAGAAACAAGGAATCTTGGATGTACAAAGTTACGGTGATGGTCTAATAATTGTTCTCTTCACATCCACTATTGCCTCATTCAATATCCTACATGCAACTGTCAGGGTGATATTTTTTAAATCCAAACCTTGTTATATCGTTGTCCTGCTTAAAACCTTCCGATGCCTTCCCATTGCACTTAAGATAAAATCCAATCCCTTGTATAAGGCCTATGATGATCTACATGATTGGATTCCTGCCTACATCTTGCAGATTCTCTCAAGCGTCTCTCTCCTTACTCTATAAGTGAGTACCACACTTAGATCTGGGCAAGAGGAGTGCCCATACTGGGTCCACCACAATTTAGACAGCCCCACATATCATGAACACACACATAAGTCAATGTATTAAAGAATGTGAGGAAAACTCTTGAGATCTGGCATTCAGTGCCAGTACAGGGTGCTCTGCACCCTCAACATCCATTGTTCAGGGTGCAGAGCACACTGCTAATGACACCATTAGCTCCAGGGAAATTTCCTTTTTTTTTTTTTTTTTTTTTTTTGAGACAGAGTCTCGCTCTGTTGCCCAGGCTGGAGTGCAGTGGTGCAATCTTGGTTCACTGCAAGCTCCGCCTCAAAGGGTCAAGCAATTCTCCTGTCTCAGCCTCCCAAGTAGCTGGGATTATAGGCATGCGCCACCACACCTGGCTGATTTTTGCATTTTTAGTAGAGACGGGATTTCACCATGTTGGCCAGGCTGGTCTTGAACTTCTGACCTCAGGTGATCCACCTGCCTCAGTCTCCCAATAAGTGCTGGGATTACAGGCATGAGCCACCGTGCCCGGCCAGCTCCAGGGAAATTCTCTGCTTCCTTTGCTCTGTGCCTTTAAAGCAAAAGGCAATGGCATTCAAATGTCATGAAGGATCCCCTGCAGTGCCCCGCTGATTTTGGAAACAAACACTGCTTCTGAAGGCAGAGAAAATTTCACCATTGAAAACACTTTGATAAAGAAAAGTACAAATTAATTAACTTGTCACATCCTTCCCCTCAGATCATATTAATGCAATATATACTTATGAAAGGAAGCATTGTTTTCTAGTAATGCCAGGCAACCATCTACTTGCCTCCCTTCATGTTTCAATTCACAGGTCAGGAGGCTCACACGAATTAGCACAGTATTTGCAATGGTTGGACATGGCAGTTGAGAAACACTTTGCAATATTAAATGATTTATATTACTCTGAAGCTTGTATTCGTTTAAGTCTAGATTCCATTCACGGCAAATGTGAAGCATAATATCTGTGTGTGTGTGTGTGTGTGTGTGTGTGTGTGTGTGTGTGTGTGAGAGAGAGAGAGAGAGAAAGAGAGAGAGAGAGAGAGAGAGAGAGAGACAGGGTCTCTTTCACCCAGGCTGGAGTGCAGTGGTGTGATCATAGCTTCCTGGAGCCTTGATCTAGGCTCAAGTGATCCTCCCACCTCAGTGTCCTGAGTAGCTGGGACTACAAGTGCATGCCACCATGCCGAGCTAATTGTTATTATCAGTAGTAGAGACAAGGTCTTGCTGTGTTGCACAGGATGGTCTCCGACTCCTGACCTCATGCAATCTTCTCTGGGCTCAGCCTCCCAAAGGCTGGGATTAAAGATGTTAGACACAGGCCCGACATGGTGCTCACACCTGTAATCTCAGCACTCTGGGAGACCGAGATGGGTGGATCACTTGAGGTCAGGAGTTCAAGACCAGCCTAGCCAACATGGTGAAACCTCATCTCTACTATAATACAAAAATTAGCCGGGCCTGGTGGTGTGCACCTATAATCCCAGCTACTTGGAAGTCTGAGGCACAAGAATCACTTGAGCCCAGGAGGCGGAGATTGCGATGAGCCGAGATTGTGCCACTACACTCCAGCCTGGGTGACAGGGCAAGACTGTCTTTAAAAAAAAAAGATGTGAGACACTGAGCCTGGCTGCTACCTATTCTTCACATTGACAACTAGCTGAACTTTGCTAAAATTATTTAATGAGTTTGAAATTAAGTCCTTAAAACTGAAATAAATTTCAGTTTTCTTTAATTTGGATTTGGATATTTATTATAATTTGCATTTTGCTTTTTAAATTCAATAGATAATCAGAAATATTTAGGCATGAGGTATGTGGGTCTCCCTTTGTACTCTCGGGCTGTGGAAATATCGGTATTAGGACAGCTCTACACTTCCAATCCTGTTGAAATTCCTCGAGTTCCTCAAATGCACCATCCTCTTTCTTACCCCAGGGCCTTTGCACATGCTGCTTCATCCTTCACCTGGATAACTCCTCCCCATACCTCACATCTTACCTTGAACTTCTTATCCTTTAGGAAGCCTTCCTTCATTCCCCTGGCCAGGTTAGGACCCCTTATCATGCACATTCATTGCACCTGTTTTTCTCTTTTGTATGTGTTTGTCCAATATCTCCCTTCCTCAGTAGACTGTAATCTCCTTGAAGGCAGGGACTATGTCTGCCTTGTTCACACGTTTTTCTCCAGCACCTGGAACAGACCAAGTTTATAGTAGATGCTCAGTGAATACCAGGTGACTTCATAAATGCTAGAGTTCAGAGTGCCAGCTCTGATTACACTGAATTGTAATTACCTGTGTGAGTCTCTCTAGATGGACCAGGAGCTAGAGGCCAAAAGCTGGCACCCATGGGCCACTTGTGGACTGCAGTTTGGTTAGTTTGGCCAGCAGAATATTGCCCATATCATTTTTTTTTAATTTTATGGGGTTTTTTAAATTTTTTAAATGAACTGCCAATATTTAAGAACTTGGAAATGACACTTAAAAATCAAGATTTGCAATTTCTCTTGAAAAAGTCAAACAGTTGGCAACACTTCCCATGTGACAACAATCCCCAAAACTGAGACACGTGTGCTCCTTTTAATAAGCTGATTGTCCCAACCACCACAGTCCTGATTTACCCTGTATCACACACTGCCGTGGGACTCCCACAGTAGTAACTAATATTCAATCAACTAAGGTCGTGCAACTAAGGTCTAGCCAACAATCTCTGAAAAAGAAGTGTGGCCATGTTCATCGCAGCACTATTCACAATAGCAAAGATTGGAATCAACCTAGGAGGCCATCATAGTGGATTGATTAAAGAAAATATGGTACATATACACCAAGGAATGCTATGTAGCCATGAAAACAAAAATGAAAGCACGTCCTTTGCAGCGTAGCCCAAGGCCATTATCTTAACCAAATCAACGCAGGGACAGAAAACCAAACACTGCGTGTTCTCACTTATAAGTGAGAGCTAAATATGAGGTATTTGTGGACATAAAGATGGCAACAGTAGACACTGGGGACTACTAGAGGGAGGAGGCAGAGAGGAGGGCAAGGCTAGAAAAACTGTTGGGTACCAAGCTCAGTACCTGGGTGATGGAATCATTCATACCCCAAACCTCAGCACCGTGCAATATACCCAGGTAACACATTTGCCCATGTACCCCCTGAATCTAAATAGAAGTTGAAAAAGAATAAATAAAGATATGATGCTGTATGCAGATTTTTTAAAAAGGAAGAAGTGTGGGGCTGGGCATGGTTGTTCACACCTGTAATCCCAGCTACTCAGGAGGCTGAAGTGGGAGAATCACTTGAGCCCAGGGGTTTGAGCCCAGTCTGAGCGATGCGGCAAGACTTCAGTTCTAAAAAGCAAAATTAAAATATGAGCCAGGCATGATGGTGTGCACATGTAGTTCCAGCTACTAGGGAAGCTGAGGTAGGAAGATCACTTGAGCCCAGGAGTTCAAAGCTACAGTGAGCTATGATCATGCCACTGTACTCTAGCCTAGGTGACTGAGTGAGACCTCATCTTTGGGGGGAAAAGAAAAGAAGTCTCATAAAAAAAACTTCCATGTGGCTGGGTGCGGTGGCTCACGCCTGTAATCCCAGCACTTTGGGAGGCCGAGGCGGATGGATCACGAGGTCAGGAGATTGAGACCATCCTGGCTAATACGGTGAAACTCCGTCTCTACTAAAAATACAAAAAATTAGCTGCGCATGGTGGCACGCACCTATAGTCCCAGCTACTTGGGAGATTGAAGCAGAAGAATCACTTTAACCCGGAAGGCGGAGGTTGCAGTGAGCTGAGATCCCTCCACTGCACTCCAGCCTGGGTGACAGAGTGAGACTTCATCTCAAAAAACAAAACAAAACAAAACAACAACAAAAAGACACTTCCATGAAAGGTCCTCCCTCTCTTCCTTTGTCTGTCAGCTGAATATTGATGCCCAGGGCAACCCTAGAACATGGAAAAACCTTCTTGAGCCTGGATTCCTGAATGATTGCATGGAGTAGAGATCCTCCCACCTGCCCTCTGTCAACCAGGAACACACATATTGGACCGTTTCATTGTCAAGTAAAACATTCGTACTGTGTTAAAACCACTGAAACGTTGGGTTTTGTTTATTATAGCAACTAATTTTACTCTAACATAGTCTCTATAGGCATTTAAACTTGGGACCCCTGCTTTTGGGACAAGCTCTTGGAAGACAGAGATGATGCCTCATTCATCCATTTATGTGCATGCAGTGCCTAGCACAGTGCTGAGCCCATAATGGATCCCCGTAAAGATGTTTATTGAATGAATGAAATGCAGGAACAGATGGAATCCATATAAGCTGCAAGCAGAGTCAAGGCAAGTAATGACAGCTCTACCCTGGTGGATTCCAGCATTGCTCCTACCCATCACCAACCCCCCTAGCCTTTGCAGGAGAGCTTCATCCTCTGAAGATCCTCCCCACATGGCTTCAGACTTCCCTTCTCGCCTTCACTCTCATTCCCCACACCTGTGCTTAGGACAGCAAACAGTGACTGGTGGAATTGGCATAAGGAGACAAGCATGAAGTTGAAGCAGCTGTCTAGAAAATAAATTACATGCAGTCACCTGCTATTTCCATTCTAATCTCATCTGCTGGAAGCTGCTCTCCCAATCCCTGCTTCTGCTCTCTTCTCTCTTGGCTGCGGAATTCTCTGGAAACAGAGCTCCACTAGACAAGAGGAAGAATAGGACAGAATCTATCTTTTCATAATTGTACATCATCAAATATTTATTACATGACCAGCTTAGGCGTAACAGTGAATGCTGAGCAATTTCTGTGCCATGTCTTCTTGTACAGAAATGTAGAATGGTAAAACTGGTATTTTATATCACATCTTAAAAGTCCCATTCACTTGTATTACTTCATTCTTAAACATCCATGGGACATATGCAGGCAGGATGGGGATTAATGTCCTCATTATACCATAAGATCCAAAAAGCTCTAGAACTGTGCTTTACACGTGCCAGGCACAATGCTTAGGACTTGATGTGTATTTGTTTCAGGAAGAGTTAGAAACAGCCCTGTGAGGCATGTTCTATTATCTTGGTCCCCAATTTACTAAGGAAGACAGACTCTGAGACCTAAAAGTTAAATGATTTGCTTAGGCCAGTAAGGTAGTAAGAGATGGAGCCAGGAAGTGAACTCCTCTCTGTCCGACTCCAAGGTGCTAACTGGTTTGCTATTACACTCATTAGCTTTTTTTCACTCAGTATGTTGCATCTGTTATGTCTGTCTCCTCTACTGGATTGTGAACTCCTCCTGGCAAAGGCCAAGGCATATTCATAACACTCTCCCCAGCTAGCAGAGAGCCTCACACTTAGAACAGTACCTATGTGATGAATGAAAAAAAAAGGGAGAAAGAAGAATGAGAAGTTAAATGGCCTATCCACAACCACATGACAAGCTAGTAATTACCTGACTTAAGACTCAACCAGTGTTTGAGTTACTATCTAGTTCTGTGGCTGTGGATAGGCCATTTAATTTCTGTTCCAAATCCAAGGACCTTTCACTAGGAATAATAACAATACCAGCACTACGTGTTGAGAATTCATATCAGGCTCTTTTATACATATACTATTTCATTTAATTCTTGAAATACCTTTGTAAGCTGGTTGCAATAATACCCTCATTTTGAAACAGAGGCTCAATTAGATAAACTAACTTGCCTAAGGTTACCTAGCTATTCACTCTCAAATAGTCAGTTTGTCATCTCTGAGTTACTTAACACTTGCCAGCTTCCTCCCCCGAGAACGAGACCCAGTCTCTGTATCCATCCCAAGCTGACTGAATCCTTTTCTCCACGTATCCCAAAACACGACCCTCCCCAATCTGACTACAAGAATCCCATTGCTCCAAGATTTTTTCAAGGAAGCTCCACTTTTAGAGAAGGCCTCTTGGATGCGGGGGATACTCTCCAGAATTCTACCAGAGGGGCTGAGTGTGAGCTGCTGAGTCAGGCAGAACAGGCTCCAATGCTCTGCTGCTCTCTAGCTGCATAAGTGGTTGGGGGAAGGAAAAAAGGGACACACTGGAGACTATTAGTTCTCTACTAAGTGTGACTTGGGCTCCCTCACATATCTTATGCCCCTACTGTGTATTTCAGGGTGTTCCATCCATGCATCTGTCTATCCACCCATTCTTTTTAATCTATCAATCAATCAATCTAGCCACCTGGCACTCTTTCTTTTATCTACCCTTTTACTAATCTTTCCTTCCTCTCTCAATCCTTCTTCGTATACATGCATTCAACAAACATTTATTGACCAACTACTTTCTTCCCAACACTAGTGGGTTTTAGGGTTAAAATATGAATAAGACTCAGGATACAACATAAGACAGGGGTCAAGAATAAGGGTCAGTAGGCATAGAGAACAAAGTTAACATCTAGGCTCTGCCACTTAGACGATGGACACATTCCTGTGCTTTTCTAAGCCTCTTTCTTTCTATATAAAATGAGGAGAGTGTAGCGCATAACTCATAGGGTTGTGAAGTGAAGATAAGATAAAGCCCTTAGTGAGTGTTTAAACTCCCTTAGTTGGCATTGCCATTATAAAACCAGTTCCTGCCCTAGAGGAACTCAGAATGTATTTGGGAGGAACACTGTAATAAAGTAAGACATCTGATAAGGGACAAAGCGGTGGGAGGTGGCTGAAGTCAGCCTGGGGCATGAAGGCAAATCTCAAGAAAGAGGTAGTTTCCAGCTCCTTTTCACCAAAAAAAAAAAAAAAAAAAAAAAAAAAAAAAGCATCTCCTCCAAGAGAAGAGTCAGCCTGAATTACTTGATGACCTTGAGGCATTTAAAATGTCTTCATGGATAATAACCCTTTTTCTCCCCTTGACCAAGGTCTTTGCTAAAGTATTTTTCAGCATTGTAGTTATGTGCTAATGTTCTGTGTCTCTTTCTGAGTTTATATGTGCTAATGTTCTGTGTCTCTTTCTGAGTTTAATAGATCTTCATTCTCCTATATAGTGTCTAGAATGTCCTTGGCACTTCATGTCTCTCAGATTTATCATAAAATTATAACAATGAAAAGTGTCTTAGATACCATGTAACCCTATGCTTCTTCATTTGCCAGAAGGCAAGATCCAGATGGAATAAGTGACTTGTCCAAGAGTACTCAACTAACCCGGTGACCAAGTTGGGACTAGATTCAAGGTCTTGTGGTGCCTATCCCAAATTTGCTTCCAGCCTACCATGCTGCCCAGTCTTCAATTTTCCATGCTACTTTTCACTAAGCTGCCACTCATAGTCTTCTTCAGGTTTCTCCTTATCTGTATCTCATCCACGATGTGGTGGAAAGTTCAGAACAAAATATTCGTGAAAAAATTACTTTGCCTCACCAAGTCTGTTTTCCTATCTGTAAAACTATGTTGATAAGACCAACTCACCAATTTGATGTGAAAGTTAAGTGAGAATGTATGGAAAGTACTTCAAGAAGTGCTGTATATTGTCTTTGCTTCTCAGAACATTCTATTAGTAGAAGATTCAGGATTCTGACTTGGCTGGATCTGACTGCAATATGTATGCACTTTGAATTACATTATACCCCTTAGTAGATGTTTATAAATAAAAGAAATTGATTTTCAAGAAAGTTAAGTAGATATACTTTTACCTTTTGCTAAGTCCAACTAAAAGTCCTGCATACTACATGTAAAGCAAATATACATACAACTTCTACCTCCATCTGACAGTAACAGGTGACACCACCATGCTTTCCCATGCCAGCGCAGTGTTAGAGAATCCCAGCTAAAATAGAAGGCTTACATGAGATCCAGAGTCTCCTAACATACAAAAATGTCTAGGCTTCAGTAGAAAATCACTCCTTATACCAACAGCCAGGAATATTTCAAACTGAATTTTTTTAAAAGACAATCAATAGCTGCCAACATCAAGATGCCAGAGATAGTGGAACAATCTCCCAAGGAATTTAAATTAGCCATCGTAAAAAAAATGCTTCAATGAGCAAATACGAACACACTTGAAACAAATGAAAAAATAGAGAACCTTAGTAAATAAACCGAAAGTGTCAGCAAACAAACAGGAGACAGGAAGAAGAACCAAATGAAAATTGTAAAACTTAAAAATACAATAACCAACATTTTAAAAACTCAGCCAAGAGGCTCAGCAGCAGAATGAATGGGAGAGAAGAAACAATCAGTGAACTGGAAGATAGGACAATAGAAATTACCCAATCTGAACAACACAGGGAAAGGAGACTGAAAAAAAGAAAAGTGAACAAATCCTCAGGGGAACTAGAACAGAAGATCTAACATTCATGTTACTGGAGTCCCAAAATAAGTGGAGAAAGAGAATAGATATAAAAAGGATCAGAGCTGGTGCTAAGAAATGGCTACAACCAGGGTCTCCAATGCCATCAGTTTGTCTACATCTACTGTGGTTTGAATGTGTCCCCAAAGTTTATGTGTTGAAAACTTAATCCCTAATGCAAAGCGTATTAGGAGGTGATTAGGTAATGAGAGCTCTTCCCTCATGAATGGATTAATGTTGTTATCATGGGAGTGGGTTTGTTATTGTGGTAGTAGTTTAGTTATTATGACAGTGGGCTTGTTACAAAAGTGAGTTCAGCTCCTTGTTGCTTTCTCGCTCTCTCACATGCTCTTCCACCCTCTCACCTTCTCCCACAGGATGACACAGCAAGAAGGCCCTCACCAGATGCTAGCACATTGATATTGAACTTCTCAGCCTCTAGAACTGTGAGAATTAAATTTCTTTTCTTTATAAATTACCCACTCTGTGGTATTCTGTTATAGCAACACAAAACAAACTAAGACAACATCTCTATCTCATCCGTGCTGTCTCTTTCTGAACATCAATTTTATGATCTCCTATCTAGGCTTTTTCTGCTACATGTATCCCTCAGTTTCCATTTGAACAGCCCTGGGTGCAGAACAGAAAAAGAATTTTCTCCTCTACCTCCCACTTGAAAAAAATCCCCTGGAAGAACTCTGATTGGTCACATGTGGGTCTTTTCTTCTCCTTTGACCAATTTCTGAAACCAGGTGTATTAGTGAGATAATATATATTCATTCCTATGATCAGGGGTGGAATCTATTCGCAAAAGAGAGTTTTGGATCCTGGGAAAACAATGCTTTATGCCCATGAATTTGCTTTTAAAACCTAAAACCAAAATAAGGCTTGACTGATCTCCTTCCAATGACTTAATCTTTATAACACAGAATCCTTAAGGAATTTGATAATAGGATTTCTCAGCTTTAGCACTACTGACATTATGGATCAGATAATTCTTTGTCATAGGGGTGTGTCCTGTGCATTGTAGGGTGTTGAGCAGCACCCCAGTCTCTATCCACTAGATGCCAGTAGCAGTGCTCCATCTCCCAGCTGTAATGATCAAAAATATCTCCAGATATTGTCACCTGGGGAGCAAAATTGATTGTGATTGAGAGCCACTGCAGTGGAGGAAGATGAGATGGGAGAACAGAAGGCATTTATCCAGAAACTATTACCAAAGTAGACATCTTGAGGAGTGCCAGGAATAAGCAGAAAAACATAGAGGAATAGAGGGAGGGAGAAGAGGGAGGGAGAGAGGGGTAGAGACCATATTAATAGTGCCTCCAGCACCTCCTATATCATCCTCCCATTAGCCCCTTGGCACTGATTAATTTACCATATTATATCATTTTCACCTTGGAAGAAGAGCTAGAGCCCCAGGGCATATGAAACAGAATGAGATATATGGATACCTCAGAGTGTGGAAAGAGAAGGAGAGACTAAGAATCCAGACTCCTTAAGAGAGGAGGTGGATGGTGGTAATTCAGCATCAGCAGCTATAACCTGAGGGTGCTGGACTGTGTTTCCTTGGTAAAGCACCAGTTGTTATCCACACTAACAAGAGTGATCTCTAGTTATGCAGTTATTTTTCTGGGATTTCACAGACTCAATATTATCTGATTGTCTTCCAAACCTTGTGAAGTGGGCAAGGAAAGATCTTGTTATGCCCACTTACAGATGAAGAAACTGAGATCCATAATAGGAAATATAGGCATTAAAAGTGTGGGGCTTTTAATACAGATAAATCATGCTTCAATTCTTGGCTTCACCACTTACTAGTTATTTGATCTTGTCAAGTTACTTAACCCTTTACCTGTAAAATAGAGTCAATGCTTAAGTAATATAAGTTTTCATAAGAATTACATTGCAGAATGCATGTAAAGTAACTATTATGACACCTATCACTTAGGAAGCACACAATAAAAGGCAACAAGTATATATTATAGTAATTCCTGCTATCACTTAAATTCTAAGAAAAAATGAAAATTAAGCAATGTAATCACAGACTCACAGGGAGTAAATGATGAGGCAGGTCTTTAAATTCAACGTTTGAATATTCAGTACCATTTAACCATTCTGTGATGACTGAGAGTGTCAAAGAGGATGAAGACTGACTACCTACTAAGATGTCTGGTACTTGCCATCATCTTACTTAATCTCACTATAATATTGAGAATTAGTCAATGGTATCTCCAGTTCACAGACGAAAAAATCTGAGACTTAGAGAGTCACTTGCCCACCATCACTCAGATTGAGAGTAGAGTTGGACTATTGGTTTTGTGGTTGTGAAACTCTGCCACTCATTCTTGTGCAATTCTAGCAACTGGTTGAGGTGTGGGATGGTGACATAACTCTGGCCATAAAAATCTAAGAAGTCTTAGGGAATAGGGGAACTTTGGGGAAAATTTCTCCTCAGTGAAAAAAAATAAATAAAGATGAACAAGAGAAGAAATGGCCTTTTTTCTGTGCAATATGCACGAAGTAGCTGCCACAATCTTGCAACCATGAGAAGAACAAGATAGAAAGGAAAACTGAAACATCAAAGATAACAGAGCAGAAGACAGAAAAAGAAAAATCTGGGCCCTTGACACTCAATCACTGACTTAACACCCTAAGCAGCTCAACCTCAGGACTTCTTGTCACGTGAAAAATAAATTTCCTTTTTGTTTCATCCATTTGAATCAGATTTTCTGTTACTTGCAGTCAAATGCATCCTGATTCAGTCAAGCATGGTAATGCCATTACAACTACTAATAGGACTCATTGCATAATTACTACATTCCAAATAACATACTAAGCTCTTTAAATTTGATATTTCACTTCATATTTTATCCCTACAATAAACCCACATGGTAGATACTATTATTAATTCCATTTTACAGATGAATGATAGAGTAGAAGAAAGAAAGCTATTTGTAGCTTGATGATATTTAACTTCTTGGTACATCAATGAAATGGCTCAGAGTGCAGCCTCTTGAGTCAGACTGTCTATGCTCAAATCCAGTTTTACCATTGTCCATGCAACCTCAAGCAAGTACTTAAAGGTATTCTCTTTGAACCTCCATTTCCTCATCTTTTAATTTTTTTAAAACATTTTGGGGGGTACATAGGCTTATATATTTATGGGATACATGAGATGATTTGATACAGGCATGCAATGTGAAATAATTACATCATAAAGAATGGGGTATCCCTCTCCTCAAGCATTTATTGTTTGAGTTTTAAATGATCCAATTTTATATATATATATATATTTGGTTTTTTTTAGACTGAGTCTCCCTCTGTTGCCCAGCTTGGAATGCAGTAGCATGATCTCGGCTCACTGCAACCTCCTGAATTCAAGTGATTCTCCTGCCTCAGCCTCCCAAGTAACTGGGATTACAGGCGTGCACCACCACGCCCAGCTAATTTTTGTATTTTTTCGTAGGTATGAGGTTTCACCAGTTGTCCAGGCTAGTCTCGAACTCCTGACCTCAGGTGATCTGCCCACCTCAGCCTCCCAAAATACTGGGATTACAGGCGTGAGCCACTGCAGCTGGCCTCCCATTATATTTTTTAAACTAGTTTAAAATATATAGTTAAGTTATTATTGATTATAGTCACCTTATTGTGCTATCAAATAGTAGGTCTTATTCATTCTTTCTAAGTTTTTGTACCTATTAACCATTCCACCTCCCCAACAACCCCCCACTACCCTTCCAGCCTCTAGTAACCATCCTTCTACTCTCTATGCCCATGAGCTCAACTGATTTAATTTCTGGCATTTCCTTATCTTTAAAATAGACATGATAACTGCATCCACCCATCTTATTGAGAAGAAATGAGATCATTCAACCAATACATATTGTGTGCATGATTTAATGTAATACTCATAATTTTGCAAAGTTAGGAAATATCGCTGCCATTTTTTATGAATGAGGAAACTAAGGTGTAAAGAGGTTAAACTACTTGCCAAACTCCTTGCAGTTAGTAAGCAAGGGTTCTGAGATTCAAAGCTAACTATGTTTCTTTGAGTTTCAAAGAGTTGGCAAAGAATTAGGCCATTTGGGTCAGGGGCTGGGACAGAGATATGGAAGAATGCATTAAGGACAAATTATAAAGAACTCTTTGTGCTTTGCCAAGAAACATGAGGAACATGTCAGCCAAGGTGAAATTTATTTGACAACTTATTCCTACAACAAACCCATAAAGTAGATACTATTATTAATTCCAGTTTGTAGATATGTAATAGAGTGGAAGAAAAAAACTAACATTGGTAGATTGATGCTACAGCATGGTCTAGAGTTGGCAGTAGGTAACAAGAGAAGGTGGGATTGCAAGGTGGGTGAAACTCAACAGACAAAAATGCAGCTAGGTTCTGGGGACAAACCCTCAGAGGCTAACTATGGGATTGCAAACCTAGGTAGTTTCATTAATGATAACTAGTAGGGCTTGTCTTATGCACACTTGTCACCAAAAATCTATGAGGTATGACTAGTGGTTGCAGTTCAGTCACCTCCTCATCAACCAACATGGGCACGAACTGACCTCAAGCATTTGAGCAATCAATGCTCTGAAATCGCAGATTCTCTTATTCCAGGAAACAACATGATCTAGTGGCTACAGTAGGAAATTTGGGATCAGACAGGGCTGGCCTAGAATGCTTAGTATCTAGGTGACCTTAAGCATACAACTTCAATATTGGGACCTCAGTATAATGGTTCTGGAGTCAGACTACCCAGGTTTAAATCTTGGGTCTGCCATTTATTAGCTGTGTAACCTAAGGTAAGCTACTTATAAGCTCTCTGAGGCTCTGCCCCCTCATCTGTAACATGGAGAAGGCAGTTTTACCTACCTGTTAGGATGGTGGAAATGAAATGATATAGGTCATACATTCAATGAACATTACTAAGAACCTTCTATAAGCCAGGCATGCTCTGATGGTGACAAGACAGACAAGGTCCCTGTTGTCATGGACCTCACATTAAAGTAGGAAGAAATAGAGGATAAACAATTATTAAAATCACAAAATAATGTCAAGCAGTGATCAAACTAGAGCTGCTTTGGAGGCAGATGGTGAGGTTTGAGCACAGACCAGCATGATGGTTGAGTAGGGAAAATAGCAAGTGCAAAGGCCCTGAGGAAAAAAAACACAGAGTTTATTGCGTGCATGGAGCAAATAAAAGGCCAGTGTGTCTGGACATACTGAACAAAGGGAGGGACAGTCCTGGAGCCAATCTGGGACTAAATCCTGGGAGGCCTTGTCACCCTTGTTGGTATTTTTTATTTTCCTCTACTTCAGAAGGGAAGGCATTGGTGGATGTTTTTCAACAGGACAGTTCTTACCAGAGTGTGTATCACAAAACAAGCTCTCCATAATTGATAGCTATTACCTCTAAGATGAGGGCAATGCTTTCTATTAACGAAGAGTTGTGAGAAATAAATTATACAATATGTGGAAAGAATAGAAAATGTAGGAAGTCCTCAAAAATGTTACTTCTTTCTCATTTCTGCTCCAACACATTTTGACCTCTAAAGCCACATTTAGACCAGAAAACACAATATAACAGATGGGTGTTGACCTGCATTTTAAACTGAGAACAAATTTCCCATACACCGTCCACAAACCAAATCAGCCCTGGCAGTTGATTAAAAACAAATGTAGTCCCCAATGGAGATGTTGCTACCAGATTTAAACCTCCAGCGGTCCCTCAAGAAGGAGGAAAAAAGAGAAAAGGAAGAAAAAAGTACATGTTGATTGTGTTCAATGGGCCAAGTTCTGTGTAATACAATAATGCAATGTCTCTCCAGATAGTCAGTAGGGACCATAGAGGAGATTGTTTTTAGGGTTCTCAGACCCTATATGAAATAATATTGAAGCAGTTGGTGAAAGAGGTCATCTCTTTCCCGTCATTCTAAAAACATTAAGAGAAAGTCTCAGGGGGGTGCTAGCACGTCTTTAACGCCTCTCTAACGGTGTCTAATTCCTCCTTTCAGCAAAGAATGAACCTGCCCCACTCTCAGAGCCTTGGCAGGCAACAGCGCTAGCTAGAATTTTAATGGCATTGGCTTTTTCCCCCTACACTTTTTTTTCGTACAGGGTTTCACTCTTGTTGCCCAGATTGGAGTGCAATGGCACGATCTTGGCTCACCGCAACCTCCACCTTGCAGGTTCAAGCGCTTGTCCTGCCTCAGCCTCCCGAGTAACTGGGATTACAGGCATGCGCCACCATGCCTGGCTAATTTTGTATTTTTAGTAGAGACAGAGTTTCTCCATGTTGCTCAGGCTAGTCTCCAACTCCCAACCTCAGGTGATCTGCCGGCCTCAGACTCCCAAAGTGCTGGGATTACAGGCATGAGCCACTGCGCCCGACCTCTCCCATGATTTTTAAAATGGTTTCCTTCTTTATACAGCAAGAGATGCTAGTTTGCATATATATGGTAAATTTTAATTTTTAAACAAATGTTAAATATACAATTTTTTTAAATAGAGGGATTTTTACATGAAGCAGTTTAAACAGAGACATCCCGTAAATAATAGTACAAGTGACAAAAATCATGCACGTGGTACCAAAATGGCTAAACTTCAGGAACCGTTATTTTTTTTACTCTAATAGCAACCCTAAGAGGTAAATGCCATTTTTATCTCTAGTTTACGGGTAGGAAACACTGACACAGAGACAAGAAGCGACTTGGTCAAGGTCACGCGGGCCTCTTAACCCAAGGCTCTAGAGTTTGGAATCTTATGCCGACAAATCATAATGTTTGTTTCCAGATTTGAAAATATCCAACTTTAAAAATCTTTATGTGCCTCACTTAAGAAGGCTCCAATGACCTGCTGGCTTTAGGAATTTGCTGCCATGTGTATGGTTAACCTTCACCTGCAAACGTTGAGCAAAGCCCTAAAGCCTCTTTGTAAGTCTCGTATAGCTTCTCCCCTGACAATGTTGGTTTCAGAGAGAGGCAGAGTGGTACTATAACCCCACATTGCATTGTAAACTGGTCTCTTAGATCAGTGATACACAGTCCCCAGGAACACAGGGCTGTTAAAGAGAATGAAGCCTTCAGTGCTCAGGTATTAGGGACATTCTGGAACTTTCCTGAGTAGGACAGCTCATTGCTCTGCCTCACTTAGTCTGGCCCAGCCACTGGATTGCCTACCTGCTGGCCTTCCTGGCTATTCTGCTTTTGTCATCGTTGCTGCTTGGCGGAACCAGCCTTATCTGTACATTGATGAGTCATGCTTTCTGTACATTTCAGTGTTTTATCCCCGCAGGGAGGATTCTGGTAAGTACCTTCACTCTCATTGGTCTTAATTCCTCATGCCGCCCTCTTAGGACTATTTCTGAGGCTCTTAAAGAAAATTGAACTTTTGGGCAGTTGGAGTACAGTGGTTGGAAAAAAAAATGCTCAGGGATGAGGGGAATGTTCTTATGATTATCTAGTTGGAGAGAATATTCAAACCTTCTCTCTTTTTCTAGCTTGACAACTTTAGTGCCTGGAATGCTCTAAGGTGTAATACACAGAATGTGAGAATTCTTGGCCTCTGATGCTGTACAAATTAAGGGGGAAATGACATCTGATAACTATTTATTCAAACATGGCTCTGATGTCAACTATAGGTTACTGTTATTATCTCTTTTGGGGCCAATTCTCATGTATGTAATGGTTGGCATTAGACTTTGAGTTATAAAAAGCTGCATTTGCATTCCAGTTTGACACTGTGTATGACCTTAGACTTTTCACTTCACTTTTTTGGACTCAATTCTCTCACCTGTAAAATGGGGGGATTGAATGGAATCTCTGTGAGTCCCTATTTCTTAAACACTAGGGAATAATGGACACATGGCTGGCTTTTTCTGTGCGGTAAATTTCTCATCTATAAAACAAGCTTATGATGCCAGCCCTGACCACTTCACATCGGCAACAATGAGGATTAAAATTAAATGGTGTACATGGCTATACTTTGTTCAGAGTAAAGTTCTATCAGTTGTGACGTATTACTATGGAACAAGGATCACTGGCTGATCAATGCATGTCCTTGGGTTGCTAGCAACAGAAACCTTCTCTGACCTGACTGATGTAAACAAATGGATTTTTTTTTAAGTACCCTTCAAATCTCTACAGACCCTTCTCTGGACAGTCCTTTTCTGTTTTCATTTTATGGATTTTTAAAAATTGTAGTAAGGACATTTAACTTCAGATATATCCTTTAAACAAATTTTTTAGTGTACAATTCAGTATTATTGACTTTGGGTACAATGTTGTACAACATATTCCTAGAACTTATTTATCTTGCATAACTGAAATTGTATGTCTGTTGACTAGCAACTACCCAATCATTTCCTTCTCCCACTAACCCATGGCAACCACTATTCCACTCTCAGCTTCTATGAGTTTGGATATGTTAGATACCTCATATAAGTGGAATCACGCAATATTCATCTTTATGTGACTGTCTTTATGTTTCATGTAGCGTGATGTCCTCCAGATTCACCCACACTGTTGCACATGGCAGGATTTCTTTCTTCTTTAAAGCTGAATAATTTTCCACTGTGTGTCTATACCACATTTTCTTTATCCATTCTTCCACTGCTGGACATTTAGGTTGTTTCTGGGTCTTGGCTATTGTGCATAGCGCTGCAGTGAATGTGGAGTGAGGACATGGAGCTCACAGAGGAAGAGGAAGCCATGGATTTGGAAATGCTCAGGAAGCAAGAACCACAGCAATAGCCCCGGAGCAGATGAGTCCTGTGCGGCCATCCCCACCAAGATGAAGGAAATCCAAACTCTTCTGCTGCCCTTGTCCCTCACTCAAGGTTCTAAGTTCAACATGACAGCCTGTGCCAGGAGCGGTGGCTCACACCTGTAATTCCAGCACTTTGGGAGGCTGATGTGGGCGGATCACCTGAAGTCAGGAGTTCAAGACCAGCCTGAGCAACATGGAGAAACCCTGTCTCTACTAAAAATACAAAATTAGCCAGGCGTGGTGGCACATGCCTGTAATCCCAGATACTTGGGAGGAGGTGGAGGCAGGAGAATCGCTTGAACCCAGGAGGCGGAGGTTGTGGTGAGCTGAGATTGTACCATTGCACTCCAGCTTGGGCAACAAGAGTGAAACTCCATCTCAAAAAAAAAAAAAAAAAAAAAAAGAGATAGCCTGTAATTGACCAAGCTCAGGACACCTGCCCATCCACCTCTGACTGCCCTGGGCCAAGGGATCTCTCCCCTTTGGCTTCTGTAATGGGGTGACAGGCACCTGAATATACTCTTTATCCAAAACCACACCCAGTGGGGAAGAATTCCTCTGTAAAGGGAAACCATGATCTGTTAGGAAGGGGAAGAAGATTCTGGGCAACCCCTACATGCAAAATAACTACTGCCCAGAGACTAGTTAAATGCTAAATAATCACAATGTGTCACCCTCAGACAAGGTTTTTGTTTGTTTTTCTCTTCATCATTACTGTTTCCCCATCCAACGGGAAGCAGGTAATTTGGTGACACATATTGCTGTGTCTTTTCTTTCCTCTTCTTCTTCCTCTTCTAGTCCCTCTTCTCCCCTTCTCCTTTCTTATTCTCCCTTCTCTCCTCCTTTCTTTCCTCTCTTTTCCCTCCTCTCTTCTCCCCTTCTTACCTTCCCCTTTTTTCTTTCTTCTCCAACCAACTCCTGTTACTTTACGGAGCAAACTGAGTCTTAAGGGATACACAGAGGCCTCTCACGTCTCTCTGAACCAGAAAGAAAAGACTTTTCCTGATACATCAACATCCTGGTCATCACACTCCTCTTTTATTGTACCATGCATACACACACATGCACACACATACATGCACAAGTGTGCACACATATTCATAATACACATACACATACATGCACATGAACATACACACGCACACACACACACACACATACTCCTAACCCTTGCCTTCCTCTTCCTCTCAGGACCCTATTTCCTTCACTTCGTCTACGATCATTCTTCATATCCTGATGAAATTTACCCAGGTGCAGCTTGGATTCTTTGTCTTTTCCCCCTCGCTGGGCTTTAGGAGGCAGGCAGGCAAGCAATTGTGGAAATATTCCCATCCTGTCTGCAGCTGCCCCTGACCACCTTGAAAAGTCAGTGACAAGCAACAAAAGGCTCTATCCAAACTCGGTAAGAATTGTCGTGCACCTCAAAGAACTGTTGTGAGTGATTGCTACAAGAGATCCTCAGCTGTTCACCAAGACATCCTCAACAAGAAGCCACACGTGTGGAGTAAAACAAACAGCAGAAAAACACGATGCTATAGTTCTTATTGGAAAGCAAACAAGAGCCCGCCGTCAAAGACAAACTGGTAAAAGCTCTAGCAGAGCAGACCAAGGTCAGTGGAGAGCTGGGAGCATCAGAGGAAAATATCAGGAGCCATTTTGACAGCCTAATCGCAGGGAAGCAATTGTCTTCCGCACCAACTCCAAAGGCTGAGCTTCCAAAGAATTGCAACACCACCAAGAGATGTTAGTTTCAACAATTGCTTGTAATAACATATTTGGCCAAGACACACTGCACAAGACACGTTTTCCTACATTTTATTATGATAATTTTCAAGCAGACATAAAAGTTGAAAAATGTTTCCACTGAAAACCCATCTACCCATGACCTAGATTCTACCACTAACATCTCCTTGCTTTAAGGTATATCTACCCCTCTATCCATTCTTCTAGCTATCCATCAATCCTTTTAATTTTTTAATTTTTTAATTTTATTTTTTTTTTTGAGACAGAGTCTCGCTCTGTAGCCCAGGCTTGAGTGCAGTGGCATAATCTTGGCTCACTGCAACCTCCGCCTCCTGGGTCCCAGTTCAAGCAATTCTCCTGCCACAGCCTCCTGAGTAGCTGGGATTACAGGCACACACCACCATGCCCAGCTAATTTTTGTATTTTTTGTAGAGACGGGGTTTCACCATGTTGGCCAGGCTGGTCTTGAACTCCTGACCTCATGATCCACCTGCCTCAGCTTCCCAAAGTGCTGGAATTACAGGCGTGAGCCACCGCTCCTGGCCTATTTTTTGTTACATTTTAAAGTGGCAGGCATTAGTACCCTTCAACCCAAAACTTCAGCATGAACTAGAGTTTTATTTGTTTACAGTTCACACAGAAGATATTTTTGACCCCCAGAAATAAAACACATGGGTTGGGGGACAGAGCAAGGGATCTACAGGTAACGCAAGGAGGATTTTTAGGACAGTGAAACTACTCTGGATGATACTATAATGGTGGGTACATGTTATTATACATTTGTCCAAACCCATAGAATGTACAACACCGAAAACTCTAATGCTAACATAAACCGTGGACTTTAGGTGATAGTGATGTGTTCACATAGGCTCACCAGTTGTAACAAATGGACTGCTCTTGGGCAGGATGTTGATAATAGGGGAGGCTATGCCTGTGTGGGGATGGAGGGCATTTGGAAAATCTCTGTACCTTCAATTCAATGTTGCTGTAAATCTAAAACATCTTTAAAAACCAAAATCTATTTAATTTTTTAGAATAAAACATCCAGCGTAAATCTAACAGGACCAGCAAACTGGTATCCCTTGGGCTGAATTCAGCTCACAAACATGCAGCCTAGCCATCATTTACTTCCATTCCTCCCGTTATGGAATCCCAACTTTTCTTTGAATAAATGGTCCACCTCCTCTCATAGTCAGTGTGGTTTGGAAAGAACTTACCCGTTCTCTTGGCTTTGTCACTGGACACATGAGACATACGTTGCAATCAGTATATATATATGTATTTTTTTGTTGTTGGCTATAGAAATCTAACTCAAACTTGTGAGTTTAATTGAGATGAGCCCCTCACCCAGGTTGGTTCATCAGGGGTCTTTCCCAGGGCTTTTGTTCCAGTTCTCTTTTAGCTCTGGTTATTAATCTGATAGGATAAATCTAGGGATGATGGTGTCCATCTTTTTATTATATTGTAAAAACCTGCTTAAGAATGCAGCTAATCAAGGCAAAGCAGAAGCCATTGATGGAAAAAGCCAGGTATGCATTTGCACCTGATCAGCCAGGCCTGCAGTCAGGCAAACGTCTATACTTTTCAGTTTTAAGAGCCGATACATTCCTTTTTAAAAATTAAACTAGTTTAAGTTTTTCTTCATCAATTTCAATAAAAAGAGTCCTGGGGAACACACAGTTACTAAGGGAGCTGAGCTGGGATTCAAACCCAGGTCTGGATGTAAGCCTCAACAGTTGACAGTTACACTGCTTGCACTGCAATTAGGTTCTGCATTGAACATTCCAGGATGAAGGACACTTCCCTCGCCAGGAGGTGATCTTAATGCAGGAAGGGCAGATAACAGATAACCTTTGAGTGCCAACACAATGTGGTAAGAGATGTTTCAGGAGAAAGACTGTCCATGTGGGAGGTAAACAGGGATGTGCAGGTCAGGAAAGATTTTGAGGTCAAAGTTATCCTTTAAAGGAGTCCTGAAAAGCAGGGAGAAACCAGAGGGCAAGCTACAGTCTGTAGGAAGTGGGAGGACAGAGGATTCAGCCAAGTGGACCCAGGGTGCTACAAGCCCCATTTCATCTGCCCTTCCATCTAGAACAACCTTAATCATAATCACTGTGCATTTGCCTTTCACTTCCTATCAATCTGTCTGTCTATTCATCTATCTCCGTCTCTCTGTGTCTTTCTCCACATCTCTGTCTCTCCCTCTCTCTCTAGCTGACTCTTTACTCTCTTTCGCTCCTAACTCCCTTTCTCACTTTGCCTTTCCCTCTCCCTCTTTCTTTGCACACACACTCTCCTAACTTCTGGAATGCAGCCCACTCCATCATTAATACCACCCTAGTCCAAGCCACTATCATTTCTCACATATCCAACATGACAACCTCGAAACTCGTCTACCCACTTCTATTCTTGCCTCTTTTCCATCAATTCTCCACCTCCCTGACATAGTAAGTATTTGAAAATGCAAATATAATCACAGCACTCCCCTGCTTAAAACCATGGATAAAGACCTAACTTCTCCCTGTAGCCTACAAGACCCCACTCACTGCCTAACTGCATGGATCTGCTTGTACTGCACCTACACACACACACACACCAACACACACACACACACACACACACAGTCCCTGGTCTCCCACCTCCTCAAAGAGTTCTTCTCACTCCCACCCCAGGGCCTTTGCACTGCCTCTTTCTTCCACCTGGGATGCTCCCCTCACCCCTAGACCAACATCCCTTCACTACTTATCCTTCATCTCTTAATCCTTACTTATCCTTCACATATCAGCTCAAATATCACTTCCTCAGAGAAGCCTTCCCTGACCACCAGACTACATAGAATTTTCCTTGACTCCTTGGTGCATGCTGGCTCATTCCTTTCACTTTTTTTTACAGCCCATATCCAAGCCCCAACCACAGTTGGCTTGAGTGCGCCATTGTCATACAGAACCAATCAAGTGGATCAGCCCCTTGAGCAAATTATCCGTGGGGGTGTGTGTGTGTGTATGAATTGATTCATGCCTATATCTTGCACTTGACTTAAAGATCCAGGAAAGCAGAGACCACGTCAACTTTTAAAAACAATTGTATACCCAGAATCCCATACAGTGACTAGCGTACGCATATCTAGTTTGTTACAGTCCCCACTACTCCCTATTGCCTTCCAAACTCTGAGTAAAGTGTTAGTTGCAATTTAAGTTATGTTTATGTTGTTGTTTATCTTAAAGAATTATCCCTTCATACCGCCACCTCTATCAAAGGGTGGAGAAACAGAATCTAGACCAAGAGGACCAAGAGTTTCCAGGAAAAATGGGAGATAGCATATTTCCTATGAAAGTGAAGAATGTGGCTGGGCACAGTGGCTCATGCCTGTAACCCCAGCACTTTGGGAGGCCAAGGCAGGTGGATCACTTGAGATCAGGAGTTTGAGACCATCCTGACCAATATGGTGAAACCCCATCTCTACTAAAAATACAAAAATTAGCCAGGCATGGTGGCAGGTGACTATAATCCCAGCTACTTGGGAAGCTGAGGCAGGAGAATCTCTTGAACCCAGGAAGCAGAGGTTGCAGTGCACTCCAGCCTGGGTGACAAGAGCAAGACTCTGTCTCAAAAAAAAAAAAAAAAAAAAAAAAAAGCTGAGGCAGGAGGGTCACGAGGTCAGGAGATCAAGACCATCCTGGCTAACACAGTGAAACCCCATCTCTACTAAAAATACAAAAAAAAATTAGCCGGGCATGGTGGCAGAGGCCTGTAGTCCCAGCTACTCGGGAGGCTGAGGCAGGAGAATGGCGTGAACCTGGGAGGCGGAGCTTGCAGTGAGCCGAGATTATGCCACTGCACTACAGCCTGGGCGACAAAGCAAGATTCTGACTCAAAAAAAAAAAGAAAAAGAAAAAGACAGTGAAGAATATTTATTACCTGCCCAGGCTCACAGGCATTCAAGTGTGAAACTCCTCCTCTAAAATTCTGTATATATTTCTATTATATTTATTTATTAACTAATCTAAGTTTTACTTCTGGACACCTACCTGGCACTGCTCTTGGCACTAAGGATACAGTGAAGGATAAGACAGATGAAGATCCTGCCTTCATGTTACAAAGAGCCTACGTGACAGTGTGTGACGTTTCCTATCACTTACCTATCCTTCCACTAGTCTGAGCTCCTGATGGTTTCAGCACAGGCTCTGGAGCCAACTGCCTTGGATTCAATTCCAACCAGGTGTTCTTGGGCAAATTACTAAACTTCTCTCTGCCTTGGTTTTCTCATCTGTGAAATGGGGCTAATAATTATACCTTCCTTCCATTGTGATAATGAAGATGCAATGAGTTAAGTCGTGGCTGTCTCTTAACAAACCCTCAGTAAATGTTAACTCTTATCACTCACCTGTGTCTCCTAAGCCGGACTGGCCTCATGGATGTGTGACCTATGTAGTCACTCAAGGTCCCATGCTTGAAAGGGCTCCATGCTTGGTTTAATGCTCTACTCTTGGTGTCTTGAAATTCTTAATAATTTTTGAACAAGAGACCTCGCATTTTTATTTTGCACTGGGCCTTGCAAATTATGTGGCTGGTCCTGACCAGCATATGTTACGTGTCCGGTAACATTCTGTTGAAAGAATGAATAAATGAATGAATTCAGCCAACCACTGTTGTTGAACTGAGTCTGCCATTGTCATACAGAACCAATCAAGTGGATGAGCCCCTTAAGCAAAATTAAACAGACTTTTGTTGTTAACTCATCCTGCCCATTCCCTGGGACCCAGGAACACTCAAAGCTTGACTTAAGTCTTTAAAGATCTTCTCATCCAGGCCAGGTGCATTGGCTCATCACCATAATCCCAGCACTTTGAGAGGCTGAGGCAGGAGTTTGAGACAAGTCCACGCAACATAGTGAGACCATCTCTTCAAAAAAATAAAAAATCTTCTCATCCAAACTATCCATTTTCCAGGAAACTTGGACCTTGACAAACTGCCAGTGTTCCTGATGGAGCCAGCAGAGGACCCAATCCAATTCCCCATTCTCCAGAACTGCAGTCTGCACCATACGCACCACACCCCTCTTTTTCTCCCAGCTCAGCATTCCTGGGACAAAGGCATACCTGATTTCTTTCATCCCCATTTTACACGGAGAAATAAAGATTCAGACACAATAAGGTCCGTCAAGATTTCCCATGCAGTCCAGTCCCTCTGCCTAGCCAAGTTTGTAGTTCTGTGAATTCAAACCACTCAAATCATTTTTGGAGTGACTTGTCATACATGATCATTATATGCTTAATCCCCCTAACCCCAACAGCATTCTGAGACCCTGGCCTGCAAAGACAAGCAAAGATAAACTCATCTCCCTGCAGGCCCTGGGTGCTGAGTCCATTCATTCTTTCGATGTCTGTTGAGAGTCTGCAGCATGCAGGCACCGTGTGAAGCTGAGACGCAACCAGGAACGACACAGACAAAAGGCCCTGCCTTTCTAAGAGAAAGAAAAGTAAATAAATACAACGTGTATGGTCTGCTGATGGCGCTATACACTATGCAGAAAAATTAAGCAGCGAGGGACAGAGGATGTGAATACTTTGAGGTGGGAGAAGAATAGAGATTTCAATAGGGAGGGGAGTAGAGATTTCAATGTAAATAGGATTATAAGGGAAAGCTTCAAAGAGAAAAGGACGGATAAGCAAAGACCCTAAGAAGGTGAGGAAACAGCTTTCTGTAGCTGTGCAGAGGAAGAACATTCCAGGCAAAGGGAATGGCCAGTGCAAAAGCCCAGAAGCCTTATCCATCATTCCCAATGCAGAGGGCATCTTTGAAGAGACTAGGAGGGCTTTGTCAGATCACATACATTTCCCCCGCCCCTGGCTATCCCCAACTTCTCATCTCAGTCTAGCTGCCTGCAGACCAATCCAATCTATAGGTTTTTGAACAATTATTTATTGAGCTTCTACAATGGCCAGCCACTGCTTTATTCATCAATGCAGCGGTGTTCTCGTTTTCTTTGTGTTTGCAGTAGTCATATTTAATCGAGAGAGGTCATAATAAAATTTCAGTATCTAATGGGGCTTGAAATCTCAGACCTGGCCTCACTGGGCTGGGTCCATGTGACTCTAATCTGCCCTTTTGTGGGGCCACGTGCCTCCTTGCTTACCACAGACCCAGCTAGATCCAGTAGATGCCCCCCTTATGCAGACTGCCTGACTCTGTATGCTTTGGAGATTTCCACTCTGCCCTAGAGTGTCCCCCATCCCTGCCTGGGGTAACCTCTAACAAAGACAAGAACTGGATACATGCTCTTTGCTGGTCTTGAGGGACAGGGGTCTGCTCCACGTTGGGAGACCTGGAAGAGGCTGGGGAAAGCTTAGCCAGTTCCTTCTCTCCAGGAATGGATGTGATATAGGGGTGAGGGGCGTTGGGAAGCAGCGGGAGTGGGGGGTTTGAGGGCGGGGGGTCTTAGGCTTCTCAGACCCATCACAGCTCTTTGCATAGGCAGCTGCTACAGTCTGCTCCTGGGGATGCCTGGCCTGGGTGTTCCTGCAGAATCTTTAACTCTCTCACACTCACTGTCTTGAGCCCCAGACAGACACTATGTCCCTCTCTCTCTCTCTCTCTCTCTCCTCTCTCTCCTCTCTCTCTCTCTCTCTCTCTTTCTCTCCTCTCTTTCTCCTCAAGTCTGTGGTGGCCACACCCGGAACCCTCCACCTGCCTGCCCTGAGGAGAAAGGACCACCCACCCACACATTGCTTGGATCCCACCTGCCTTACAAATGCTACCCTTCACACAACCTTCAAGCACTCTCGACAAGCCCCCATGACTCCCGCGTGCGTTTTCGTATGTTTGGAGCGCCCTGTGAGTGTGGTCTTGTGCATGGTGATGAGGATGCCTGCGTGTTTTCAAGGGTCTGGGTGTGGGATGGGAGAGCATCCGCGTGCCTGAGTGAGCGTGTGAGTACACCGCATGCCTGGGTATTGTGTGTCTTTGTGTGAGCGTGGGCGAGTGCGTGTTTGAGTGTCTGCAACATCCTTATTCCTGACTGAAGGGCGGCATGCAGGAGGGGCTTCTCTTAGCCAGTCTGTATCCTCTTCAAACGCACTCCAGTTAGGGGACAGTTCACCGGCGGCCACCCCCAGAGTCGCCACACACACGCACAGGGAGGCACGCACCCCTCTTTCCAGAGCCAGCAAGCTCAGCTTCCCTTGTCGAGGAAAACCGACAACGCTTTAGCATCCTCGCTGCTCCAACAGCCCCACCCCTTCCCCCGTTCTTTGCCCTAGGTATAGAATCCTCTATCCGGAGATGGACTGGAAGCATTGGAGAGGGGCAAGAGAGGTGGCTGCGAGGAGAGTGGAGAAAGGCAAACTGAGGACACGCTGGAGGAGTGAGGAGCCGCTGCGGGAGAGGCAGATCCTACCCACACCACGCCCCTCCCTCGGGGTTGGAGATTGGGGATAGCCTGTTTTCCACTCCGGTCTTCCTTCGGGGCTCCCAGGTCTAACTGCATCTTCTCCCCTGAAAGTGGAGCCAAGCGAGGCGGCTGGGACCCCCTCCTCTTCCGCATCCCTCCCACCCCACACACACTCCGCTTCCAGGCAGCCGCTGATTGGCTGCGGGGAGCGGCGTCCCAGCCCCCCGGCTTTGAGGCGGGAGTGGAGCGGGTCCGAGGTGGGAGGCGCACAGACGGGCTCCGGGAGCCCCTCCCGAGGCCCCGCGCAGCGCGCCCCGCACCCTGCGCCCCGCGCCCTGCGGGAGGGCTGAGCCAAGACTCCAGGCGGGCAGGTGCGGAGCGAGCAGAGGGGATCACGGCCAAGGGTAGGAGCCAGTCCTGCGGGGAGAGAGGCGCTGCTGCTCCAGCTGCCGCTGCCTCCGCCGCCGCCACCACCGAGCCGGCGACCAGAGTCGGGCTGGCAGGCCGGGCGCGAAGCGGCAAGGGGAGCGAGGGGCGCGCTCATGGAGCACACGCACGCCCACCTCGCAGCCAACAGCTCGCTGTCTTGGTGGTCCCCCGGCTCGGCCTGCGGCTTGGGTTTCGTGCCCGTGGTCTACTACAGCCTCTTGCTGTGCCTCGGTTTACCAGGTGAGGGGCGTGGGGGAGAGGGAGGGAAGCCAGGAACCCCAAGTGCCGGGCAACCCTACCCAGAATCCCCCGTCCTCCCCCGTGCGTTCCCTGGCGCCCCCTCGGAAAAAGTTTAAGCTTTAAGGGCAACTATGGATATTTCCACACGGGGGGAAAGGAAGTTGCTGTGCCCTAGCTGGGGACCGTGTGTGTGTGTGTGCGCGCGCGAGCGTGTGTGTGTGTGTGTGTGTGTGTGTGATGACTGTGACGGCGGGCGATGGGCTGGGCATGTGAGCATGGATTCGAAGGTGCATTTGTGCGCGCATCTGGAGGGGGCGGCTTTCATGGGGTGGGGGCGTAGAGGGCTTTGTGTGTGTTTGGCTTGACTGCATGTTCTGGACAGAAGGCTTCGTGGAGGCTTCCCTTCTCCCGTGGCCCCTGCACGTCCACCCCACTTGGGGCACCTCTGCCCCTCTGCGTGTCCCCGCCTGACACGAGATGAAGCTGGAGACCCTGACATTGAGCACTCTCTTGCTCGGGGGGCACTGGAATGGAGAAAGAATGCCTAGCAAGAAAAGGGTCTCCCAGCTGGCTAAGGAGAATCAGGGGTTGGCTCTGGGACCATGCCCTGGCCAGGGCAAGGGTGCAGAGACACACAGGGCAGCCTGCGGTGGCTGCCACCTCAGGGGGTCACAGTCTCCTTGAGGACATGCCTGGCCCCCTGGCTTGGCCTCCAGGTCTACCCACCCTGGGCAGCTCACGGCTGCTGTGGATGTCTGGCTGGTCCCACATCTTAATGTCCTTTCCAAAGTGTGGCTGAGACTTGTCCTGAATTCCTGAAGAGAGCTGAGCTGCCGAGAAGGAGGGAGTGCTTGCCTGGGCCGTGTGCGAGAGAGAGCGAGAGAGAGAGAAAGCTTTTTTCCTGGGGCTCCAGCTTTGGGTGGACCCTCCTTGCAGGCAGTCTTGGTGACAAATAGATCCCTAAAGATTACTTGCATGCAGAGAGGAGAGAGGGACTGAAAGAAGCAGAGAGAAAGAGAGAAAAAAAATCCAGTGTACAGCCTGAAATCTTAGCATCATCTCCCTAGTCATCTCTTAGTCTGCGAACCTTAGCATCTTGCGATCCTGGGAACTTGGGAGCTGGATTTCTGAGAGCCTGGCTGAGATTTCCTTTCCCAAACATTCAACTTGGCAGTCAGGGCCCCTGATGAGATTGTTTCAATAAATCCCCCCTCCCAAATTTGGCAGGCATGAGAAAGCGCAAGTTTACTAATGTGTGAGCCTCTCTCCCCAAGCCAGTGATGAGGCTTTTATTCCTAACTAATCGCCACGGCTGCCCTAGGAGAGCAGCTCAGCCTCTGACTTGCCCTGCCGGGGTGGTAGCACATGTCCTGTAATTACCTTGAGCTGGGATTGATTTTAGTCCAGGTTCCACCTCCCCCCTTCAGCCCTTCGGAGCTTCTCTCCCCAGAGCACTGTTTTGGGAAATGAGTTTTTGAGAAGGTTGGTTATTTGATGATGCTTGCTGAACTGGAAAAGTGTAAGAACCTCTTTCCCCCTCAGCATTCCCATCAGAATGTCCCCCCAACAATCCACCCACCCTTGCACCTCCTCTACTGAGTGAGATAGCCACTCACTCACTCACTATCCCAGGCTTTTCTAATGAAACCATTTAAGGGACAGAGACAAAGACAAGCAGAGGTTGACCCTTCAAGAGTTCAAAGCAGGGACAAGAGGATGGAGAAAATGAGGAAAAACTTAGGCCTTTAAAGACCTCAAGGTGGAAGCCAAGGTACCTCGCACCTTCACATCCCAACTCCTATGCCAGCTAGGGCCTTCCTGACACACAGCATTGACATCTACTGTATGCCAGGCACTATGCTAGCCACAGGCTTAGCCCAGAGTTTGGGAACTTAAAAGGATGAAGCTAGGATTAGGATTTAGCTGTTGTTGATGTCTTCATACCCTCAACTAATAGTTTTGGCCACTATGGTATGCTAAGTATTAACTGGGTGTCAAAAGGACACAAAGTCCTAGGATGCAGTCTCTGAGTTCCAGGAGCTCCCAAATGCAAGCGCATGATTCCAAAGACAGCAGATGGATGCGTAAGGACCAAGCAACCTAAAGAAGAATGACTGGGGAGGCCAGGCTTATCCAAAAGTCTTGGTCTGCTAGCAGTTTTGTTAACAGCCCACAAGGCTGGTTCAAAGGTGAATTCTTTAAGTCATTCTCTTAAAACCATAAGGGGAGACAAGCATGTCCTGGCAATGAAGAGTGAATGTTAATCCAGATTCTGCTGGGGTGAGGTTGCAAGCTTTTCATGTCTCTGTGCCTCAGTTTCCACAGCAGTAAAATGGGAATTATGAGGGTAGCTATCCCCTGGAGTGGTGTTGAGAAGTAAGGATGTTGCTGCAGATGATGGCACTAGCGAAATGCTCGCCTTGGTGCCTGACATTCATTTATTGACACTGCACTGCTGTGGTCATAGATATCATGAAGCCGATCAAGTTGTAAGGAGGGCGGTCTGCTTGCTCAGCCCCACCAGTGACCAGAGGAGGGACTGAGATACACAGAAGAAAGCATTCAGGTCAGCATGTAACTCTGCGTGTTGAGCTCACCACAGTGGTCCCCACCCATCACCTCCCTTCCCCAGCCACCAGCAATTAGCAAACTCTCATTACTCCACCACTGACTGGGAGACGCAGCTTTGCTGGGTGTGGAGTAACAGACCACAGCTCTTGCTCATATTGTTGAAAACTGAGATTTTAATTGAATCACTATTCCTGGCAGTGGACTCACCCCAAGTTTCCCAAATTCTCGCAGTAGTTGTTGGAGACATGGGTGGGAACTGAGGGATGGATGGGGAGCGCCTGAATGTTTAGCAACAGCAGAGCTAGTATCACAGGAAAGTGGTGGATGTCTCTGACTACCTTCGGTCTCTAGGTTGGGAGGAAGAGCTAGGGGATTGCCCCAGACAGTCTAATTTTTAACTGGTTGGTGTAGGATCGAAGAAATTCTAATGTGAAATATGGGTACAGCTTTGCCACTTAAGAACTCTTCACCTCTCTTCATCATAATTTTCCCCATCTGCAAAATGGGGGCAACAGTAGTACCTCTTACCCACACAGGTGGTATATATGAAATAAGATCATCTATGTAAAAATGGCTTAGCACAGTGCCTTGTCCAAGAAAAGCACTTATTCCTCACTCAGTGCCTTCTCCACACTGGATCTCTGTCACCTATATTATTACACTTAATCCCTGCCACACCTCTGCGACCTATACCTGTCTTTGAACTCATTTTACAATGAACAAACTGAGACTCAGAAAAACGAAGCATCTTATCTACTGTCGCACAGTCAAGCCAGCATGCAAACATGCTGCCTTATTAAACAGTGCAATAAGGCAAACAGTGCAATTTTGTTGTATGGCTTCACCTTCATTAATGCCAGGCAGTTGTTTGAACTAACCTCTGTCCCTCCTTTCTGTGCTCTGTGGAGAAAATCGGTGTCCCACCTATTCCTAAAACTCCATCTCTTTCCCCCTTTCCTCCTCCTTTTTAAGTAAGAAAGACGTTTCTCACTTCTCGAGACACACAAAATAAGTCAGCAGAGCCAAAAAGCAAGGATTTGGGACACTCATTGGACCAACTGGAATGAGACAGTACAAAAGAGACAGCAATGCAGGAGAAAATGATGAACTTGAGCCCCTGGGGGAAGACAGTGAGAGGGAGGATGGGTGGGCCAGCTTGATAAGGAAGGAGCAGTGTGAAATTAAACTGAGATTTGAGAGATTTTAAAAAAAATTACCTTCTAAAGAGTGCCGGGGATGTGCAGAAAGACAAGGTGAGGAAAGAGATGATAGCTTGAAACTGCATGCCGCCCAGCAGAAGGGTGCATTTCCACCACTGCCAAGTGAGAATGATAACATCTGTAACATGTGCCTTTGAGAGTTGGTGCAAGATGAAGGCAGATGATGAGTCTGTAGCCTGGCAGATAGTAAATAAGCCTGACGCATGGTAGTTACCATTGTTGTCAACTAGAAGTAGAAAACTGGTGATCTGTCAGCTGGACTGAGGCCTGCAGATATGTTTTCTTTACCTTGTAAACATCTTTAATGAGAGAAAATGGAATAAACAGGTTAAAAGGACACACTCTGGAGCTGGACCTCTGGGGTCTGAGTCCTGGCTGTGCTGCTTACAAGTTATATGACCTTGGGCAAGTGACTTTAACTGGGAGTGATTATAAGAATAGTCTACAGTTCATAGGGTTGCTGTGAAGATTAAATGGGCTAAGCACTGAGCACAATGCCTGGAATATGGTAAGCACTCTATACGTTATTTTTTCATCATTTAAAAATTAGGAAAAAATCCCAACTCACTTTGTGACGCCAGCTTTATCAAAACCGGACAAAGACATTACAAAAAAAGAAAACTACAACCCAATGTTCCTCATGAACATAGACACAAAAATCATCAACAAAATATTAGCAAATCTAATCCAGCAATATATAAGAGGAATAACATGTCAGAATCAACTTGAGTTTATCCCAGGAATACAACACTGGTTCGACATGTGAAAATCACTCAGTATAACTCATCATATTAACAAACTAAAAAAAAAAAAAATTTTAAGGCATGTGATCCATCTCAATAGATGCAGAAAAAGCACTTGACAAAATTTAACATCGATTTGTGATAAAAACTCATCAAACTAGGAAAAGAAAAATAACTTCTTTAACTTGATAAAGGGCATCTATAAATAACTTATGTCTTACAACACATTTAATGATGAAAAAACTGAATGCTTTTTCCCTAAGATCTAGAACAAGGCAAGGATGACTGCTCTCACCACTCCTATTAAACATCATACTGGAAGAAGTCCTAGCCAGTGCAATAAGGCAAGAAAAAGAAATAAAATTTATACAGAAAGGAAGGAATTCAGTAGTTTCGGTTCACAGATGATACAATGGCCTTCCTAGAAAATCACAAAGACTCCACACCACAAAAACTCCTAAGAACTAATAAATGAGTTCAGCGTGTTTGCAAGATACATGGTTAGTATGTAAAAACCTATTGTATTTTTATATACTACCAGTGAATAATTTGAAATTAAAAACTGGAAATTTTAAAAAATAGATTTCCAAGTTCCCTTAAAAACACCAGAAGAATTCACATTAGATTCACATGCCCACAAGACAGCAATTTTCTGGAGCTGAGGAATAGCTGCTTGCTTTATTTTATTTCTCCTTTCTTTTTTTTTTTTTTTTTTTTTTGCATTAAATAGATAATGATATTCATGTGACTCAAAGCCTAAAAATATAAACAGGCACACATTGGAAAGTCTCCCTTCCATCACTTTCTCCTGTTCACCACTTCTCAAACCCACCATCACAGAGGTAACCACTGTTATTAGTATTTTAGTTTCTTATGTATTCTTTCAGGGTATCTTCATGCATATCCGAGAAAATATCAATTATGGATTTCAACTCTCCCTTTTTTTTCACTGTCCCTAAAATGAGCACATTATACACACTGTCCCACATTTACTCTTTTTCCACTTAATATATTAATCATCCACGATGGCTTTCTCATTCTTTTATACAGCTGTATTGCATTCTATTGTGTATTTGAATCATAGTTTCTTGGTTGACTGCCCCTTTCAAAAGCACATAGGCACTCCAATGCTTTTTTTTTTTTTTTTTTTTGAGATGGAGTTTTGCTCTAGTTGCCCAGGCTGGAGTGCAATGGTGCAATCTCGGCTCACCGCAACTTCTGCCTCCTGGATTCAAGCGATTCTTCTTCCTCAGCCTCCCAAGTAGCTGGGATTACAGGCATGCGCCACCATGCCTGGCTAATTTTGTATTTTTAGTAGAGACGGGGTTTCTCCACATTGGTCAGGCTGGTCTCAAACTCCCGACCTCAGCTGATCCACCTGCCTCAGCCTCCCAAAGTGCTGGGATTACAGGCAAGAGCCACTGTGCCCAGCCAGCACTCCAATTCTGAATAGTCTCTAATGGCGTGCCTAATTGACCTTTGTATACTGCATGACTCGTCCTTAGGCACATTTGACCATAGGACTCCTGTTATAGCAGTGAGAAAAAGAGCACTTCATCATTCCAGGTTTGATCTGGCAATAACTCACTGTGTGACCTTGGCCGAGTTATTATTAATGGGTCTCTCAAAGGCCCAGGAGAGCCAGGTTCTGCTGTGTTGCTATAGTTGGAGACATGGCCCCATGGACAGGACATGAGCATAGACCAATGATGTAGCTATGCTGGAGGCTGCCTGGGCTGGCTTTGGGCTGGGATCCAGTACAGCATTTTTGTAGTTTTCGCTCCTGCTTAGTTTCTGTAACGATCATGTTAGTTTTGCTTTGTGAGATTGAGTGTAAAATACATTGCTTTGGAACTGGATGTGGATTTAAATTCTGTTTCTAAACCATGTTTGCTGTGTGATCGCAGGTATAACACTTCACCTCTCTGAGCCCCGGTTTTCCCATCTGCAAGAAAGTGGGCAGTTGAGTTTAGCAGTTAAGCCCAGTGGTCTCTGAAGTCAAACTGACTGGGTTTGAATCCTGTGCCCCTGACTGCTAATCTGTGACCATGGGCAAATTTCTCACCTTCTCTGAGCCTCAGTTTCTTCAGCTGTGAGATGGAATAACAATACTTCTCTCATTGGGCTGTTTTGAGGATTAAATGAAATTACAAGAATGCTTAGCACTATTCTCGGCACGTGTTCACTCTCACATAGAGTAAGAGTTCAATAAATGCTATTAACCTTCTGTGCCCTGGATTGGTTGCTGTGACGATTAGAAATAAAATATGCAAAGGCTTCTCACAGTGCCTCACACATTGTAGGAGCTCGGCAAATAGTAACTCGCATTGTTTTATTGTCTAACATGTCCACGTGCTCAAGCCTTATAAATGGCCTGTAGCCACACATCACTCTGTGCATAGGTCTTTTCCATGAATCCACAATTTCACTCAAAGTGGAAATGAAACAACATGCCCTGGCAAACTACAAGAGAATGATCCAATAGATTAAGCAATCAATTCCATCATAAGCCTAGGGAATTTGTCCCCCTAAAAGAGTTGCCTGTGATTCAGTGAAACTCCTAGAAATAATATCAGTGCAGAACATGAAATGGCCTTCAGCTACAGCTGGCAGAGACCGACAAACACCACCAGCAAGGTTGTCCTGGATAATGCAGTCAGAATCATGAACAGAAAGGGTCCTGCCACTGAACCTCCGTGTGGATCTGAAACATATTGGCAAATGGTGATAGCCAATGCCAGCCCTGCAGAGGGCACCATGAAATGATAGTGGCCAGGTGTCTTCAATTCAAATATTTAAACGGAGCAGTCAGATAATGTAAATGAACAAAGTAGTCTAGTTTTTAAGAAATGCTTCACTTACCCAAAGAATCATGCTTCTCTGCGGTTTTTCTGAAAGGCTGTGGCTCTCCTCATCTCTATTTTTTCTCAGTTATAGAGACAGATGTACAAAACAAACAAAAAAACAAACTATTTCTCTTAATAATTGCTGACACACTTATAGTGCTTACTATGTACTAAGCATTCTTCAAAACACTTCAAACGCATTAACTTATTTAACTTTTTTTTTTTTTTTTTTGAGATAGTCTCACTGTGTCACCCGTGCTGGAGTGTGGAGTGCAGTGGCGCGATTTCAGCTCACTGCAAGCTCCATCTCCCAGGTTCAAGCGATTCTTCTGCCTCAGCCTCCCGGGCAGCTGGAATTACAGCCATGCACCACCATGCCCTGCTCATTTTTTTGTGTTTTTAGTAGAGATGGGGTTTCACCATTTTGGCCAGGCAGTTCGCAAACTCCTGGCCTCAAATGATCCACCCATCTCAGCTTCCCAAAGTGCTGGGATTACAGGTGTGACCAATGCGCCTGGCCTCATTTAACTTATGATTCTTTGACGATTCTTTGAGGCATGTATTATACCCATTTTTCAGGTGAGAACTTTGAGACACTTCCCCAAGGTCACACAGTGAAGAAATGACAGGGCAGTATTCAGTACTGCTTCTCAGCTTTCATGTAAGAAAACAGCAGCAAACGCTCCTCAATGATAACCAACATTCAGACCAGGTCGAGAGAAGTGGGAGTGACCACAACAGGAAAGATAGGGACTGAGGGAGCTACAAAGTGCCACTGCCACTCAGCTTTCCAGCCAGTGGTTTAGTGTTGCCAAGTTGTTCAAAAAATCTAGAAATCCAGATTTTTATATGAAATGTCCATTGTTTCACATGTTGGCAACTAATTCAAAAATTTCAAAAACACTATGTGAGCCAGCACTTTGTGAGCCAAACCAAACATATCTGCAGGCTTGATATGGCCCAGCACGCTGCCAATTCACAAACTCAGGGGTTGGGAAAGCTGCAACAAGCACCAAAAAACACCAATGGGGTCACAGCAAGTGGAGAAAAAAAAAGAAGAAGAATCTAGAGGGAGGATCGAGGAAAAACAGGGATGGAGACACAGAGAAATATGTGGCTAAAGTGGAAAAGCATGCCAACCCATGAAACCAGGGATTTGGGATAAGCTGGAATAAAGAGCTCCAAAAAATACCACACATTGCATGCTAACAACATCTTGAAACACAAATCCACCATTTTGTTTTGGAACAGGAAGTGTCCTTAGAACCTGCCAGCATGGTGGATCAGGATGTAGGCTCTGTACTCCTCAGACCTGGGTTCAAATTCCCGCCTCGTTGTTTCCTGTTAATGGGGCTCTGGCAAGTGGCTTCACCCTTTCGGAGCCTCAGTGTTCCTATCTGCAGAATGGGTATAAGAATCCCTTTTTCACAGGGTTCATGGTGTAGCTGAAATGAGATAATTCAGGGTTGCCTGGGGCACAATGTCTGGTACTAGCCATTACTATGTGCTAAGAATGCTTCAAAACACTTCAAATGCATTAACTTATTTAACTTTTGTTGTTGTTGTTTGAGGCAGAGTCCCAGTGTGTCGCCCAGGCTGGAGTGTGGAGTGCAGTGGTCCAATTTCAGCTCACTGAAAGCTCCACCTCCCAGGTTCAAGTGATCCTCCTGCCTCAGCCTCCCGAGTAGCTGGAATTACAGCCACCATCCCCAGCTAATTTTTTGTGTTTTTAGTAGAGACAGGGTTTCACCATGTTGGCCAGGCTGGTCTTGAGCTCCTGGTCTCAAGTGATCCACCCACCTCGGCTTCCCAAAGTACTGGGATTACAGGTATAAGCAGTAATGGCCGCTGTGTTTTCTATGAGTCCAAACATCCCCATTTTATGAAATGAGGAATCTGCAGAGCTAGGAATGTGATATGGTTGAGGTTTGTGTCCCCATCCAAATCTCATCTTGAATTGTAATCCCCAAGGGATTAGGGAGTGACCTGGTGGAAAATTATTAGATTAAGGGTTGCTTAATCTTTTCTCATGATAGAAAGTGAGTTCTCATGAGATCCAATGATTTTATAAGGCAGTTTTCCCTGCTTTTGCTAGCTCTCTCTTTCCTGCCACCATGTGAAGCAGGTCTTTTCTTCCCCTTCACCTTCCACCATGATTGTAAGTTTCCTGAGGCCTCCCCAGCCATGTGGAACTGTGAGTCAATTAAATCTCTTTCCTTTATAAATTACCTAGTCTCAGGTATGTCTTTATAGCAGTGTGAGAACGTACTAATACAGAATAGCAGAGTCTTAACCAGAACTTACTTTTCCCAAGTCTCAGTTCACTTTTCACGAAATCACACTGCTAGCAGTCTCTTAGGAGGAAGCAAAAGGAGTAAAGGAAAAAGAGCCTGGGAGATTTTAGAGCTCAGAACGATTGCTTAGATATTTTTGGTTTGTTTTGTTGGTATATAGGATTATTTTAGGTGGTACAAGTCTGTAGCATTGAATCTCTTTTCAGCTGTCTTAGTCCTTCTGATTCCATCAAAGGGAAAGTTTCAGCTTGGTGCTAGTGTATGTTTAACACCTTTTTAAATATGTGGTAAATCTCCCTCTTTTATTTTTTAGACAGGGGCTCACTCTATCACCCAGGCTGAAGTGCAGTGAAGTGCTCACTCATAGCTCACTGCAGCCTTGAACTCCTGGGCTCAAGGGATCCTCCCATCTCAGCCTCCTGAGTAGCTAGGACTACAGACACATGCCACTGCACTCAGTTTAAATCTCTCTTTTGAATAGACACAGAGCAGGCCTTGGGCCCAGACCTTGGCAGGCAGCAGCACCTAGCTGGAGTTTAATGTGACTCTTGTATGGTCATTGTATTTCTATTTAAGACTACCTCCTGTTTACAACAGGGAAGGGAGGCTGATTTGTGATCTGGGGTGGTTATATACACGTGCCGTCCAATAGAATAACCACTAGCTGCATGTAGCTACTGAGCATTTGATATTTGACTAGTGCAACTGTGGAACTGAATTTTTTATTTCATTTCATTTCAATTAATTTACAACTAAAATCACATACTCAATTCAGTTAGTAGAAAATAACTGTATACTTGGAACAACTTGAGTATGTGAATCTACTCTTTCAATCACACATTTTATGACATCTAAATAGAGGTCAGAGACTTCCGATGAAAATTTGTCATCCATAGGGATATGTGTGCTGGAAGCATGAAATACACAGCAGATTTTGAAGATTTAGCATGAAAAAAAGTTAAATATCTCATCAATAGTTTACATAAATTACATTTTGGATGTATATAGTTAAATAAAATATATTGTTAAAATTATCTTCTCCTGCTTCTTTTTACTTTATTAACGTGACTACTAGGAAAATTTTAATTGTATATATGACTCACATTTATATTGGGCAGCACGATTATATAAAGTATAAATTTAAGGAAAAAAAGGCAAATCACTTTCAAACAAAATGCTAAATAAATGATAGTACTCGTGACACAAGAATGCAGCAAAAATCACAAAGTTGGTGGGTGTCTTGGTCTGTTTGGGCTGCTGTAACAAAGTACCATAGACTAGGGGGCTTATGTACCACAGAAATTTACATCTCACAGTTCTGAAGGCTTTATAAATTAGTGGCTTTATAAACTAGTGACTTCTTTTCTTTCCCCTCAAGTCTGAGATCAGGGTGCCAGAGCAATCAGGCTCTGGGAAGGGCCCTCTTCCAGGTTGCAGATTCCTGACTTGTTGTATCCTCTCACGGGAGAAAGAGAGGAAGACAGCCCTCTGGAGTCCCTTTTATAAAGTCGCTAATTCCATTCATGAGGGCTCCATCTCAGGACCTAATCAATTCCCAAAAACCCCATTTCCTAGTCCCATCACATTGGGGGTTAGGACTTCAAAATACAAGTTCAGTGGGGAACACATTCAATCCTTTGCAGTAGGACAGTCACTAAAGTCTGGGGAACACTGTTCTAATACAATGTCCTTTTTTAAAAGTATATTTAATTTAGAGATGGGGTCTCACTATGTTGCCCAGGCTGATCTCAAACTCCTGGCCTTAAGTAATTCTCCTGCTTCAGTCTCCCAAAGCTCTGGGATTACAGGCACAAGACCCTGCACCTGGCCTACAATGCCCTTGATGGAAAAACTGAGGCTTAGAGGGAAAGGAAATTCCCCGGGGATGCATACATAGCTAATTAGCAGCAGAGCTGGGCCTTGACCCCAAATCTCTGGGATTCCAAATCCAGTGTGCTTTGGCCATTGCTGCAATTTGGCCATTGCAGCAGTGCAGCAGTGCAAAGCAAGTGATCAGCCTCCACCTCTACCAAGGGAAATGTAAAGATGGTAGGGTCAGGCGTGGGGAGGAGGTGACTACCTTGGATCCTAGTACAATTCAAAGGGAGGGAATTTTACTGTATGAGTGACCCAGGATCTTTGTTTTTCTATAAAGTGGAAGCAGAATGGCTTGTGCTTTTCTTAAGTGATGGTCATGACCTGCTGGACTGCATTGAGAGGAAGCTAGGAATTTTAACCTCAAATGTGTGCTTTCATTTTGCCCCATGGCAAAAAGGATGAGAAGAGAAATCAGAGAGCACAATCAGACAATGCACCTGCATTCATTGACTCATTTGTCCAGCCATCCATTCACACATACATACATACATCCGCCCACACATCCATCCATCCATCCATCCCCCCATCCATTCATCTATCCATCCACCTATCCATCTATCCATCCATCCATCCACCCATTGATTCATCTATCCATCCACCCATCCATCCATCCACGCATCTATCCATCCATATGTCCATGCATCTGTCCATCCATCTGTCCACACAGCCATCCATCCATCCATCCATCCATCCATCCATCCATCCATCCACACATCCATCCATCCATCCATCCATCCATCCATCCATCCATCCATCCATTCTGGGCCTGGCATTGCTAGGTACCAGGCACCATGCTAGGTACGTGGTGAACCAAAAAAGACCCATTTTTTTGCCCTTGTGGCATTTACACACAACACACACACACACACACACACAGAGGAAAGACTAGCATGATCAGAAACCCAAATAAGTGTAAAAGTTCAACTGAGAAAAAGTCATGAAAGAGAGCTACTTGGTGCTGTGAGAGCCTATCACTCAAGAAATTGACCCAGACAAGAGAACTCAAGGAAAGCTCCCCTCAAGAAGGAGTGATCGAAATCTGAAGGACATGGAAGGAAAGAGTGGAACGGAGGGGACAAAGGGAGCAGGCTGTGCCATAACCCTGAGGCAGGAGGGGACTGGTACACACATATCACGACAGCAAGAGGGTCAGAGTGTCTGGAGTGACCAAAAAAGGAGAAGGGGGATGCATGGTGCCAGATGCAAGCAGAGTGAAACAGGAGGCCAGCACCTTGTAAAAGCAGGTAAATTGACCCTGAGTTGGGACAATACATTATACAGAGTATGAACTGATGTGTCCACTAATGACTTCTTTTCTTTCTCCACTTGTTTGACAAACATGGGTAGAGCTGGGGGAATTGCTTTTCAGCCACAGACATTTCCTATTTTCAGCTAAGTGCAAAGCAAGCGATCAGCCTCATCATTTCAACTGGGGGACTCTACCCAGACACACAGACACACACACAGGCGTGCATACACAGACACACAGATGCAGACCCACACAGACACACATGCAGACACACATCACATGCAGAGACACACACACATATAGACACACAGAAGTACACATCAACTTGCACACATAGAGATGCACACACAGAGACATACATGCAGATACACACCACACACAGAGATACACATATAGACACACAGATGCACACATGCACCACACACACACACGCACACACACACACACACCCTGCAGCCAAAGGTGTAGAATGGCCATGGTTCTGTTCTCGCTGCAGCTTTTAACTTTTAGCATTCCAGCCTCACCACAGTTCAGCTCCACGGAGCTGCTGACAAGAACCATCATCTGCCTCCTGAAAGAAAGCAGTGTCTTCCCTGGAATGTGGTGGAATGGGCAGTGGTTGGAGAGAGAGCACAAGAGGGTTGGAGTCATAAGGAGGGTCGGGGTGGGCATCCCTTAAAGGAATCAGGGACCCACACTCCTGACCCTCACAGACCGTGGTTCCACCTTGTGTCCTCCCTCTGCACCCACGACCCTTCCAGAACACCCCTTCTTCCCGGCAGAGGACGTCATGGAGGCAACAACGGTTTAGGGATGGGGCACACCTGGGCTTGAGTTCAGTGCTGCAACGTTGTTAGCTGCAAGACTGTGAGCAGGTAATTTCCCCTTCTTCGAGCCTCAGTTTCCTCATCTGGGAATGAGGGTGATAAGATCAACTGTGTTCACTTAGCTCATATCCATGAGCCCCTGTCATGTGCCAAGCACTCTTCTAGGCAGTGGGAGAAAGCAAAGAAAAATACGAAGAAGTCCCTGCATGAGCAAGGAGACAAGCAGCAGGCAGGGAAGCCAATGCACACACAAAACCATTTCAGATACTGACATGTGCCATGGAGACCATACGAGGTAAGGTGACAGGGAGCTCCATTAGGTTGGGTGGTCAAGAAAGGGTGTTCCAAAGTGGTGATGTTTGAGCAGAGACCTAAATAATGAGGTGGAATCAGCCAGGGTAGGCGTAGAGGGAACAGCCAGGGTAACCCAGAGGTGAGAATCAGCTGGCACGAAAGACCAGTGAGGTTAGAGTACAATGAAAAAGTGGGAGAAGGGGCAGGAGATGATGGGGAAGAGATAGGCACAGGCTGGGCTAGGTGGGTGATGGTGGGGAATTGAGATTTGACTTCTTACATGCTGCAAGAAGGCACAGGAGCCCTTTGAAGGGTTGACATGATCCAATTTGGGTTTTCCAAAAGTCTCTCTGGCTGCTATGAAAAGAGTAAATGGTAGAGATGAGACGGGCTTAGCAAAGAGAGGGAGGTTCTAATGGGTGCTGGGCAGAGAGAGGATCATCACCAGGGTGCCCAGAACAGGGCCTGGCACCCAATAGGAGTGCGGCTCAGAGGCCATGTTCACACCCACCCTCTCTCATCCTCCTCCCACCCCAGCCACCATCACCTTCAGACTCCACATAAAATATAGACAGCCCAGAGAAATGAGCAGGATAATGATGTTCTCAGACACCAAGGACGTCTGTGCCGGGCTCTCGAGGGCTGTGGGAAGCGCCCGCGGCACAGTGGAGAGTGATCCTCCCAGTCGTAGCAGTGGGCGAATCCTGCTAATGACCTAGCTGTCAGCTGTAAGAATCCTGAACAGAGAGAAAACAAGGGCCTGAGCTGGGCTGCTGTCCGACAGAGGCAAACTAGAAGAAAAAGGTCACCTTCAGCACTGTCGTTTGACAAATAAAAGGGATTGAGTTCTGGCCAGCGTGACGGAGGGACATCGTCACTGTGACTGCATTCAGTACTGATAACATAGTGTCTAGCAGGGAAAAGGGAATAATGACCCCAAGTCCAAGGTGGAGATTCCAAGGACATCTTGAAAATGGCAGACATAGCTCGCAGAAGAGGGAAGAAAAAGGTGGTTGCTTCTTGGATCTTCTCAAAACAGACCTTCAGGCCAGAGAAGGATGGCTCTGCCTCTCCCTATTCCCTCCACCAACACAAAGATTTTTCTTACACCTGATCTGTTTCTCTCGCTTCTGTTCCCTGCCTTGCCCCTGTAGGAATTTGAGTTTGCTATGTTCACGCCTTCCTCAAATTTGACTATGTATACAATACACACACACACACACACACACACACTCCACATCCATTTACACCATCACATTATTTGTCTTATCTCCTCTCCAGCCATTCTAAATGCCTTTCCTGCAAGAAAGAAGGGCTGTAAGACCTGGATTTGAGTTCCACCTGGAGTTTTTGCTGGGTATAGTTAAATCCTCTGAACCTCTACATATCCGTAAAATAAGGATGAGTGCCCATCTTATTGAAGGGAATATGTAATGTAATATACATAGAGTGCTTGGCACATAGTAGGCATTTAACCAATAGAAGAGTTCCTTTTTTAAAAACTGACAAGGCTTTCCTAGTAGATCCTCCCCTGGGCCCTTTAGGCTGCATTATCAAGGACCAGGTTTCATTTCATGAGGCCCTACTTTGTGCCAGGGACTACAGGGGATAATGATGCAGGGAAAGACAGAGATGCACATGAAATGGCTTTTGCCCTAAAAGAAGTCACGCTCTAGTTAGGTAGAAAGGAAAATTGATCATCATAATAAAATTAGACTAGTTCTACAATGAGATGAGGGTGGTGAGGGGTGAGGGCATTTAAATTCCTGTGGGGACTGGAGGAAGGGCTTATCTCTGCATAGGAACATTGAAAAGATGCTGAATTAGACTGTGTACTCTTGACAGTAGGCATGGAGTCTAAGTCAACTCTTGACTCCAGGGTCCTCTGGTGGGCCTTGGCACATGGTAGGGGGCCTGGTAGGTATTGGATGGATGGATGGGTGGATTTATAAGTGGATGGAGGGATGGGTGGAGGGATGGATGGAAGGATGGATGGAGGAAGGGAGGGAGGGAGGAAGGGATGGATGGATGGACGGATGGATGGATGGATGGATGGATGGTATAGATGGATAGATGACTACCTTCTTAATCCCATAAATGTAATCTTCATACTAGCCTCCAAGAATACTGAAGACAACGTCTTGATCATAACTATCTTCATCACCATCATCACCACCATTACCATTTGAGTACTTACTCTGAGCCAAGCACTAGACCAAAATGTTGCTCCATGTTGCCTTATTTAATCTTTACAGCAGTGCCTGTGAGATTGATACTTCCATCATGCTCATTTGGCATATGGGGAAACTAAGGCTTCGAGAAGTAAAGTGGCCTGCCCAAGGTAATTCAGCCAGTGAGCAGCAGAGCTGAGATGCGACCGGCCTGCACGTCACTGCTTATGTTCTGTGCTTGCCATTGGGCCCACTGCAGACATTGGTATTCAGGGCACAGGACAAGAAAAATGCTGTGTCTACAGACCACTCTGCCTTGTTCATTCTCCCAGCATGGTCTTTGCAGCTGTTTCAAGGAACTGTGTCTTCCTTCCTGATTGAAGATTCTCCCGACATCATCCCCATTACCCTCTCCCCAAGTAGATGTTTTAATTACTTGAGATTATTTTTAATCAAGGACAGGTAGGTGAATTTCCTCTACACCCCACACCTAACTTACAAAATGGAAATTGAGTTCCCTCTTCCTTAAAAAGAATATTGTGATGAAACAATCCCCCTGAAAAAAATTTCTCCTCTTCCAGATCCTTCCTTCCAAGGTTTGCTTTCTCAGCCTTAAGTGGGCTCAATTTCAGTCGAGTACTTAGAATTCCAAATCCAGTTCACATAGTGAATGTTTATTGACCACCTATTATGTGCCAGACTCTATTCCTAATGCTTAAAAAGAGTCATCAATTATAACCATTAATGTTAATAAAGTGCTGACCAATGTGCAAAGTGAATTAAAATTTACAAAGAGCTCATCCATTATGAAACTGAAAGCTCAGAAGAGTTAAGAGACTCTCCCAAGCTACTACGGGTAGGCAGGACTGAAAACCGAAGCTACATTCTTGGATCTCAAACCCAGGGCTCATCATTCCCATATAGACACAAAGCTGTCAAAGGCAGGAATGACCTCCAAAATGAAGTTACCCCTCTGAATCCTACTGGGACCTTCCATTGTTCTTTCGTTTGTAAATTGTGATAGCTACTTGTGCCATAAAGGAAAATAAATCTGGGTTCCTACCCTCAGGAAGGGCAGAGTCTAGTTGGAGAGATGCAGAAGTAAATCACATTACTGTGAAGACTGATGTATGACGTGCAAAAAGAAAGCCCAGCATACCATGGAACAAAAATGGAAGCTCATCAACCCCAGTCTTGGGTTGGGGAGCAGTGCTGGGGAAAGGGTGGGGTTGACAGCATGATGGCATAGCCCCAAGTCAGTAGCCAAATACTGCATTCATGCCTTTCCACCACCACATCCCCTCATTTCACAGTATCCATGGCTGAAACATGGATAGTAAGATTGCTGACTTCTTTATGATAGACACTAAACTAATAGTCATTTACCATAGTTAAAATTAACATTGAGTTCCTACTACATGTTAGATACTGTTTTAAACACATTACCTGAATTAACTAATTTAATCCTTCTAACCCTATGAAGTAGATGCTATTACCCAATTCTACAGATGAGAAAACTGAGGCACATGGCAAATTACTAAATGGCTCAAAGCCAAGCTTCAGACCCAGGCAGCAGGTGCTAGAGCCTATGCTCCCATCTGCTGAACAGCGGCAAGAGGTGAGGATTTTAATAGTGTTTTTGGGAAGGAAGTTCTCTGGTTCTAAGCTCAGTCAAGTGAGTATTTCCATGAAAGCAGTCATCTCTGTCTTCTGAAATGGAGATGTGGGGTGGAGACACCCACTTCTGGGAGATAGAATGGTAAAGGCTGTCCATGTTGGAGATAAAGATACATCTCCACAAACCAGGTAGTAACTGTTTTTTCTGAAAGGAGGTTGAAATTGTTAATGAGGGTGGCATCTAATTCTCCATCGGGTGGACTAGGTTTGAGCTCTGTTTTTTACACTGGAAAGAGCCAGAAATTGGTAGAACAGTTGTGTGGGAGATCTTGTGAGACTCCGGACATATGTAGAGCTGTCTGGGGACCCAGGAGACAGAGTGCACAGCCCAGAGTTGGAAAGGTGACCATTCTCCCCACCTCTGCCCCAAATGTAGCCTGCCTTGGTTATGGGCATTAATAATGTTGTAAATCTTCCTGTGTTAGTTTGCTAAAGATAATGGCCTTCAGCTCTATCCATGTCCCTGCAAAGAAAAGACCATCATCCTTAGCAAACTAACACAGGAACAGAAAACCAAATACTGCATGTTCATGCTTCTAAGTGGAAGCTAAATTATGAGAACACATTGACACATACAAGGGAACAACACACATTGGGCCTATCAGACGGTGGAGGGTGGGAGGAGGTAGGGGATCAGAAAAAAAATAACTGATAGATACTAGGCTTAATACCTGGGTGATGAAATAATCTGGGGCTGGGCACAGTGGTTCACACCTGTAATCCCAGCACTTTGGGAAGCTGAGGTGGGTGGATCACTTGAGGCCAGGAGTTCGAGACCAGCCTAGCCAACATGGCAAAACCCCATCTCTACTAAAAATACAAAAATTAGCCTGGCATGATGGTGTGCACCTGTAGTCCCAGCTACTTGGGAAGCAGAGGCACGAGAATCACTGGAACCTGGGAGGTCGAGGCTGCAGTGAGCCAAGATCGCACTACTGCACTGCAGCCTGGGTGACAGAGCAAAACTCTGCCAAAATAAAAAGAAAAAAGAAGGAAAGAAAGGAAGAGGGAGGAAGGAAGGAAGGAAGGAAGAAGGAAGGAAGGAAATCTGTACAATAAACCCTCCAGGACAAGTTTACCTATGTAACAAACCTGCACATGATGTACCCCTGAACTTAAAATAAAAGTTAAAAAAAAAAGAACGTTGTAAAACGGAATCTTCTTCCCATTCTATATTCTAACTAGCCATTACTGATACGTCTGGGCTTTGGTCCTCTTGATGATGCTCTTGCTGGCTCTAATAACTTTTCAGTTAATTTTCTTGGGTTTTCTAAGCACACAATTATATTGTCTGGAAAAAAAAAAACTGATAAGAACAATTATGCCTTCTCCAATTTCTACACCTCTTATTTTAGTTTCCCACCTGATGACTTTGGCTAACCTGCAGGTTTGGATTCTTTACTAGCAGCATTAGTATTTGGGATTAGTTAATTTTACCAATAGTATTTTACTAGAATAAGGAACACATACTGAGTTTTTCAGCACAAACAGAATGACTTTGGTAACACAGAGCTAAGAAGCCCCTGCAGTGACTCAAGTATAAAATGATGACATCTAGACTCAGATGCTGCCTTAGACAAATATTTGTCAAGTTCCTACTGTGTGTCAGGTACTGTGCTAGGGACTAAGAATGTGGCCCTAAACAAGACTGACACACATCTGCCCTCCCAAAGCCCCCAGAGTCAGGATGAGCACACAAAGAAACAAGACAGAATGCATCTGAGAGGTAGTTTGATGAATAATTTTCTGGATGTGATCTTACAGGCAGGCAACAAAATATTACTCCACGTCTCAAAACCTGGTTGTGTAATTGATAATGACCAGGAAATTGGCTAAATTTTTATTAGCTTCTGAAATCTATTACAATCTATTCATCTGAAAAAAAAAAAAGAAGATGAGAGCAATGAAATTAGAATTCTTCATCTATGAATGCTTATGAGAATGCGGATTCAAGAGAAATTAGCAGATATTTTAATTTTCTGCTATCTTGCTCTTGATACCAATCAGGATACCTCTGAAATATCTCGTAATGATTAACATTTGTCTAATGCTTATCCACTCTGCAAAACCACTTCACATGCGTTATCTCCTTAGGTCCCCACAACAACCTTGGGAGTTTGCAAAGCAATTTCACTGAGGTTATCCACTGGATTCTTGAATTCTCATCCCTCATTTCCCTGCAGTCCACACGCCAGCCAAGCCTGTCGTTTTACAGTTCTGCAAACACAGCATGCTTTCACACTTCCTTGATTTTTCACTTGCGGCTCCCTCTGCCAAGAAAGAAACCCATCCTTGCCCATCCAAGGAGTGTCCTATTTATTCAAGGAAACCCTGGGCAGGCAGGGAAGATCCTCTTCCTCCTGGGGCAGCTAGGAAGGTCTGGGCACCTTTGAGTAGGGAGCACCCAACAATGATGCCCATGTCAGGGGTAGACCAGCAGGCCGGTGGGCACAAGTTCTGTCCTGCATCTGATTTGGGTGTCAGTGAAAACAATGTTCCCCATGCCCCCTCTTATAGAAGTCTAACAAGTGATCCGTTAGAGTTGATCAGACTTGGCTTCAAATTTCAGCTCTTAACTTACCAGCTATGTAACCTTGGGCAAGTCTCTAAACCCAATCCTAAATCCCCTTCTAAATAGAGTCCATTAACATCTACCTTCAAAGCAAGAGGAGCTGCAATGACTATTGCTTATAAAACACTTGAGGGAGAGAGAGCTTTGGGAAAAATAGCTAATGCATACTGGGCTTAATACCTAGGTGATGGATTGATAGGTGCAGCAAACCACCGTGACGCACCATTTATCTACGTAACAAACCTGCACATCCTGCACATGTACTCTGGAACTTAAAATTAATAATTTTTAAAAACACTTATTCCCATTTCTAGCTTATAATAAGAGATTGTTAAATGGAAGCTTTTTTTTTTTTTTTTGAGATGGAGTCTTGCTCTGTCACCCAGGCTTGAGTGCAGTGGCGCGATCTCCCAAGCTCCGCCTCCCCGGTTCACGCCATTCTCCTGCCTCAGCCTCCCGAGTGGCTGGGACTACTGGTGCCCGCCACCACGCCCGGCTAATTTGTTGTATTTTTAGGAGAGGCGGGGTTTCACCGTGTTAGCCAGGATGGTCTGGATCTCCTGACCTCGTGATCCGCCCACCTCGGCCTCCCAAAGTGCTGGGATTACAGGCGTGAGCCACCGCGCCCAGCCGCTATTATTTTTTATTATAAAGATTACTTCCCTTCTGGAAGAAAAAGTTATAGAATCGTGTCTCATCAGCAGCAGCAGCATCATCACTATGAGTGCTGCTTCTGCTATTATGATTTCCATGTTCTCTTATTTCTAAGGTGGGGCAGAGAACTGCTGGCTTTTTCTACTGACGCTTTCTCTGTCCTGTCTTGGAAACGGTATCGCAGAGGAAAAAGGAAGTTAGTGTGTTTTGTCATAGGCAAGATTACAGGCAAAGGCTGGAGGCATTAACCTATCATCACTGGTGGCTGGACAAGCTGGTTCATAAATGATGGACAAGAGTCATCCAGACAGAGTGGATGGGGGAAGTGTTAGAAGAGGAGAGAACTGCGTAGGCAAAGGCCCAGGGGCTGGAGTGAGTGTGGTTTGTTTAGGGAGCTTGAAAGACCGTGGTTTCTTTCAGCCCACATATGGTGGGCAGGAGGGGTGAGTAAAATGGGATGGAGACTGGCAAAGGGGCCAAGATTCCAGTGGTGCTTATTATGTACCCCAATACTAGTCTCATTTTAGAGGTGAGGAAACAGGCACAGAGAAGGTAGGTAACTTGCCCAACATCACACAGCAAGTATGTATCAGCTCTGGATCCAGCGCCCACGTTCGTTACCACTGAGCCGAGAAGGCATTGCTTCTTTTTCTCTGTGACACGCAGGCACGTGTCCTGAAACCAGAAAAGAAGCAAACTCCTCCAGAGTCATGAGGAAGCAAACTACCTTCACCCGCTGAACTCAGCTGGAGCAGGTTGGAAGCCGCTTTCTCTGTGCCTCCTCCCAGGGTGCAGAGGTGGGTTTTTAGAAGTTCCCAAACATAAAACCATTTCCATTTCCATATAATTACGCCTCCTTGACCTACATGTCATTTGGCAGTGTGCTTGGGCTGGAGGTACAAAAAACAATTTCTCCAACCACAGAAAATTGCTTCCCGAGGCCCCTGGGTAATTAGACGTTGTCCTCTGGGCATGGCCTGTTCCCTGCCTGTCCACGTCTCCTGGTACAGATGCTGCCACTTCAACCCTGCATCTGCCAAGAGAACGTGGGTCCCATGGTGGAACAGAATGTCCATTAGGGAGGTAGCCTTGGGGAGCGGGCAGCTGGGCCATTTGCACCAAAGAATTTTCTAATGTTCTTGGACACCCAGATCCCGTGGGACCTTCCCTCTGCTAACCCAAGACGCGGAGGAGGGTGTGCATTGTGTGGGAGGTTGTTACCTCTCAGCATTTCTGCTGTCTCTTGTAAAATTTTATAAATGAAAAAGCTCCCATACCAATCCCTATTTGAGAGTTTCACTGAGGTATACAGAATCCTCTGTTCTTCACCTCCCACCTTGTGTCCCTTCAGGGATGTCTGTGGTTTGGGGGAAAAATAATAAGTTTCTTTCTTTATTTCCTTCTTCTTTCTTTCTTTCTTTTTTTTTTTTTGAAACAGGGTCTTGCTCTGTTGCCCAGGCTGGTGAGCAGTGGCACGATCTCCACTCACTGCAGCCTTGACCTCTTGGGCTCAAACAATACACCCACCTCAGACTCCCAAGTAGCTGGGACAGCAGGCACTTGACACTGCACCTGGCTAATTTTTTTGTATTTTTGTAGAGATGGAGTCTCCCCGTGTTGCCCAGGCTGGTCTTGAACTCCTGGACTCAAGCTATCTGCCCACCTCAGCCTCCCAAAGTGCTGGGATTACAGGCATGAGCCACTGCACTTGGCAAATAATAAGTTTCTTGTTAGTAAAACCCCTTAATGTTTGATGCCCCTCAATGACTGCCTATTGCCTCCCAACAGATCCAACTCAAATAGGGCTGCAAAGCCATTGAAATCAGGGACTGTTACTTCTCTACCTTGTCTCCAGCCAGGCCTCCCTCCCTACTCTCTCTTGGGTGAGGGTGAGCAGATGACATAAAAGAGAGAAGCCTCGTGGGGATGTGAACTGGACGGAAGCCATAGGTGGAAATGTGAGTCTAGCATGGCCTTCCCTTCTGATTTTCACAAGAAGCTCAAATCCAGGACTGGATATGAAATACTCCAGTTTATAAATACAGCAACTAATTCAGAAATCTTACAGATGCATCTGTCTCCTAGCCCCACCCATCCCTGCAAAGAATGCACCCCACAAGCAGTCGGTCTGTGACCTCTATTCTATGCTGAACTTCTACCTGCTCAACAGCCATCCCGTCTCTTGCTTCTTGGCCTTTGCACATTTCGTTCCCTCCTATTGGCATGCTTTGCTTCCCAGTCACTCGACTGGCTCCTATTGCCCGCTCCCATCACTGCACACATGCTGCTTTCTCCAGGAAGCCTTCCATGATCCTCTATATTAGATTTCTTCCCTCTTCCTAAGTGCTCCCATAGCTTACTGTCTTATTCCTTCATGGAGCTTCTCTCTGAGTATCTATCTGGCTTCTCTGCCAGGCTAGAGCCTCCAGGAGGGCAGAAACTGGTTCTTCAGGTTTACTGACATCTGCAACCTGTGGCAAGGTGCCTGAACACATTAGGGAGTCACTATTTGCAATGGAAAGAAAGCGAAGGAAGCTGGCCTGAGTGGGCTTGATGAATAAGGCAAAATGCTCCTCACTTAGGTTGGGTTGGTGAACAACCAAAATAACATTTGAGCATCACCATGTGCCAGGTGCTCTTCTAAGCACTTTATTTGTGTTAATGTATTTAATTCCCACAAGAATCATATGAGATAGGCATTACCATCCCCACTTTACAGATAAAGAACATTGAGGCATGGAGTGTTTAAGTAACCTAGCCACAGTCACAAGACTAGGAATCAGCAAACCTGGAATTCAACCCCATGAAGTCTGGTTTCACTCTCGGAGCTCTTAATCTTTCCTCATTTCAACAAGGGAAAAGTGTTCTAAGAGTGAAACTGTCAATCACATTCAATAGGGAAATGAATTCTATTTCTGAGCATCTACTCCATGCCAAGCATGGTACAGATGATTTCGCACATTAAATTACTCAGTCTTCTTAACAGCGCTTTGGAAAGATGTCCCCATTGCACAGATGAGAAAACTGACTTAAGTGTTACGCCCAAGTCAGTAAGTGGGGAATTTGATTCAATAGCTATTATAGAAGGTAACAGAAAGGAGTGCCCAAGAAGCTACATAGACACTGGATTTAGAGAGAAAAAAGCAGAGGAAAGGGGTGTGAACAGTCATCACACATATAAGGGAACACCATGAAAATGACAGCAAACAGATGGATGTCACACAGAGAGAGCCTTGGGGAGTCCATCCATCCATCTATCCATCCGTTCATCCATCCATCCATCACTCTTTCATCCCACAAACATTGATGGAGTGCATACTCTTTGACAGCCCTGTGATAAGTCCTCAAGGTTTAGAGTAAAGAGATACAGTCCCTGCTTTCCAGGGGCTCCCAGTGAATGGGTGATAAAGATCTTGAAGAATAGCATCATAAAAATGTGTTAAATACTCTGGCCAGTGAGGTGCTTAACTCAATGCATTGAGATCAGAGAAGGCTTTAAAACTAAAGTCTTCTAGGCAAAGGATTGTGGGTGGGGAAGGTATTTCAGGCAGAAGAAATAGCCCATGCAATGCTATGGAGGTAGGAAAGTGTGTTGCACGTTCAGGCAATGGCTCCTAAAATAAAGTGGCAAGGTGCATTTGCAGGGGTTGCAGAAGGGAGCTGATGGTGCGGGAGGTACCTTGTGGGTTGTGCAAAGATTTTGGATGTTGGCTGGTAAAGCAGAGGTCTCAAACCTGCAACCCATGGACCACCCTGTGTATTGGGATGGGGTGTGTAACTGTGTTGCTTGCAAGCCTCTCCTGAAACACTGGAAGACCTGACCACAGTTGGCTGTCATTCTCTCATGGGAAACTACCAAGTGGAGCTAAATGGTGACCACCCTCCTGCAATGGGGCATGCGATATCCTGCTCACCGGAAGTGCCCACATGGCATGCCCACACATTTATATTTCCTGCCCAGGCCCTGTCATCATTTGAGTTTGCAAAATCTAACGCGGTGCCATTGAAAGGAACAGGGATTTTGAAATGATGCCTCATGCTGCCTTGGGATGATCTATTTAGCAAGTTCTCAGCACCTTGAGCCTAAGGAACAGATCTTGTACTCTGGGAGCCTGACCCAGGCTCTGGTACATGGTTGGGCATCACTAAATTTATGTTGAACTGAATTGGATTTATGTGGAAGATTCTGGCACAAACCCTCTTCTCAGGCAGCTAATGGTCCCAAAAAGATCTCTCCCACACACTGAACACCAAATTAATTTCCAATTACCCTGGATTACATCACCTGATTCATTTTCTGCAGTAAACCCTAAGTACATTCAAAACTGTTAACCAGCCTTTTGCTTCTCTGCAATGTTAAGTTAATCTATATTCATAGTTATTCATTCATTTATTCATTCAACAGGTATTTATTGAGAACCTACTGTATGCCAGGAACTATGTAAGAGCTTGGCAATATATTAATAATAATCAGCAAAGCAGGCACACTTCCTGCCCTTCCAAACTTTTACCCTGTCTAATAGTAAAGATGATAAAAAGTGTATAGCATGCCTAGCACCGGGCACTTTCCCTGTATTAATTTATTTAATCCTCATGAAAACCTGTGATAGGTGCTATATCAGCATACTTTTCATAGATGAGCAAACTGAAGGCCCAGAGAGGTTAAGTAAATTGCTCAAGGTCACACAGCTAGAAGGCTGCAGGGGCAATTTGAAACCCAGCAATCTGGCTCCAGAATTTGTACTCTGCCACCTGTCTTTCTAAGATGACGCTAGGACATGCCTTCTAAATCCTTAAAGTGGTGATCATTAAAATTGTGGTCAGCTTTCATGACACCTGCTGCCATGGAACCCTGGGTATGTAAATGAACCATAAAACATGTTCTGGAACCTTGATATAGACTAGTTCATTTTCCCCCCGATGTCACGTGTTATTGTTTTTTCTTCTTTTAAATTGGAAACACTGGATGCAAACCTAATATGAGGAAGGAGCTAGAGGATGCAAAGTCAATAGTTACTGGTTGCAGTTTATACATGGCCTTAGCTGCAGGACACGCAGGTCAGCTGTCCCTTAAAAATGATCCCTAAGGGCTGGGCACAGTGGCTCACGCCTGTAATCTCAGCACTTTGGGAGGCCAGGTCAGGCCTCCCAGGTCAGGAGTTCGAGACCAGCCTGGCCAACATAGTGAAACCCTATCTCTATTAAAAATACAAAATTTAGCCAGGCATGGTGGTGGGTGCTTGTAATCCCAGCTACTTGGGAGGCTGAGGCAGGAGAATTGCTTGAACCTGGGAGACGGAGCCTGCAGTGAGCTGAGATGGTGCCACTGCACTCCAGCCTGGGCGAAAAAGCGAGACTCCACCTCAAAAAAAACAAAAAAAAAATCCCTAAGAAGAGAAGTTTTAAGACTAGAAAGACAGCTTGAGTCACTGACTAAAGTTTGTTTTGTTTTTATTTTTGTTTTGCATGAACATAGCTCACTGCGGCCTCTAACTCCTGAGCTAAAGTGATCCTCCTGCTTCAGCCTCCCAAGTAGCTGAGAATACAGGCTTGCACCACCACACTCAGCAGATTTTTTAACTTTTTATAGAGATATGGGGTCTCACTATGTTGCCCAGACTGGTCTCAAACTCCTGGCCTCAAGAAATTCTCCCACTTCAGCCTCCCAAAGTGCTGGGATTGTAGGTGTGAGCCACTGAGCCTGGCCATTTTTTTCTTTGTTTTAATGCTTCTGTTTCTTCACTGTGTTACTCACAGTCCCTACCATTCCCAGATCCTCGAGTGCCGTTCTCCTCAATCTCCCCCTGCATGTTTCTCTGAAGCCTTCCCTCGCCACAAACTCAGAACCCAGAACTCATTGCTGCTTCCTCTCCAAGTGCCCAAGAAAATGTCTCGGCCTCCTGGCTTACACTTACCACTTGGTCATGTAGCCTCTTTCCCTGTCTGCCTCCCTGACTAGAGGGTGAAATAGATCTGCCATCCCTCACCTGCAGCCCCAGCACAGAAAATGGCACATAATACACGCTCAGCACATGCTATGGGAATAAAAGAAGTCTCAGAGAGATGAGAAACTTACCCAAGCCACAGAGCTAGTTGGCGGCAGAGCAGAATTCTACTGAGTCAGAATGGACTGTAAGCTCCCTGTGGATGCAAACCACTTGTGTGTTTGTCTATCACTGCATCTCTGTGTCTGGAACAGTGCCTGATTCACAGTGAGCAGCTCAGTAAACATTTGTTGAATGAATAAGAGAATGCCCATCTTATTTAATTCTTCCTTTGTCCTTGTCTTCATAGGAGAATGAGGCAGGGTAATGGAAAATGATGGCTTTGTGTTGGCTGCATTTTGTATGCACAATTGATAAGCTATTTGCCCACAGCTAAAAATACCTACCCCTGGCAGCCATTGGGAGAAGCAGATGGATGATGCTTGGCACAAGATGTTTAATCAAACAGCGACAACCAAGGCAGAGCCTCAATTAGCCTCTGACACCCCAGCGAACTCCAGATGAAGAGCACAGAAGCCTCTGATTTCCTGTTGGTCCCCTCGCACCCAATAACCTTCACCCCTGTGTCCACAAAACAGCAAAAACAAATAAGTATCCCCTGGCCAAGGCAGTCGCTAGCCGGAAATCAGTAGATGGGCAGGACTGGCAGAAGCTGAGCACGTGGGGCAAAAACAATGGAGAATCAGCCAGTGGGGAGCATCATTCGCTATTGAAAAGGGGCAATGGGCAGGAGCTCAGTTGTATGCCCTGGATTTCAAGGAGGTGATTAGCTCCCCAGATCTCCTTATCCCCACTGATTCCCAGGGGCTGGGAGTGGCGAGCATTCTCAAAGGCCATATGACTGCTCTGAAATTGATCCTTCTCTCAACTTCCCTCATGCCTCATAGGTGCCAGCTGATGGACACTGTTTAAAACTAATAATAATATGTTACAAAAGAAAACAACTGGCCCATTTCTATTTAATGGTCAGTTCCCTGAGCTGATTATGGAGGTATCTGGACAAGTAAGTGCATCAAATGCACTCTAGAGTCTAACAAATTGTTTTTGAATCCTGGGTCTTGCACATACTTTCTGTCTGATCTGGGCAAATTCCTTAACCTCACTGAACCTCAGTGTTCCTGTCTTTAAAATAAGGATATTAATAGTAGCTATCTCATGATGTCGTATGAGGATAAAATTCAGTGCAAGTGGCCAGGCGCAATCTCTCACACCTGTCATCCCAGCACTTTGGGAGGCCGAGGCTGGTGGATCACCTGAGGTCAGGAGTTCGAGAGCAGCCTGGCCAACATGGTGAAACCCTGTCTCTACTAAAAATATAAAAATTAGCTGAGCGTGGTGGCAGATGCCTGTAATCCCAGCATCTCGGGAGGCTGAGGCAGGAGAATTGCTTGACCCTGGGAGGCAGAGGTTGCAGCGAGCCGCGATTGCACCACTGCTCTCCAGCCTGAGCGACAGAGCAAGACTCAGTCTAAAAAAAAAAAAAAAAAAAAAAAATAGTGCAAGTGAAACCTCTGGCAAGTGAGCCAAATACAGTCAGTGCTCAATAAAGGGAACTGTTATTGTTAAATGTACCAGCCTTGCTCAGGTGTTGGAGAGTGGGAAAGCTGGAAGAGGCATTTGATACCATTGCATACAACTTTAGTCAACTTCCTAACCCTTTCAAGCCTGAATCTTTTTTATCTGTAAGGGGATGAAAATAGCACCTACTTTACTAGTAAGGATTAAGTACTAAATATTTCACAGTAGTTATTAGGTATTGCCTGGTATTATAATGTTAGGTAATATATCATATTATAGACAGGCAGTATACTTGGTGTATATGAAGATGTGAGCTCAGTGCCTAATACGATATAAGCACTCAATAGCTATTAGCTGCTCTGAGGGAACAGTAGGGATCTCTTCTTTCACGCCTCTTTACCTTTGCACGTTGCCATTCACTCTCCCTGGAGAGCCCTCTTGTGTCTTATCTGCCTGTTAAACTCCTACTCATCTTCCCTAGATGTGAGCCACGATGCTGTCATTATCATTATTATTGCCTATTATGAACTCACTCATTTTACAGATATGGAAACTGAGGTCTTAAGAAGGAAGATGGCTTGTCCAGGAGCAGATAGGGGTCTATATCAGAGCCCAACCTACAGTGTGGCATCTCCTGACAAACCTGAGAAGTCTAAGGACATTTTCATTGATTGAGTCTGAGAAATAGGGTCTTTTCTTGAGCTAGTTCTCACAAATCAAGAAATATACCAGAAGACTGTTCCTAGAATTGCCAGTGCTTCTTCCCTCTCATTGAGCCTTTGCCTGGTTCAATTTATCACCTTAGCAGGACTGATTGTTATGTGTCCTTAATAACATGACTGCTTATTGAGTGGTTTCTTCAGGCCAGGCTCCATGCTAAGAGGTCTGTGTGCACAATTCTCTCTAATCCTCACAGCATCCCTTTGAACCAGGTACCATTTTTACTCCCATTTTATTGGTAAGGAATCCAAATCTCATTATGTTTACACAACTTGTCCAAAAGCACCAGCTAGAAAAGTGCAGATCTAGAAGGCTCATCTGGATCTGTCAGGCTCCAAATTGCATGTCTCCGGTTTTAAGTATCCTCTCCTCTCTAGTAACTCCTCTGCTCATTGTTTGCTGGAGAGCCACCTGCATGTTCAGGACTTGTTCTTGTAAAGCCCTGACCCCATCTGTCTTTGTGACAAACTCCCAGAACTGAGAAAACACCACTGCATTCATCACTTGGTATGAAATTGACCCAAGATAGTGCCATCAAGTCCTTTCAAGGTACTTCATCTTACCAGCTGTGCCATCTTCAGCAGGTGGCTTACCCTCTCTGAATACCAGTTTCCTCATTTGTGAAATGAAGATCAGAAGCCTATATTCTACCTGCACTGCCATTTTAATCAACTCACTTTTAAAATAAACTGACCTTATTATATAAGCATGTCTTTATCACTACCCTACATGGAGAAATAACATTCCTCTAATACCATTAAAACTAAATGCATAATTTTAAAAATAAATATGTTCATCAGTGAATCATGTAAAATCATCTCATCTACGCAAAGCCACCCAGCACATAGTAGGTGCTGCTCAACATAGGACAGTCATTAGAAAATGAACTTTGGTACTGAGATATACAGTTTGGAAACCATTGGGTCTGTCGGCTGGCTTGGATGTGGTTTCGTGATTGAGGTCTGGCAGTTATTATGGTTCCCAATGAAGCTGTCCATGGTCAAAAAGCCAGAACCAATTCTGCTGTCAAGAGGAGGTCAATTGGTTGGCAAGGCTGACTCCAGCCCTGCAGCCCGGCTGCTGACTCACCTTTCTCCATTGCCCTGAGTCAGACTGTCCTGGAATAGCAGCCATCTTATCTCTTGCTGCCTACTCATCAGCAAGGAGGAGACTTGCTCGGTCTCAACTGTTCTGGTCTACATTGGAAACCATTGCTTTGCTAATTTCTGGGAGAAGCCAGGGAGGCTGCACCATGGATCCAGGGCCCAGGACCCCAATGACAAATTCACAACATGTGTTCCATCTTGGCAGACATTACCAATCCATCAAAGCACCACTAAGCCCAGGCATGGTGTTAGAATACTTTTCAACATGGCACCCAGACAGCCATTACCAATAGACTGAAGATGAAACATGATCCCTTATAAAGGGAGATACAAAGAAACAGAAAATGCTGATTCTAGCTTTGAAAAGGATCCATTCAAGTGCTAAAATGTAGTTTAAAAAAAGAAAAAGAAAAACACCAAAAAGAGGTCTTCACAAGAAAAATAATAAAGAGGAGATGATAGTGAAGCTACAAAGAAAATTAAAGAGCTATCAAAATGGGAACTAAAATTTTAAGAGAACAAAGGCTATTTCAGAGGATGCAAGAGACAACTGAATCATCATGCAATAATGGGTTTTAAGGGTTTGATTCTACACATAATGACCAATGTTATTCTCCACCAAGCAGAGAAACAAAGTTGAGGGTAAGGTTTGGAATGCAGCTGCAACTAGAGGGCTTAGGGTAGAGGCAATGAAGAATTTCCTGATAGGTTAACAGGGTTGTTAGTGCCTGGAATGTGCCATGGGGAGAAGCTAGAATCTTTGCTGGGATTCCTTGAGAGCTTGACTCTCTCCTACTCATCTTTGCTTCTAGTGCAGATTCCCGCCTCTAGGAGATGCTCAGTAATTGTCTGCTGAACTGAACTAGCCAAATGTTAAAAAGTAACGATAGCTAATGTTTTCTGAGTGCTTACTATGTACCAGGAACTGTGCCTATTGTGCCTATATTATTTCATATATCCTCATAATATCCTATGTGGGTACTATTTATTACGATGCCCATTTCACAGATGTAAGAACTGAGGCTCAGAGACATCAGCTCACTTGTTCACCATCACACAGTTGGTAAATGGCTGTCTTGGGATTTGAACCTGGACTGGCTGCCTCCAGACAGCGTACTCTTAGCCACTATGCTCCCAACTAGGATAGGTTCTTAGGTACCCAAATATTTTGGGTAAGAGTCAGCCAGCAAAAAAATAAAAATAGCCCTTTGGGGAACCAGAAAGCCATCCTCCCAAGGGGTTGTCTTTCCCATGGTAGGAGGGTACCACTGCCTAACCTCCACCTGGCTAGTCTACAACCAGCTTCGTGCCTCTACTAACCAACTGCAGGAAGAAAGCTCCACATTCCCAGGTTTCTGCCTTGGGGCAAGAGGAACAACAGAAAACAAGGATGGCCACTGGCCACCTGTCAGTGCCTGATACTGGAAACATATGGTGGGACAGCAGCCCTGGGGAACTTTTTCCTGCTTCTCTCCTAGGAGACCACTCAACACCGAACCTCCTGGAGACCTCCCAGCACCTTCTGCAGAAGCTAAAAGACTGACCACTGAGTCTTGTCAGCATCATCTTTTTATTTACCCTTCCTCCATCCCAGGGTCCAGAGTGGGGCAGGTAACAGTGAGGGAGGTGGCAGCCACCAGAGGCAGTGCCCCATCATACAATTCGGTCTCTACCCCTCAGCTGATCTAAACAACGGCATTGCTGACTTCTTATGTAGGAGTCTTAGAAATTGATCTTCCTAAAAATCCATCCTTGGAGCACCTCCCAGAAGCAGGTAAAATAACACCGCTGCAATTGTCCACAATGCCAGGAGTCTGCATAACATAAGCGCTGACTTTTCTGATGCAAAAGATGGCAACTTTGTCAGAGAGAGATGCTTTTCTTTTCTCCTTCCCTCTCCTCTCCTCTCCTCTCCTCTCCTCTCCTCTCCTCTCCTCTCCTCTCCTCCCCTCCCCTCCCCTCCCCTCCCCTCCCCTCCCCTCCCCTCCCCTCTCGTCTCCTCTCCTCTCCTCTCCTTTCCTTTCCTTTCCTTTCTGGGTCAGAGTCTCACTCTGTCGCCCAGGCTGGAGTGCAGTGGAACCAGCTCAGCTCACTGCAACCTCTGCCTCCCTGGTTCAAGCAAAGGGAGAGATGCTTTTAAGTCACAGGGGATTGTGACTGAAAGGGGTAAGTGGCTTCTTTTTTCAGAAATTTAGGATGCAGAGAACTAGGATTTGTAGAAGGTGACTCCAGGAATCTAATGATCCCAAATAGCAATTCTCTTTCCTATTCTTAAGACCCCTGTGGACTGAGCAACTGTGCTCAAGAGTGGCCTGCTCTTCTTCACATAACTGCCATTGCAATCAAAAAAGTTCTTCTTGACATCTAACCTAAATCCTTTTGTAGCCTCCAACGTGAGCTCTTTTCCATCTTACAAATTCTCTTAGCTGCCTTTAGGAGGGAGGGAGAGAGGGAGTGAGAATACGAGAGAAGTGGAAGAAAGGGAAAGACGGAAGAAAAGTGTGTTACCCTTTAAACCAGGATTTCTACTTTTGGGAATTTATCCAAAAGAAATGCACAAAAATGCTTTATGAACTTGAAGCTTGTAGTAACAAAAATAGTCATAATAAGTAACGTCCAGCAATAGGTGAATATTTCATGAATATCATTGACATATGGAAAAATCTATTATTCATGTCTAAGTGAAAAAAATCAAGTTGCACAACAATATTATTGTATAATCTCGTTTTGTGGGGATAATTATTATTACTAGTTGTACTATTATTGTGGGCATATAAGCATCCTGGAGATATAAACACCAAGTGGCCAAGAAACCTCTGGTTATCTATTGCAGCATAGCAAACCCCAAAACTTAGAGGCTAGGAGCAACAATTTACGATTATTTGTCACGGTTCCTGGGCTGACTGGGCTCTGCTGGGTGGTTCTTGCTTCTGGTCTCTCATGCATTTGCAGCCAGTGAGCAGTGGGACTACACCCACTTGGGAGCTTTATTGAGCTGGATATCCACGATGGCTCATTCCCACGGGTGACAGTGGATGCTGGATATTGGCCATGAGCTTCACTGAGGCTTTCAACCAGAGGCCCTACACATGGCCTAAGTGGCATGTGCCTCTTACAGAAAGGCAACTGGGTTCCAAGAAGGAGCATACCAAGAGCATGTGTTCAAAAGACCCACTTATGACCTAACCTTAGAAGTCATGCAGTATCAGTCCTGCCATAATGTATTGGTCAAAAGTAAATTACAGGGCCAGCTCCAACTCAAGGCATGGAGACTACCTAGAGGCATGTGTACCAGGGGGCATAGTACACAAGGGTTCACCTATAAGGCTAGCTGACACATTATCCATGGAAGACGGGGTTTTGACAGACTTTCCCCTTCTAATTTCTAATGTAGTCATTAAATGTATAAACTCCCCTGAGTTTATACATTTAACAGTTTGGTTTATTGTCCTAGCTCACTACCTAGCTGTGTGATCTCAAACAAGTTACTTAACCTCTCTGAACCTCAGGGCTTTTAAATCGTGGTACCCACTACACAGGGTAGTTGTGAAGATTAAGTGAGATATTGTGTGTAAGATGCTTAGAAGTGCCCTGAGCACAGTGGATACACAATAAAAGTAGACAAATTCTATTACTATTATTATTAGACACTGATATAATGTTTAATTTTTGACAAGTGTGTATTACTTTTGTAATTGAAAAAACAGTTTTTAAAGACAAGAAAAAGGCAATGTAGCAGAACTAAAAGATATAAACTCAGAACTCCCAGTCCAGCTGCTTCTTCCAAGGAACCTGCAGAGACCCCTTAGTCATCACAGACACAGAAAATACCTCTAGAAGACCTTGACCCTTTCTCTCTGGGCCAGCAGACGATTCAGTGGTGTGGTCTGACAACAAAACCTGTGTTGTTCTCTCAGCCACTTCCCAAAATCCTCCCAAGCTTGAGCACAGTAAGCTGCAAAATACGGGAAATGAATTCCCTCAAGAATATAACCAAGAAGCTTTGCAGTCACAAAACATGGGCTTTTTATTATCCAGGAACTTAAACCTGTCTGACGACACCATTGACAGAAAGGATTTGCTTTTCAGAAGCATTGACATTTTGGTGGTGAAGTTCGGCGGGGCTTGCTTGGATGGGATTGGTTGGGTTTCCTCAACAATGGAATCCTTGGATCAGTTTGACAGGAAAGCTCAGAAATGGAATTTCAGGCAGTGAGAACTTCGGTTTCTTCATTTACTCACCCCTTATAAATACACACAGACCCTGTCAACATCACTCTTTCCCTTTGGGGAAAATGTGCCACTGTGGAAATGAAAGAAATTTTAAATATGGGGAGTTATAGCAAATGTCAAGCTTTTAAGAGTTGAAGGCTCTACCTTTTCATTTCTTTTTCAGAAAATCAATACACAGGAACCGCACCATTCCCCTCTGGGTCTCCTCAGCTCACACTTCTTTCTCCCACCCCACCCCAGGGATCTCCTACATGTTCCTGATGTTGCCTGGGGGAAAATCTACCTGTACAAAAGAAATGGGAAACTCAGTGTCTGCGGGTTAGTTTCTCAAGAGAGGCAATCACTAGAAACTTAAGGAAATGTCAAATATGAATACCTAGCAATTTCACTTGGAGTTGATGACTTGCCTGACTTAAAGCATTAATTAGATGGGGTTGGAATACTTTTAAAGAGCTTCGATATGGAGAATTTTTAGCACCGCACTTCAAACAGGGTTCAGCTGGGGAGGAAGAAAAAGTGGGAGAGTCACTCTCTATAGAATACACACACACACACACACACACACACACACACACACACACATATATATATTATCCAGGAACTTAAACCTGTATGTATGTGTGTGTGTGTATATATATAGCACTTTTTCTGGGGACATCCCACCATTTATACATCCTGCCTCCTTGGGAAGCAGGGATGTGAAAGGGAAAGTGGGCATTGTTTAATGGATGGGGGGGAAAAAGAGGTTGTGGCTGAGCATGATGGCTCACGCCTGTAATCCCAGCACTTTGGGAGGCTGAGGCTGGTGGATCACTTGAGGTCAGGAGTTTGAGACCAGCCTGGCCAACATGGTGAAACCCCATCTCTACTTAAAAAAAAAAAAATTAGCTGGGTGTGGTGGCACGTGCCTCTAATCCCAGCTACTCAGGAGGCTGAGGCAAGAGAATTGCTTGAACCTGGGAGGTGGAGGTTGCAGTGAGCCGAGATCGCATCATTGCACTCTAGCCTGGCCGACAAGAGCGAAACTCAGTCTCATCAAAAAGGAAAAAAGAGGTTGCAAGAAAATATGGCACTTTTCTAAGTCAGGGGCAACCCAAGGAACAGGAAACGCATTCTTTATGCTGAGAACCCTTTTCTATGACCGAAAATAAACAAAGCAGAATCTATTAAGACAGAAAGTCAGACAGAGCTGGGGTCACCATTTTCATTTTTCTCTGGCTCCCTTACTTGTTCTGTTTGTGACTTTGAGCAAATTATCTAAAAATCCAAGCCTTGGTTTCCTCATGTGTAAAATGGGAAATCGTTCTCATGTCTCTCTGTTCTATGAACATAAGAAGCTGATTCCCACCACAAGGCTGTTGCACTTGCCAATCCCACTGCCTAGAATCCTTTTCCCACAAATACTTGCGACAGATCCCTAGATCCCTTCTTTATTCTCTCTCTTTTTTTTTTTTTTTTCTGAGACAGAGTCTTACTCTGTAATCTGGGCTGGAGTGCAGTGGTACGATCTCGGCTCACTGTAACTTCCACCTCCCGAGTTCAAGTGATTCTCCTGCCTCAGCCTCCCGAGTAGCTGCGATTATAGGCACCCACCACCACGCCTGGCTAATTTTTGTATTTTTAGTAGAGGTGGGGTTTCACCATGTTGGCCAGGCTGGTCTGGAACTCCTGACCTCAAGCGATCCACCACCCTCAGCCTCCTAAAGTGCTGGGATTACAGGCGTGAGCCACAGTGCCTGGCCTCCCTTCTCTTCATCCTTGATTGGACCGAAATATCGCTTTTAATCTAAAAGTTACCACCCCATAAACTTGTCTCATCCCTTGGTGTTATTCTTCCTAGTATCACATCTGACATTCTGTTGTGCATTTGCGTGTCTGTTTATTTATTGTCTGTCTCCCTCATTATACTATAAACTCCATGGCAAAAGGGAACCTGTCCACTTTGTTAATACCTGTATCTCCAAAGCCTCATCCAATGCCTGGCATAGTCAATGCCCAGTTAATATTTGCTGCATGAATGGACTCTCAGTCAATAGCTACCATCCATTCCACACTTCTCACGTGCCAGACACTGTTTAAACCACTTTATTAAAATTATCTCACTTAACCCTCAGAACAACCCTATGAGGTAGATAGTCTTATTAACCACATGATATGGTTTCACTGTGTTCCCACCCAAATCTCATCTTGAAATGTAGCTCCCATAATCCCCATGTATCATAGGAGGGACCCAGTGGGAGGTAGTTGAATCATGGGGCCGTGTCTTTGCCATGCTGTTCTCATGATAGTGAATAAGTCTCATGAGATCTGATGGTTTTATAAAGGGGAGTTCCCCTGCACAAGCTCTTGCTGGCCACCATGTAAGACGTGACTTTGCTCCTCATTAGCCTTTTGCCATGATTGTGACGCCTCCCCAGCCAGGTGGAACTGTGAGTCAATTAAACCCCTTTCCTTTGTAAATTACCCAATCTTGGAAACTTCTTTATTGGCAGTGTAAGAAGAGACTATTAACCCCATTTTATAAAGAAGGGAACTGAGGCACAGAAATACTGAATAAACTTGTCTGAAGTCAAGGTGGTAATAACAGCCAGGCAGCCCAGCCCCAGATCCTGCACTCTTAGCAACTGAGCTCCTATACCCTTGATTCAATAGACCTTTAGACCTCAACCTCTTTACAGCTTGGGTTCCATGAAGCTCTGACTATATATGATTAGGTCAGAGGAGCAGGGATTGGAAACCAAGCCTTTAATCAGGGCCCTTCACCAAAGTTTTGTCCTTCTTTCTGTATCTATTCACCAGCAGCTCCTATATACTGTGTTCTCATTTATCTCTTTAATACTTAGCCACTTATATGATGTTTCTCTACTCTCTGAGTACAGACTTTATGTGTATCCACAAGAGTACCCAATGTATATCCACCTTAGGCCTATGCACACGTATTTGACCACAGAAAGTAGATGCTAAATACTTTTTGGAAAAATTTCTGGATGAATAAAACATTTTGAAATGCTTTTCAACAGAACACAGCAAGGCTGTTTAATAAAAGAGAGCTATAAAATGCAAGGATGCTTACAAAGCAAGCAGAACTCAATATAAGTATTCTTTGTCTTAATAAACCCAACTCTTCATACTTCTCCCCCTCAGAACATTTGCACATGCTGTTTCCTTTGCTTGAAACACTTTCTCCTTCCAACTTTTCTGCCTTTTAACCTCTTCCTGGTCTTCCAAATCTCAGTAAAGATTTTTCTGATTCCTACTCCAAAACATTCCTTCATAGCGTTCACTACAGCTTGCAGTTAATGCATTTTCTTCCGTGGCTCTTCAGCTGATGTTTTTCTTGACTAACAGAATCTAAGCTCCATGCAGGCTAAACAGACCATGTCTATTTTGTTCACCATCCCCTTCAAGGGCACAGCTCAGAATAGGTACATAATGCATGAATGCATTAATGCAGTTTTGAAATACCAAGTTTACAAATATAAAGACCTTTAGTGGGTCTCTTTTCTGAAGCAGTGACTTAAATAGGACATACTCACCATTTTTCTCTACATTGTGTGCAGTATAGCATATCTTCATGGTACCCCCAGCCCACTGGGAATAAGTACCAATATTGCAGACTGGTTTTGAGCATGGATGTTGGTCCTGGGATTGAATCCTGGCTAATTAATATAATCAGTATCTTAACTCTCCACCACTCCAAAATGTTATTTCAAAGTGATTTGGACAAGAACAAGAACAGTATAGACTTTAAAAAAAAACTGGTAATACTGAGAGGATATGGAGCAACTGGAATTCTCATATTCTGCTATTGGGAATCTAAATTAGTAAAATTTTACAAAGCAATTCAGCAGTGTCTGTTAAAGATGAGGATGCACATACTCTAAAACATAATAAATACACTTCCATGTATACATTACCCCAGAGAAATTTTCATATATAAGTACTTCTCATGGAGAGTCATGTCAAGATATTAACTTTGGTTTATAACAGCAAAATCCTGGAACCAATTTAAATGAATGAACATATTTAATATAATAAATTATAAATAAATAAATAAATCAGTAAGTTCCTACAGCAAAATGCTATGTAGTCATTCAATTGAGTGAACTAGATCTTCACGTAGCAACAAAACTGGGCCTCAAAAATACAATGTTGAATGACAAAAGCAGTATATAGAATGGCAGTTTCAGTATAAAAGAAAGCAAAAGGCTGGGCACAGTGATGTGCACCTGTAGTCCCAGCTACTTAGGAGGCTAAGGTGCAAGGGTCACTTGAGCCCTGGAGTTCAAAGATGTAAAGCACCATGATTGCATCTGTGAATAGCCACTGCACTCCAGCCTGGGCAACATAGCAAGACCGGGTCTCTGAAAAAGAAAGAAAGAAAGAATATGCAGACATGGCACTGGACACTGCACACAGCCTGCAGCATGGTGGTTGCCTCTAGAGAAAGAAGATGGAAAAGAATGAGAACAGAGCTTCTTCAGAGGAGACTTCAACTGTATCTATAGTGTCATTTCTTTCTTTAAAGAGAGCTGAAGTAAATATGGCAAAATGTTAAAATGTATTAAATCTGAGTGATGAGCACACCAGGTTTTGCAGGTGTGTTTATTATAAGAATTTTTACATGTGAACTATTGTATGACATTTTAAATGGCTACCAAGAAAGGAAGAGAGACAGAGAGAGACTGAGAGAGAGATCTGGATTCTAGCTCTGCCACTGGACCTCAGACAAGGAATGTAAGCTTTCTGAGAACTTAGGTTGCAAAATAGCATTATCGGTGTTCAAATTTCAGGGTTGACTGTGAGAATGAATGAAAATAAATGTGTAGAATGACTTCTAGATATTATCCATTGGAATATCATTTCAGAGTGAGTCCCTAATGACTTTCTAAATATGCTTAATTCAGGGAGACTTTTTTTAAAAAAAAAACTGATCAGAAATTATATAGATGTATTTTCAAGACAAATCTGACCCCACAAAAAATAAAACATTGCTGCTGTTTATGCAAAAACTATGTATTAGGTTGGTGCAAAAGTAATTGCAGTTTTTGCCAATTACTTTTGCACCAACCTAATGCAGGCACACTATATGGACATATATAAGCATAGATTATTTATTAACTGTAATTTCCCTGAGGGAGGGGAACTTTGATGATTGGAGAATAAGAGTAGAAGGAAAATGTACTTTTCCTTGCTATTATTTTTGATTATGTAGCATGTACGTAGATTACCTATTCCAAAAACAAATGTAATTTACTTTTAAATTAATCTGAAGGTCATGATCTTCTCTGCACCTCCAATTTTAAATCTACTTAAAAAGGAAAGGTCCTAAAATCCAAGCTCTGAAGAGGTTCTTAAGAGGTTATATAGTCCCGTCTCTTTCCTGAACACATATAGCAGGAAATGCCACCTCAGCCCCATATTCTTCATGCAACTGAACAAAAGAAAAAGCATGAGATTTGGGATCAGGGGATCCTATCACCATGAATTATTAACTGTGTAGCTCTAAGCAAGTTGCTTAAGCTCTCAGAGCCCCAGTTTCATTTCTAAGATGAGGAGAATGGCAACACCAACTCTCATGGTTGTGTGAGGCTCTCAGAGCCCCAGCTTCATTCCTAAGATGAGGATAATGGCAGCATCGCCTCTCACGGTTGTGTGAGGAGAATGGCGGCACCACCTCTCACGGTTGTGTGAAGAGAATGGCGGCATCACCTCTCATGGTTGTGTGAGGAGAATGGCAACACCACCTTCCATGGTTGTGTGAGGAGAATGGCAACACCACCTCCCACGGTTGTGTGAGGCTCTCAGAGCCCCAGCTTCATTCCTAAGATGAGGATAATGGCAGCATCGCCTCTCACGGTTGTGTGAGGAGAATGGTGGCACCACCTCTCATTGTTGTGTGAGGAGAATGGCGGCAACACCACTCATGGTTGTGTGAGGAGAATGGCGGCACCACCTCTCATGGCTGTGTGAGGCTCTCAGAGCCCCAGTTTCACTTCTAAGATGAGGAGAATGGAGGCACCACCTCTCATGGTTGTGTTAGAATATAAGCATAACTTTAAAATAGTATCCACTAATTGTATGAGGTGCTATTTGTAATGCTGAGGTTGTCCCTCAAAAGCATTGATTCAATCATTTTCACTTCCATGGGAGTGCAAAATAAACATATGCCTAGGGCCCCCATAGGAGCCAACGAAGTCATCTTTGCTTCAGAGCTAAACCAGTTTTTCTTCTCTCCACAGCAAATATCTTGACAGTGATCATCCTCTCCCAGCTGGTGGCAAGAAGACAGAAGTCCTCCTACAACTATCTCTTGGCACTCGCTGCTGCCGACATCTTGGTCCTCTTTTTCATAGTGTTTGTGGACTTCCTGTTGGAAGATTTCATCTTGAACATGCAGATGCCTCAGGTCCCCGACAAGATCATAGAAGTGCTGGAATTCTCATCCATCCACACCTCCATATGGATTACTGTACCGTTAACCATTGACAGGTATATCGCTGTCTGCCACCCGCTCAAGTACCACACGGTCTCATACCCAGCCCGCACCCGGAAAGTCATTGTAAGTGTTTACATCACCTGCTTCCTGACCAGCATCCCCTATTACTGGTGGCCCAACATCTGGACTGAAGACTACATCAGCACCTCTGTGCATCACGTCCTCATCTGGATCCACTGCTTCACCGTCTACCTGGTGCCCTGCTCCATCTTCTTCATCTTGAACTCAATCATTGTGTACAAGCTCAGGAGGAAGAGCAATTTTCGTCTCCGTGGCTACTCCACGGGGAAGACCACCGCCATCTTGTTCACCATTACCTCCATCTTTGCCACACTTTGGGCCCCCCGCATCATCATGATTCTTTACCACCTCTATGGGGCGCCCATCCAGAACCGCTGGCTGGTACACATCATGTCCGACATTGCCAACATGCTAGCCCTTCTGAACACAGCCATCAACTTCTTCCTCTACTGCTTCATCAGCAAGCGGTTCCGCACCATGGCAGCCGCCACGCTCAAGGCTTTCTTCAAGTGCCAGAAGCAACCTGTACAGTTCTACACCAATCATAACTTTTCCATAACAAGTAGCCCCTGGATCTCGCCGGCAAACTCACACTGCATCAAGATGCTGGTGTACCAGTATGACAAAAATGGAAAACCTATAAAAGTATCCCCGTGATTCCATAGGTGTGGCAACTACTGCCTCTGTCTAATCCATTTCCAGATGGGAAGGTGTCCCATCCTATGGCTGAGCAGCTCTCCTTAAGAGTGCTAATCCGATTTCCTGTCTCCCGCAGACTGGGCAATTCTCAGACTGGTAGATGAGAAGAGATGGAAGAGAAGAAAGGAGAGCATGAAGCTTGTTTTTACTTATGCATTTATTTCCACAGAGTCGTAATGACAGCAAAAGCTCCTACCAGTTTGAAGATGCCATTGGAGCTTGTGTCATCATCCTGTGACCAGTTAGGACACAAAGTAGAGAAGTAGTCTGTGATTTCGCCCTGGTACCATCCACAGTCACTGGGAACCCTTCATTTATGGGACTTACCAAGCCCCAGTAGCACATAGCTGAGCCTGCACTCTTCTTCCGAGAGCTGAGGTCATTCATCACTTCCCTCTGCTGTTCCCAGGAGCTAACAATAATGACTATTTCAGGATTTTTTTCAAGGTGCCCTTTGTCCTAGAGAGGGTTGTGGTCTTGAATTGGCTCTGGCACTCCTAGCTTCAGAATGACACTGTGGGAATAGAAGAGTATTGGATCCCATCCAAACTGTGGCCAGAGCTTCTTCAGGAAATCTCCAAACCCGCATAGCTGTGACCTCAAACCTGGGGTCTAAAAGGCAGTTTTCTATTTATCATTATGTATAGATTTTCTCTATCTCCTCCAAAACAAAGACCCTGCCTGGTGCGCAGGGGGAAAGGAGGAATTCTCGAGCCCAGAAAAACAAAAAAATAAGCCCACACTTGCCATTGTTTCAACCCATCCCTGTGTCAGCTGCATACGATCCCGTTACTCAAAATTGCTTCTTGTTATGGTATCACTCCAGCTTCCTAGAGAAGCCTTTTTACGTGTCAAGTTGCCAACCCTGCCTCCTTGCTTGCTGAGGCCCTCACCAAATTGTTTTATTTGAAGTGACTTCCGAACTGAATTTAATATTCAAGGGTCAGGAACTGCAGCTCTGCGGGTATGAGAGGAGGTGTTCTCAGCTCTGTCTCACAGCCCAGCTGGCGCTGCCATTTCGCCACAAACGCAGACACAAAAGGTGCCCATGCTGACGCCTCGTCTGCCCTTTGACGCACATGGCTCAAAAGGGGGTGCCAGTTCTTGGTAAAGCTATTTAACCCAGATCCTTTGTAAAATGATAAAATATAAGTGTGTTTATTTATTCTACCCTTGCCTGTCCAAGGCAAGAACATTTCTAGGATGTAATGAATAGGGGCATCCCTGGAAATTGCTACTTATGTGTGCAGCACACACACACACATGATTATATTCGTCTTATTTAGTGTTTCTTTTTTCTTCTTTTTTTTTTAACTTCTCCCTCAGATTCCCAGTATTCGAATTCATCCCTGTTTTGGAATAAATTTGCCAAACTGACTTTGAAATTGCATGACATTTTTGGTGACCAAAAAACGGCAGACAGTCCACCTGGAATATTTAGTTCCTCAGGCTGGATTTTTACTGCATTTTGTCCCTAAGTTGGAAGACATGTCTATCTTTTTTAAGGGAATTTGCAATAAATGAATGGGATAAGAAAAGGCCCCATGGCAACACAAACCCTAAACTTCAGCCAATGCTCTCAATACTAACTCAATACAAACTTAGGTCATATTAGTCCTGATGATCCTAATTCTTACCCCTTTTAAAGGATCGCAATAGAATCTCATCAGAGCCAAGGATTAGATTCTAAAGTCAGTGCAAAAGATAAAACCTTACAGAGCCAAAGTTACCTTTGCAAAAGATCCTCAAAAAAGAGCCATGTTGGAGATTATATTCCATTGCTTTCAAAACCTAACACAGCTAAGTTTTTCTCTAGCATTGGAACAAGTTGCTGTTTCTCTGGTTGATGACAAGACAGAATTGGCTCTCATTTAGGGACCATATTGTGTGATTCTAATGTATCTGAGAACATTAGGACCACCCTGGTGCATCAAGATGCTTCCACTCAAAGAAGTTCATGGAAGTCGTCTGACTGAGGGACAGATCTCCCATCTCCCACGCTCCCCAGGGCGTATGCTCATTGAGTGGAATGGTAAGCAGATTCCCTCACCTCCCTTAAATTGCATTTCTCTCTGTCTCTTTTTTGCCAAGCACGTGTAATTGAACATGTGTTCATTAAATGTGTGTGTGATGCAACGCCACTACACCCCCTTATGAATGGACATTGACCAAAGGCTACCTATACTGAATATATATATATATATATATTTATTTATTTATTTTTTAAACATGTAGCTCTGAAAAATGCTAGTTTGAGCTACACATGAATGAGTCAAAGTGCAATATCTACAAAGGTTAAGCAATTCCTTTTTGAGAATGTATATAAGATGGAAAATATGTATGTGACTCTCCATGCTCTCTGCTCCATATTTTTAATTGTGTGTAACAATTAATTGTTGATGTTTAAAAACTGGGTGTGCATTGGGAACATTTTCCTCAGACACTTTAATTTATTACTTCTCGATGATAGAGGCTCTACCACGTGGTATTGTGATCTCTTTTCCTCCGAATATATTTTATATTTTGCTACATGATATTTAAAAGAGGTCCAATTCTTGAAGGCACTGTAGTGAATTGCTGTCTTCTGCTTAAAATGCAAATGAATGCCCATTGGGTTAGGTTGATTCATATCTCTTAAAATTTATTTCAAACTATCTAAGGACTTTTATTATTATTTATAGTAATAATTATGGACATCATGAAATGGGTTTTTTTTAACTTTAAAACTTTAAAAACTTGTAAGCCTTTTCTTTCAGGCCAGTTTTGACAATAAAGCCTTGAACTTTGAAGCCTGTCATGTAAATGGCTGCTGCTGGTGGCACTAAAGCAATTGCCTTATCGTGGGTTTTTGTGGTGCCTCTTTCAAAGACAGTTAACTAGCTTCTCTCTTGCTATATGATTTGTGTCCTTGGTTGGACATTGCAATGATGATACGCACCACCATGCTGTGTCTTTTTATTGAACAACTTGACGGCTGAAATGTCTCATGGGGAAGGAAATGAGGGGAATGACAGACAAACCATAAAAGACAGACCGGAGTGGGCACGAACTTGTGTGTTGCAAACACCCTGCTATTGGAAAAGATCACTTTGCACATTTGGTACCTCCTGGTTCAACATGGGGAGCCTACCCGAAGTGAATAAAAGACTCTAATGTTGGCTATTCCAGTTCAGAGAATGGAATAGAAAGTTACCATAGAAAAAAAGCAAATGTTCATATTTTCTTAATTAGATTATATATTGTGTTTGGACTTGTTTGTATTATAATAAATTCTAATATGGTGCACACTTGGTGTTTGGTATTTGCATCTATGTTCAAGCAATTGCAGTATGCTGATTTTTATTACTATTATTTTTAATTGATAAATCATAATTGTATACATTTATGGGATACAATGTGATGTTTTGATATATGTATACAATGTGGAATAATTAAATCAAGCTAAATTAACACATCTGTCACTTCACTTATCATTTTTTTTGTGGTGAGAAATTTGAAATTTATTATCTGTTATTTTGAAACATACATTGTTACCGACTCCACTCACCCTGCTATGCAATAGATCTCAAAATTTATTTCTTCCATCTAACAAACTTTGTGCCCTTTGACAAACATCTCCCATTCCCTGCTTCTCACCTACTTCCAGCCTCTGGTAACCATCATTTTACTCTCTACTTCTATGAGTTTGACTCTTTTGGATTCCACATATAAGTGAAATCATATAGTATTTGTCTTTCTGTGCCTGGCTCATTTCACTAAGCATGATATCTTCCAAATTGCAGAATGCTGGTTTAAACATTTAACATTTAAGTGGACATCTTTCTTATACATTGTGCTGGGTGCTAGAATAAAACCAGAGTTCCATCTGTCTCCTGGTTAGCAGATATAGTTCAGAATTTAAGACCACTGAACTGTGCTCCCTACAATCCTCATTTAGGTAGTTTACTGGGTATAAATCTGAATTCTCTGCTGATCACATCCTCTGTACATCTTTGAGACAGTGAAGGATGATTTTTTAATAATCATAACTGGAAATCCAGCATCATGTCTAAGAGCTTGGGCTTTGATGTCAGACAGTCACGAGTTCATGTCCCAGCTCCCCCATTTACTAGATGAATGGCCTTGAGCAAGTCCTTGGAGATTTCCTAAGGACTTTCCTCATCTAGAAAACGGTGCATAATTTAAATTTTTTCCAGTTGTCTTCAAGGTATGTAGAAACTCTTATAGTCAGGAACCCAAGATTTGGAGTCAGTTATTACAGGCTATAACTTTCCTGGCTATGTGAACTTGAGCAATGTTCTCAATCTCTCTCTCTCTGAGTCTCAATTTTCTCTCCATAAAATGGAGCTAATTATAATTCCAGTAGGTAACTTATAAAGTGATTATTAGTAGCAGAGTTTTTTAAAAAGCCTCCAATTGTACATCATTTTATAGGTGAGGATGCTAGGCCCAAAGAGGTCAATGATCTGGGCCTGAATGGAACCCAGGTCACTCAACACTCCATCCTTTTCACTTCACCTCATTATCTTCTTTGCAAAATTCTAAGTCATTCCCCCAAAACATCACATTGGTTTTATGCCCATTTTAGAGTTGGGTGCATTGCATAATTTTGCAACTCTTCAAACCCAGATCATTCAGGCATGATATATATTATAACAGCCTCATAATTAAAACTCTCAGCTTGACCTTTCCTTGTGAGTAGAACTTTTTTTAATTGACTCTATGTGGAATCCTAACCATAGCTCTCAAACTTGCTATGCATTTTCCCACACAAACCACCATCAATTCTGACAGCCACCCACAAACTATTGTCACAATCCATCTTTGCATCAACTTGGAGAATAAAAGTGACTTAGGAGTTGAGGGGGAAGTGCAGAAAAGCAAAGAATTTGCTGAAAGGGTGGCAAACAGAAGCTCTTGGGCATGGCCACAGCAGCCTCATTAATTTTGTTCTCCAATTCAGGGAGGCAGGACAAAGGAGAGTTGAAGGAGGTTGAACCATTAAATAATAATCCTTTTATTAGTGCACTCAGCTAAATGTGATAGTCCGGCCTCTTTGGAGAGTGTGCAATTAATCCCAAGTACTTGCCAGACACAACAAGGGGGATAAGAGGCTCATGTCTACTGGGATAAATAGATACTGTGAATTTCCTGGGCTTATTGGCAGAATGTGTCACTGTCATGCCAAAAAAAAAAAAAAAAAAAGCAGATGGGGGGAATGTTCTGATTTAGAAGGAGTAAATAAGGCCACAGGGAAGAAAGATGTCTTCTCATCAACTCTGCCTGAGGAGTTGCCATGTCTTTGGAGCTTTGTTACCGAGAGAATGGCAGTAACATGACATTTCTCTCCACTGGAGATGGAACAAGACGATGTGAGACTTCAACTGCAGTATGAGAGTTCCAGATTAAACCCAAAGAAGAAATCATTACAGAAATGTCTATTAACACCACAAATGATTTTCAGTGGGAGTTCTTAGAATCTGCTTTTCTGGATATATTTCAAAATGGGTTGTCGATCAGAGTCTTACAGGGAAACAAATCTCAATCAGATGGTTTCATGAAATGACTTTAACCAAAAAACTGCTAACAATGGCTTGAGCAAGATTAGGGGAACTTATGAGAGGTGAAGCTTCCTGTGAGGAAGCTTTCCATTAGCTGTTGAGGTACCTTGGAACTAGAGATAACAGGAAGCTTTACCTCTCCTAATGAAGCAATGAGAGGAAAGGATGTTAGTGGACCTCAGTGAGGTCTAGAGCCTAGTAGACCTCAGTGAGGTCTAGAGCCTTGGAGGAGGGGCCTTCCACCAAGAAGGGGCCACATCACAGTCAGAGATATGATGCCAGAGCAGAAGGAATGCCTCTTTCTTCCTTACCTCTGATATCATGCTGATGCCACCCACTGGCCAAGTTCAAACAGAAGCCAGCCAGAAAAGGAGAGCAGGTGGTGCAGTCCACAGTGGGAAGACCCCAGGGCATAAGGCAGTAAAGAATAGATCAAGACTAAAGTGAGACAGGAAGCAAACGCAGAATAACCACAAAGGTTAGATTCTTCTTTTACTATCACTGAACCATTGGAAAGTCACAGAGGATCTTAGAGACTGTTTCACTCAAAGGTCAAAAAAGAAAGCTAAGGCCCAAGAGAGCCAAAGCTACACAACCTAGATGTTAGTAGATCCTCTTTCCAATTACCTTTCTGTACAGTTCCCAGAAATGTAGAAAGATTATATACTTCTGCAAGCTTGCTTTAAACTTTCATGGTTAGAAATCTTCATGGTTAGAAATTTCTTATATTCTTCTTTTCTTTTTTTTTTTTTTTTTTTTTGACAGAGTCTTGCTCTGTTGCCTAGGCTAGAGGGCAGTGATGTGATCTCAGCCCACAGCTCACTGCAACCTTTGCCTCCCAGGTTCAAGCAATTCTCCTGCCTCAGCCTCCCAAGTAGCTGGGACTACAGACACACGCCATCACGCCCGGCTGTTTTTTTTGTTTTTGTTTTTGTTTTTGTTTTTAAGTAGAGACAGAGTTTCACCATATTGGCCAGGCTGGTCTCAAGCTCCTGGCCTCAAGTGATCCACCCATCTTGGCCTCCGAAAGTGCTAGGGTTACATGCATGAGCCACCGTGCCTGGCCAGAAGTTTCTTATATTATTCCTTAGCATCTCCAATGACCAGGCTGTCACCTTGAACACCTTTAGAGATGGAGATGGAAAGAGTCAAGAGAGTAGGCACTCATTTAACAAGTCCCAGGCACTTCTCTAGTCATTTATTTATTTGACTAATACTTATTGAAATACACTATGTGTCAAGATGTATTCTAGGCATAGTGATTCATTAATGAACAAGATAGATAAGACCCCTGACCTTTTGGCACATACACTGTAATGAGAAAGACAGTACATAAGAAAGCAAATAAAATAATTTCAAGTAGTGATAAGTGCTGGAAATAAATAATTGTAAGTGACTAAGGTCAGGCAGAAATAACACTAGATAGATAAATGAGTCAAAGAAGGTCTATTTGAGAAGGTGACAACAGAACTGAAATCCACATTAAAAGCAGACAGTCATAAAAAGAGCATGCTAGGCAAAGGGGTCAGAGAGTACAAAAGCCTTGAGATTGGAATAACCTTGGGTGCTCATGGAACAATTAGAAGATTAATATTGCTGAAACCTAGTGATCCAGGGGTAGAGTGGTATGGAACAAAAGAAGGAAGGGACAGGGAGGAGCTGAATCATGTTGTGTTAGTCAGTTTTCATGCTGCCGATAAAGACATACCTGAGACTGGGCAATTTACAAAGGAAAGAAGTTTAATGGAGAACTCACAGTTCCACATAGATGGGAAAGTCTCACAATCATGGCAGAAGGCAAGGAGGAGCAAGTCACATCTTACATGGATGGTGGCAGGCAAAAAGAGAGCTTGTGCAGGTCAATTCCCGTTTTTAAAACCATCTCATGGGACCCATTCACTATCATGACAACAGCATGGGACAGATCTGCCCCCATAATTCAATTGTCTCCCACTGGGTCCCTCCCACAACACATGAGAATTATGGGAGCTACAAGATGAGATTTGAGTGGGGACACAGAGCCAAACCATATCACATGTAGAGCTTTGTGGTCCCTAAAAAGGAATTTGGTGGGAAGCCATTGAAAAGTTTGAAGTAAGAAACTGATGTGATCTTCTTATGTCACTTAATCTTCACAATTCTTGAAAGACCGTGTTGTGACCTCCATTATCCAGAGGAGAACACTGAATCTCATGGGGATTAAATTAAACATACTCAAGGTCACAGTGAGTAATTCATGAGTTGGCATTCAAGTTCAGTTCTGTCTGACTCCAAGAGCCACTTCACTTCAGGCCACTTTGACATGCTGTTGTTGACATTCCACACTCTCTCTCCTGAATTTGCAGTTTGGTCCCATTAGCCTTTTCATCATCCAAGGTTGATATTTAGGCTAAAGCCATCTTCTAGTTCAATTAATGAGGAGTCAGAAATCATCAGTGCATAATACTGTATGGTTCTATTTCATAACCCAACTAATGTGTCTGATGATATCTGGCAGAGCATTAGCCCTACAAGATGGCAGATAAAACAATACAGGGTCTACCAGCAGGGTAGGCATTTAAAAAGAGGCATAATTATTTTTAAACTTTCTTTCACAATCTTCAATAATATTTTCAACATCATTATTTTACAAATGCTTTAATACACAAGAGATTTTTAACTCTTTTTCCTTCTCCAGCTTAGGCACTAGCCCTTTAAAATAATTGCCTGTGCTTCTGTCCAAGGTGCTGAAACTATTTGGCCATGACTTTTGAACAAGAAGACTAATACCCATTTTAAGAAGATTTGCAATCCTCCCATAAAAAATAAATTGAGACAGCATTGTTTACTTTATGAAAATATTTAAAGTACAGAAGCAAGTTCCACGAGGGCCTTGCTCCTCAAATCATGGCCCACCTATCAGCAGCATCAGCATCACCTGGGAGCTTGCAAGAAATGTAGAATCACTGTGCCCACCCCAGCCTGCTGAACCAGAATCTGAATTTTAATAAGATCTCCAGGTAATTCATATTAAAGTTTGAGGAGCACTAAACTGACGCACTTTAAAACTGCAGTTTTACACCTTTGGGGAGCTTTTGAAAATCCTAATGCCTAAGATGAAATCCAGGTATCATTATTTTTTAAAGCTCCTAAAATGATTTCAATGTGAAGCCAAGATGGAGAGCCACTGATTTTTTAAAGAAAACTTCATATCCCCACCATAAACGGAAAGCCAGTATCACCTACCATAAATAGATAGAAATTGTAAAAAAAAGATTAAAGACTATCAATAATTTTCAATACATACTATTGTGTGAGCTTGATATCTACACTCTTTTAAAAGATAGGTGTTAGGCGTCTACTACTGCCATACTGAGACATTCTTTTTAATCTAATCAGAAGAACTAATAGAAAATTAGAAAGGTAAACTTTTTCACAATATGTTTTAGTGTTTTCAAAGTCAAACTTTGTGCTATCTAAGCCGACTCACACACTGAGTGTTACAAGCATTATACTTTGGGAAACACTGATCTGTTAAATAAGGAGGCTTCAGCAGCTCTTATCTGCACTTTAGACTCACCTGGAGTTTTTATTAAAACCTATATTCAAACACTATTCCCAGAAGAAGTAAGTCAGAACCTCCAGCAATGAGCCCAAGTCATCAGAATTTTTAAAAACATTCCCAGGTAATTCTGACATGCAGCCAGGATTGAGAACCACTTGGCTACTTAGTAACACTTGGTTAACTGGGAAAATACCATACAGCTCTCCCAGATAATCGTCATTTGGCCATTTCACAAATTCAGACTCTTCACAATTGCTTGAGAGTCCACAGTGTGTGCACATCTCACTGTTGAGGTCTCAGGGGGCTGATAAATCCCACCCATCTATCCCCCACTCTGGCTTTGGAACAAGTTGAGAAATAAAATGAAGAAATTGGTTGGTAGATATCAATTTTAAGCTCTATTACTGTAAGGGTGGATTGGAGAACTTCAGCCGGACCCAGGGCCAACAGATTTCCCACCCAGTGAGTTTCAGTCTTCAGCCAGACACCCATGAGATAGTCTGGGACTGCACAGAAAACAGTTATGCAGACTGTTGCAAGCAGATTTTCTGTCTCCAAATCAAGCCTTGTTGGTGAAGACAGTTAGAGATGGGCCTCTAGACCTTCCTTTGGAAGCCAGGCATGGACCACAACCCAGTTAGGGGGTCCTACAGGGAAGACGGGAGCATAGGAAGAATTCCTGCCTCCTAGGGTCAGGCTGGCCTGAGAAATAGGGAGGGAGGGAGGGAGGTTTATTCACATATATTGTGTACCTTCTCCCGATTCTACAAATCAGTCAAGACCTTCATTCTCCATTGGGAGTACAGTAAAAGAGGAAAGTTGAGAGAAGTTACCTTCCAAATGCTTCTGAAAGATTAAGAACAAGAATTCCTAATGTAGAACTACTAGAAAGAGAATATGGTTCTCTTTCTACATTCACCTCTTCATGACCTAGGGAATTTATAAAAGTGGCTCAGGGAATTCCATAACCCGCATGGAGGCAAACAGTCAGGTGTGCTGTACAACTAAAATACTTAAAGAAGCAAGGCAAGAAAAGATCCTCCTGGTCCTCTCAGCACCTCACTGTCCTTAAAGCAGGGGTGTTGGGTGCCTGTAAAAGCCTATTCCTATCTTCAGGGTCAGAGATTTTCAGTCCCACCCTACCCATCTCCCCCAGCTGTCACACAGTTCTCTAAAGGCTCTGAAATAAAAAATAATAATAATAATTGTAATTGACTCAATACGGACACCAAATAGCACTTCTAAAAGTGAAAAAATTGGTGCCAAAATCAAAGTAGTTACACATTCAAAGCATTGCAGCTCCTGAAACCAGGCTCCTGATGTGAAAAGGATGTGGGTCATGCAGGTCTGAGTTCAAATCCTGATGCCACCACTTTTCACCTGAGTGATGTTGGACAAGTCACTTCCAGTCTCTGAGCTACTACTATTGCATCATCTGTAAAATGGAGATAACAATAGTACCGACTTCAAAACAGGGTGGTGGGAATTATTTATAATAACTTTAAGTATCTGAAACATTATTAATAAACTCTCTTATTATTTAGTTCTCTCTAGTAGGGACAAGAAGAACTTTGCCTCTTCTGGGACTTCTCTGAGAAACTGCATCTACTTTGAGATGACAAGGCCACTCCCAGAAAGAAAGAGCTTAGCAATGTCATGCTCCCAGCTGTCCCTCTTTTCCAAAGTAGAGAAAGCATATCACTTATTTCAGTCATCCAGTGAGAGTCCCTGAAAAAGACAGAACATCAAGAATTTGGAAGAAAGAAGGCAGATCATCAGTCACTCCATATTCAATTTCAATACCATGAAATGTGGCTCCCTATTTTACCTTAGTTCTCTCTCTCCATTTTCATCCACTGCTAGTCTCTGGAGCTAAACTTCAGCCTTCAGGGTGATGTGATGGCAGCTGCATAAAGGCCACTTGCTCATCTCATCAGATAGAGGTAAGTGATATCCCTGGAGTCAACTAATAGCAACCTAATTCTGGGGGAGGGTTGATACAGGTGACCTGTCCTCACTATGTCAAGTGTGTCTCCCAGGCTCTGAGAGAGGCCACAAATATTCTGCAGTTGCAGACAAGGGCTTCTTGTTATTGTAAATTAATCTTGTAAATATCTGATTTCTAAGACGCTGTAAGGAAATGACCCCCTGTTGCTAAATGTGTGTGCCTCTTAGTGTATTTGATTGTCTGGGGCATGGTGATATGCTCTGACATGGCTGCCCCAGCCAGGTCTGCAAGGGAAAGGCCATCTCCATGAGGGAAAGTACAGGGTCTTTCCCAGAGAATGAGGTCATCATAGTATCTGTCATAAAGAGAAAAGGCAGGTCATCAAACAGGGAAAGGGAAATGAGCCTTGGAAAGTAGGAGAGAGGGATCTGCTTATTTTAGTTTTCCTAGGGAGGATAAGACAAAGGTGGGGCTGAAAGAAAACTGGCTGTTTTTCTTGAAACCCTACTGATGAGTCAACTTTACTTTTAATTTGACTGTCTCCTTAAGGTTCTCTTTGTTGGTTTTCTGCCATAGACCCAGAGCTTTAGTAAAGTCCTGTTTAAACATTCCATCTTGGGCCAGGTGTGGTGGCTCACATCTGTAGTCCCAGCACTTTGGGAGGCAGAGGTAGGAGGATTGCTCAAGGTCAGGAGTTGAAGACCAGCCTGGGCAACATAGCAAGACCCTGTCTCTACAAAAAGAAATTAAAATTTTAAAAAAATAGCTGGGCATGGTGGTGCATGCCTATAGTCCCAGCTACTCAAGAGGCAGAGGCAGCAGAATCTCTTGAGCCCAGGAGGTCGAGGTCACAGTGATTGCTCCACTGTCCTCCAGCCTAGGTGACTGAGCAAGATCCTGTCTCAAAAAAAAAAAAATCCATCTTGTACTGGTTGAATTGAAATATTAAATAAGAGGGTATCCCCAACCAAAGCCAAAACAACCTTGAAGTGGGAACCCCCCAAAAGGGAAAGTGAATCTAGCACAGAGTTAGACCCCACGGTCCCATCACTCTTTCCTCAAAAGATTCTATCTGTGAGCACTCTTAGATGTAATGGCTTATCTCTCTCAAAAGTGAGAGAATTATCTTGCAGAGTCTTTAAATACTTCTGAGATGGATAAGCTTTACCAAATTTATCCAGTGACTCTTGGTCATTGGATTTCAAGATTGACTAGTCATGTGTCACTTTCCTAAGTGGCTGGAGAAGACCCCAAAGAAATATCTCTCCTCCCATTGCCCTTCCCTAACTAACCACATGTGAACACATCCTTCAGAGCCAATGTCAGTTCTCTCCCAAAGCTTGTGGAACAATATTTCAGCTTACAAATACCCAAAAAAACTTAACAATGCTATGACTAATAAATGGTATTAGGAAAGAAAGTAGAAGAATAGGATGAGAACTTAAAAATTCTTCCAAGTAGCAAGACCAACCTTCGCTCATTAACATCTAATTGTTTCTTCTTTATTTCTTCTTCTACAGAACAACAAACAGTCTTGCTCTTTATTTCAGAATCCTCTTTAAACTTGCAGGGAGTTATTTTTGTTTTTTGTTTTTTGTTTTTTTGTTTGAGATGGAGACTTGCTCTGTTGCCCAGGCTGGAGTGCAGTGGCGCAATCTCGGCTCACTACAACCTCCACCTCTCAGGTTCAAGCTATTCTTGTGCCTCAGCCTCCCAAGTAGCTGGAATTACAGGTGCACACCACCACATCAGGCTAACTTTTTTTAAATTATACTTTAAGTTCTAGGGTACATGTGCACAACGTGCAGGTTTGTTACATAGGTACACATGTGCCATGTGGGTTTGCTGAACCCATCAACTCATCATTTACATTAGGTGTTTCTCCTAATGCTATCCCTCCCCCTGTCCCCCACCCCATGACAGGCCCTGGGGTGTGATGTTCCATGCCCTGTGTCCAAGTGTTCTCATTGTTCAATTGCCACCTATGAGTGAGAACATGTGGTGTTTGGTTTTCTGTCCTTGTGATAGTTTGCTCAGAATGATAGTTTCCAGCTGCATCCATGTCCCTGCAAAGGACATGAACTCATCCTTTTTTATGGCTGCGTAGTATTCCATGGTGTATATGTGCCACTTTTTCTTAATCCAGTCTATCATTGATGGACATTTGGATTGGTTCCAAGCCTTTGCTATTGTGAATAGTGCCACAATAAACATACGTGTGCATGTGTCTTTGTAGTAGCATGATTTATAATCCTTTAGGTATATACCCAGTAATGGGATCACTGGGACAAATGGTATTTCTAGTTCTAGATCCTTGAGGAATCGCCACACTGTCTTCCACAATGGTTGAACTAGTTTACACTCCCACCAACAGTGTACAAGCATTCCTGTTTCTCCACATCCTCTCCAGCATCCGTTGTTTCCTGACTTTTTAATGATCGCCATTCTAACTGGCGTGAGATGGTATCTCATTGTGGTTTTGATTTGCATTTCTCTGATGACCAGTTATGATGAGCATTTTTTCATGTGTCTGTTGGCTGCATAAATGTCTTCTTTTGAGAAGTGTCTGTTCATATCCTTTGCCCACTTTTTTATGGGGTTGGTTTTTTTCTTATAAATTTATTTAAGTTCTTTGTAGATTTTGGATATTAGCCCTTTGTTAGATGGGTAGATTGAAGAAATTTTCTCCCATTCTGTAGGTTGCCTGTTCACTCTGATGCACACCAGGCTAATTTTTATATTTTTAGTAGAGACAGGGTTTTACCATGTTGGCCAGGCTGGTCTCGAACTCCAGACCTCAAGTGATCTGCACGCCTCGGCCTCCCAAAGTGCTGCAATTGCAGGTGTGAGCTACTGCATCTGGCCTAAACTTACAGGGAGTTCTTCTCTAATCTAAATGACTTCAGTAACTCTTACATTTCCTCTAGCATTTTTTTTTTCTCCAATTGTGCCTCTTTCCAAATATACTGCAAGCACCAATACTCTCTCCACAACCCACAGATAACTTTATTACTGGTACTCTGTTTCTATTATCTATTCTTCCTGAGTGAGGAAGACAATTTAATCAGGGGGAAAAATTGCAGATTAATTTAGATAATTTTAAATTAATTAAAATAAATCTAAAGCAGAGATTTTTCAGTTTCTTTTTGTTTACAGCCCACTTTGAAATACCCAAACTTTCAGGAACATGCTTGAAGGGATTAACAGAATCAAACCAAGTCTTTAAAAGTCAATAGTAATTGCAATGTAATTGCTGCTATAAAACAGTCATATTTTGGTCCTTTTACAAAAGCATCTAGCCGGTTGTGTTGGCTCATGCCTACAATTCCAGCACTTTGGGAGGCTGAAGCAGAAACATTGCCTGAGGCCAGGAGTTTAAAACCAGCCTGGACAACATAGTGAGACCCCATCTCTACCAAAGAAAATTTTTTTTAATAGCAGAGTGTGGTGGTGCATGCCTGCAGTCCCAGCTATTCGGGAGGCTGAAGTGGGAGGATCACTTTAGCACAAGAGTGCTAGGCTGCAGTGAGTTATGATGGTGCAACTGAACTCCAGCCTGGGCAGTAGAGTGAGATTCCATCTCAAAATAAAAATTAAAACAGCATTTGCATTTATTGAACTCATTATTTAGTGGCCCTTCAGCACTAGCTGTGTTTTACTAGAAACTCACTGGCCTACCTGTGCCTTCTTACCTATTCTCAAAGTAAAATTCTTATAAAATCTGTGTTAGTGGAATTTCAACAAACCGATATTTAACTGAACCAAAGGAAGAAATAAAATGAGACACAGCAATGATAATCATAACAATATACATAGTAAGAGTCACCCTCTGCATTCTGCAACATGAGAATGAGTTTGAAATGGGACACACAAATCTACAATTGATTCAGTCTCTGTTTCCACATGCCTCTCAGAGTGTGAGCACCTCAGCTGACCTGGAGTGATCTCATGCCTGAAAACATGGGTTTTTTCATGTAATTGACCCCTAAACACAAGCCAACTACTTCAATTGGTCCTCAATTGAATAAACATTTGTTCTTGTGAAAGTTGTAAGAATCAAAATGGAGTCGTTTGTGTTTAAAAAAACAAACAAAAATCCTGACGAATAGGGCAGGGAAGGCTATGAAGAGAGGGTTCTCACGCTTGTATTCCTGACAACAAAACTGGGACAAAAGACCCCACAAAATCTGCAATCTTGCACAAACGCCATTGCAGCCTTACACAAAAAATACTTCTGTGAGGACGTCTGCCCAGCAACTGTCTGTCGAATCTCAGACCAGTATCACCCTCGTTATTGACCCTTGTAGCCAAGGATGATTATCTCAAAACAATTACATAGTTCTCCTGCAGTTTTCCTTTAAAAATCTTTGCCTTCCTTTACCTCCTTGAATACACACCTAGTTTACTGTGGCATGTGTATTCTCATGGCAATGCGCTGAATAAATATCATTTTATTTTAGAGGGCTTCTCTCTGACATTTCCATGCCAGAGGATGCTTCTGCTGTATACCACACTCTATCTCATTAATGATTTGATGGACTTTCAATGGCACTTTTTGTTATACTCAGTTCCACCTTACTTGTTAATTTTAGAACCTTATCTCTATCAAGGGAAGATTTTTAAAGTCCCTCTTAATTCATGCAGAATGTAAATCACAAACACTAATTTCTCCTTTAAAGATGGTAAACAAGTTCAAATGTTTACATGTTCCCAACATCATCATAGAGTAGGCATTGTTGATTGAGCTACTAACAGTTTTCTTGATGAAAATAGCAATTATCCTGACACTAATAGATTTCACATTTTACTTTTGTATTATGGACATTAAACACCTTTTCTCTGATTGTTTAAAAAGCTTTTCAAAGACTGTTCGGATAATTACTCCACTCAGAAAATAATGACTAGTGTGGGAAATCAATGATTTTTTTAAGTTTTACCATTTGAGGTAAATGACTCCACAGTAAACTAAGTTCTTTTTAAAGATATATTGTATTCATAACATACAAAACCTTTACCTATTTGAGAGTTTTAATACGAACAATTCACTTAATGATCTTCTGGTTGAATTTGTAATAAAGTGATTCCAGATAGTGTAAAATACAACACCATTATAAGCATTGCCTTTCTTTGTCACCAGCATGATGTTACACTATACTTCTTACTTCTTTCTTCCAGGAAGTTATGCCTGCTCCACAGTAAATCCCATGCACACTCATCTGATAGACATTGATTTTATTATTATTATTATTATTTTGAGACGGAGTCTCGCTCTGTCACCCAGGCTGGAGTGCAGTGGCACAATCTCGGCTCAGTGCAACCTCCGCCTCCTGCGTTCAAACGATTCTCCTGCCTCAGCCTCCCCAGTAGCTGGGACTACAGGTGTGTGCCACCACGCCTGGCTAATTTTTGTATTTTTAATAGAGATAGGGTTTCACCATGTTGGCCAGGCTGGTCTCAAACTCCTGACCTCAAGTGATCCACCTGCCTCGGCCTCCCAAAGTGCTGGGATTTTACAGGCATGAGCCACTGTGCCCAGCCTGATAGACGTTGATTTACAGTATGAGTCTTCAACTGTAGCTGAAATAAAATTATATTCATTGCTTCCAGTTTGAGGGAAGATCTAAGAAGTTTTCTTTGGCATACCAGCTGAAAACCACTGGGTTAGATATTGCTATACATGTCCTAGAAATAAGAAGGCATTTATGATACAAATCACTTAATGGCAAAGGGGTAAAGTTGAAAAAAGCCCTGGTTAAGAAAGAGAAAGTCCTGGGTTCTAATTGTAGCCCTGCCATTAACTGCCTGAGTGAAGTCACTAAATCCATCCTCTGTTGAGTTTCTCCATCTGTAAAATGAGGAGGTTGAATCTAGATAGATTCATGTATATGTAGGAATTTAAGATATGATCAAAATGGATTACAAATCCATGATACATTTATTTAAACATAAGAAGGAAAATATGCCAAAGGGATATTTTCCTTTGTAGAAAAGTAGAAGGGACACTGTTTATTATCTTGAGTGTAGGTATGGTAAACTGAGTCACAATCAAAATTTTTAAAAGTTTATTTGAGCAAACAGCAGTTCATGTATTGGACAACTCCAAACCAGAAGAGGTTTGGGAGCTCTGCCAAGGGAATGGAAGGGGGACTTTTTATAGGACAAACATAAAAGTAAAGCAAAGAATATTTGATTGGTTACAGTACACAGTTGTCTTATTTAGTCTATACTGTTGAAAAGTTTCTAGTTATATAATTATAAGTTTGTTGGCTGCTTCTGTTTGGTTGAGCTTCAGTTCTGTTATTCTTTAATACAGTCTTTTATAAGAAATAGCACAAGTTAAGTTTCACTTATGTTTGCAAATCAAACAAGGTTAAGGTCACTTATTGAGACCAAACTGGCTTTGTTTGCTCAGGGATTCTTCCCACTTGGTTTTCATTTTAATTTACTTTAACAATAGCTTTCCTTGGCATAACACCAAAAACCAGGGAGGAAAAGGAATGAAAAGACTTACAGACCTAATCATACAAACAGTTTAAACTCCTTCATGATAAAAGACATTGTCAATATATTTAAAGCAAGCATACTGTAAAAAACATGAACACACACACAAAATACTGAGTTCATGCCTGTATTAGCCCATTCTCATGATGCTATGGAGAAATACCCAACAGTGGGTAATTTATAAAGGAAAGAGGTTTAATTGACTCACAGTTCAGCATGGCTGGGGATACCTCAGGCAACTTACAAGCATGGTGGAAGGGGAAGTAAATACGTCCTTATTCACATGGCGGCAGCAAAAAGAAGTGCAAGCAAAAAGGGGGAAAAGCCCCTTATAAATCTACCAGATCTCATGAGAACTCACTATCACAAGAACAGCAAGAGGGAAACTGCCCCCATGATTCAATTACCTCCCACCCGGTCCCTCCCACATACGTGGGGATTATGGGAACTACAATTCAAGATGAGATTTGGGTGTGGACACAGCCAAACCTTATCCATACTCAATCTATAAAGAGTAGTTAAAAAGAAAAAAGAAAAAGAAGAACACCCCTGTAAAAATTTGCAAAGAATTTGAAGAGGCAATTTATAAAATAAGAACCACTAATGATAATAAACATCTGAAAACATATTAAAGCTTATTATTACTTCAAGAGATGCAAAGTAAAACAACATGAGGTTATTCTATCTTGCCAGATGTCACTGACACACAGTGTGAGTGAGAGTGTGGGGAAATGTGTACACTCGTACATACTACTAGTAGTAGTTTAAATTCACATAAACTTTTTAGAAGGGAAGTTAGCAATAGCTATTAATACACCTACCATTTGACTCAGCAATCCTAGTTCTAGGCATTTATCATGTTTTGAATTGTTGACAAACCATACAAATATATTTGAACAAAGGTATTGCAGCCTTGTTTGATAACAGTAAATTACTGGAACTGTTCTAAATGCTCATCAATAAGAAATGTATTAAATAAATTATTGTACCTCCGTAAAATGGAATACTATGAAGCTATTTGAAAATAATGAGTTAGATCTGTATGGACTCATGGCTAAGATATCTACCTTAGATTTTTAAGTGAAAATAGGAGGTATAGTATAATTCCATCTTGTTTTAAAAGAATTTTCACTATCTAAATTGTAAATATCTGATTTAATGAAGGTTTTTCAACGATTATTGCTATGGTTTGGATACCATGGTCAGTTGTAAGCCTCAATGTTGAAGGTGGGGCCTGGTGGGAGGTGATTGGAACTTTCACGAATGGTTTAGCACCATCCCCTTGGTGCTGTTCTCATGGGAGTGAGTGAGTGAGTTAATATGAGATCTGTTTAAGAGCATGTGGCACCTCCCCATTCTCTCTCTTCCTCCTGCTCCCTCCAGCCATGTAAGACATGCCTGCTTCCACTTCATCTTCTGCTGTGATTGTAAGTTTCCTGAGGCCTCCCCAGAAGCAGAAGCCACTGTGCTTCCTATACTGTGAACCGATTAAACCTCTTTTATTTATAAATTACCCAGTCTCAGGTATTTCTTCACAGCAGTGCAAGGATGAACTAATACAATTATACATCAATTTTATTATCAGAAAACAACATTTACACTTCATAAAATAAAACAAAAGGGTTTTCTTATAGGTGATTTATGCATAAGTATGAAAAGGAGGGTATTGAATCCTGGAATAAGTTCACATTACTCAGGAGAATACAAAATATTTTCTTCTGCAAACCTTAAGCCCAGTACTTAGTAGTTGTACTCATTAAATAGTTTGGGGATGAATAGATAAATAAATCAATGGATGGATGTATAGATGGATGGATGGATATTGAGGTCACAAAGGCAGTTTGTTGTTGTTGTTGTTTTAATTAGTGACCTAAATAATCCAAGATTGAAAGTCACTCTGAAGTAGCTGGTCCTCCAAAAATGTCAGGATTATTGGCTACCATGGATTTTGGAGTTTGGTCCTTACGCACAAACACCTGATGAGGGATCCAGATGATGTGGACAGACAAGGCTTACAAGAGCTCTGCTTAGCTTAAGACAAAACTCTCCCATACATGGGTTCCAAATAACCCCTAAGTGATGATCCCAGAACTAGCCTTCTGTGATTTATTCCTGTAGACATGAAGGAAATGAAGAAATGAATCAAGGAGACAGAAGGAGACCTTATGATATGAGAGATCATGCCTGGGGAAGCAACATTGTTTTTGGAAGATTAACTTTTCTTTTTGGTTTACACATATGCTGCTAGAGTTATAAAAGGAACTAACTGATGCCAATAGTATCCCCAAGTCCAGAAAAGGCTAAACTGTGTAACAAATATACCCCTGCCTCACCTTGCTATAAACACAGAAAGAGCTACCTTGAAAATGCTCCATTCATCCCAGTGTCTTACATTTTCCATGGCTTGCCTCCATGTATTCACGCAGGTCCCCTGTTCAATATTTCTGGGAGTCTCTGCGTGCATTTCATGCATCCTCAGCTGTCCAGCTATCATCTCCACGTGGAGTCCTCCCCATTCCTCCCCTCTTGTCCCGGGTCTTCCTTGTTGACATCTCTTGATTATGAAGAACTTCAGAGGATCTCATTGCTGCCATTCCTGACAAAAGCCACCATGAAAAGGCCACTGAGGGGCTAAAGCAGTGCCACATTCTAACCACAGGTAGAAACAGGTCCCTCTTCCAGGTCGGGTCACCTTGACACATGTTTGAAAAAAAGGGATAAATTTTATGTCTATGAATAGGCAATTCCTAGAAGAGGAAACCTGGATGGTGAATAAAAATAAAAACTATGTTCTAGTTCACTAAAAATCAGGAATGTGACTGAACATATCAGCAATTTTTACACCTATCAGATTTATAATCATTAAAAGAAACAGACAACCTCAAGTCTTGGGCAGATATGAAAAAGACAAGGGTGTTTGGTGGGAGTGAAAATGGTTATACCCACTATGAAGAGAAACTGGGAAATGTATTTTAAAATTGCCGATGCATTACCTCACAACCAAACGATTCTATTTCCAGGTGTGTCCTTTAGGAAAAAAATTCTCACACACATGCTCAAAGAGATGGGTATGACAATGTTTCTTGCATGATTGATGCATCAGCAAAAAGAAATTGGAAGCAATCTATATGTCCATCAATAGGAGAATGAATAAATAAATGGAATATGTCCAGGCATGGTGGCTCATGCCGGTAATCCTAGCACTTTGGGAGGCCAGGGCGGTGGATCACTTGAGGTCAGGAGTGCAAGACCAGCCTAGCCAATGTGGTGAAATGCCATCTCTACTAAAAGTACAAAAAAAAAAAAAAAAAAAAGTTGAAGGGTGTGGTGGCACGTGCCTGTAGTCCCAGCTATTCGGGAGGCTGAGGCAGGAGAATCACTTGAACCAGGAGGCAGAGGCTGCAGTAAGCCAACATCATACCACTCCTGCCTGGGTGACAGAGGAAGACTCTGTCTCAAAAAGAGAGAGAGATAATACTAGGACACAAAGCAAATGAATAGACTAAAGCCACATGTGTCACCATGGATGAACCTCAAAAAGGGAATATTGAAAGTTGAAGCCCATGTACAGTATGATTCCATTTATATAGTTTCCATACATGCATATATACATTTATAGAAATAGTATAAAAACATGAATAAAAATGTGCAATTCCAAATTTTTTATAGTGGTTACTTCCTGGACAAGAGGGAGAAATAAGAAGGGGACAAACACAAGGGACTGCAACTCTATCTGATGGGTTTTATTACTTTAGAAAATTCTGAAACACACAAGGCAAAGTGTCAAGAAATTTTACAGATGAGTATCCTTCCTGTTATCTCCTATGGGTTTCTGTGCCTTAAAATATGTTATAATGATATGGTAGATACACCATAAAGTAACACCAAAGTAAACCATGTTCTTACATAATTCCCTCCCCTCGAGTGCAGGTAGAACCTGTAACTTGATTCAAACCAATAGAATACGGCAAAGGCGATGGATGCCACTCTTGTGATTACTTTATATTATATAATTTTCTGCCTTAACTGACTAGAGTGAGAGACTCTTACAGGCTTGGAGAAATAAACTGCCTTGTTGTGAGAAGGCCAGATGGCAGAAAACCATGAGTGACCCTCTAAGACCTAATAGCCACCCCCAGCTGACACTCAACAAGAAGCCTGACCCTCAGTCATATAGCTACAAGGAAATGAATTCTGGCAGCAACCTCACTGAGTTTGGGATGGAATTTTTCCCCAGTCAAGACTCCAGATGAGAACACAGCCCAAGTATGGCCAACCCTTTAATTGCAGCCTTCACAGATGCTAGCAGAAGACCCAGGTAAGCTGTGCCTGCACTCCTGATCCACAGAAACTGAGATCATAAATGTGTGTTGTTTTAAGTCACTGTGTGGTAATTTGTTACACAATAGTAGAAAACTAATACAAATAAAATATTTATGAAAAGAAACAGGAATTCAGAGGAAAAACATAAAATTTTGATGATGTAGTGTCCAAGTTTCAAGAAGGAGGAAGCAATTCCTGGAACAAATGCTCCCAAGGCTAAGACCAAGGTTGACAGAAATATCTCCTTCAGCTTTAGCAGTTTTCAAGCAGTGGTCATGTCAGAAGCTTGGTGCTAGAAGGCTGAGAAGTAAGTAGGAGAGAGAAACTGGGGACGCTAGCCAAGAAGTTTATCAAGAAGGAAGGTTCAAGGAAAAAGCCACTCGCTGCATGGAGGTATAAGGCTGGGGGAGTTTCACTGATTTTTTATAAACCAGGAGAAACTTAAAAATGTTTGCTTGGGTGTCTCAAATGTTCTTATTCATAACAGAATGGTTTAGTTCAATGGTTCTCAACCCAGTCTGCACATTATAATCACCTGAGGAACTTTCAAATAGTCCCCATACACAGCATATCCATGCAATTGAAACTATTCAGCAATAAAAAGAAAGAAATACCAATACAAATGTAGTACCTTTATAACAACAGGGATGGAACTAGAGATCATTATGTTAGGTGAAATAAGCCAGGCAAAGAAAGACAAACATCATATGTTCTCACTTATTTGTGGGATCTAAAAATCAAAACAACTGAACTCATGGACATCAAGAGTAGAAGGATGGTTACCAGAGGCTGGGAAGGGTAGTTGGGGGGCCTGACAGGGATATGGTATAGTTAAGGGGTGCAAAAAATAGTTAGAAAGAATGAATAAGACCTACTACTTGATAGCCCAACAAAGTGACTATAGTCAATAATAACTTAAGTCTACATTTTAAAATAAAATAAAATAAAAGAGTGTATTGGATTGATTTTAACTCATAGGATAAATGCTTGAGGAGATGGATACCCCATTCTCCATGATTTGATTATTTCACATTGCATGCCTGTATCAAAACATCTCATGTACTCCATAAATGTATACACCTACTATGTACCCACAAAAATTAAAACTTCAAAAATTTTTAAAAATAAATAAAACTATCATGCTCTAGAAAAAAAAAAGAAACAAAAATACCAATACATGCTACCACATGGATAAGCCCCAAAAATATTACGCTCAGCGAAAGAAACCAGGTGCAAAAGGCCACTACTATGTTGTTCCATTTATATGAAATGTTTTTTAAAAGCAATTCTATAGAAACAGAAAGTAGATTAATGGTTATCTGGGATTGAAGGTAGGAATAGGAATTAATGGAAAACTTTTTTTTCACCATTGCCCCATGAAACAAACTTTTGTCAACTCATTTGTCCCTCAGTCCTGGCTCCTGGCAGTTCACCCTAGCATAGCCTTAATTCTCTAGATGATCCTCGTGTGTGGCATACATTTGAGGATAAACCGCAGCCATCCCCCTCCCATGGGTAACTCTGAGGCAACCTTGCCGAATGCAAACTGCTTTCAGGCAACCTTGTCTCACCATCTACTTCTAGCCAGCATCTTGGTTTTGAATGTTTAGGTGTGCAACAGGTAACAGTTACTCTATTCCTTGAGTTTCAAAGGATAGAATTCAACCTTTCAAGCAGATATCTTTAAGTCCAACACACACACACACACACACACACACACACACACACACACACACTTCTAAAGACACTTTTACTCACAAATGAATCTTTAGCCTTCTCCCCCATAGTCTGGAGACTGGGGATGGGCTAATGCTGAAAAACGCAATTTGGGGGCCTACAAAAGTTACCAAAACCGTCTAGCACCTCCATTTAGAATATGGGAATCCTTGGCCTCTATTACTCACAGGTCTGGGGACTTATCCAAAATTCTAAGACAAGAATACTCTAGTTGTAACATCCTAAAATATCTGTTTCATCTTGTGTTGACTAACTACAGCATCCCAAATGCGTGATAACCAAATTGTAATTTAAATGCATGTGCTTCTTCCAGGAAAAAAGCATGAGTAGATGGATGTGTCACATGGAAAGGACAGGTGAGCTCAGGCTGGGGACTGATGGCATCAAAGCATTTCCTGGGGGAGAAGGTGATGGTGTGTAAAACTTTGGGGGGCTTTCACTTGGATGTCATATCACATAACTGTGCTGTGATTGCCATGTGGAGTGGATGTACACTCTTATGAAATATCATCATCGCCACCCAGTTTTGCTCCTCCAAAAACACATGCTACTCCAATATAACAATGCTCAGCTCACCAAACTGCTTCAACACAGGCAAAAATCTAAGAGTTGAATGGGTCAAATTTTGTCTCATCCAGTGTGCAATTCCGCTCTTGAACCATCAAGCTATGGTTTGTTCTGATCAGTGGTCACATTTCTATTGAGGTGATAGTTCTAGACATGTGACAAATTTGGAGCAGCCCAGATGGATTCCTCACCTTGACATACACAACTGGTTCTTCTCTAGCATGAGGGTCTGCAAATTCTTTCTGCAGAGAGCCACAAATAATTTTGGCTTTGCAGGCTGTACTCTTTCTGTTGCAACTACTCAATCCCTATCATTGTAGCACAAAAGCAGCCATGGATGCTGCATAAATTGAATGATCCTGGCTGTGTTCCAATAAAACTTTATTTACAAAAACAGACAGTGGGCCAGATTTGGGCCATAGACTATAGTTTGCTGACCCCTGCTCCAGCAGATTGAACTATTTGTCAAAACATAGGTAACTGTCCTCAAAAAAGAAGTAGGAGGTATTTTGCCAAATAACCTTGGTTCCTTAGAGTCTTGTTTATTGCCGAATAAATTGTACATTTATAGTGAAAAAAGTTTATATACTCATAAATGTAGGTGGGAATGATCCAATACAGGAGAGAAGTTGAAAATGCTGGAGATATTGGGGATGACTGATGGAATAAAGACCCTGAGAACCCAAGAGGGGGATTCCAAAGAACAGGTGAGAGGTCTCTTAGGCCATAGAAGCGGAATGATGAGAGGGTGGCCTGGAAAAGATGGCACACATTTGACTGATGGTGTCCATTACCATCTGCTGAGAGAATGGTAAATATCAGGAGGCATGAGAATGGAAAAGGTTTGAAATTGCCTTTTTGGACAATAAGCAAGAAAGCTGAGCAATGGAAGGCATGGAGACCAACCTCATTGAGGCTTTAATTAACTCATTTTAAAAAGGAAACAAAGCCACCTGCTCACCAGGCGGTGGTGAGTGTTGAGAAAATAAAGCCAGTTCACCACGGTATTTAAGAACCCTGAAATGTGTGAGCAGGAAGAAACCTTAGAATCATCAAGGCTTCCAAAAATAAGGAATGACTATCACTGATGAGAGTTGAGATTGGTTTTTATGTGGCACTCAGACATGACATTAAATAATATCAATTCACATAATTGGGCAGTGCTTTATTCTCCATTTTCTTTCTATCTTTCTGATTGCCTCACATAAAAGTCTCCATCTGGCACAGGTATGTCTGTAACACCTCTCTAAAACATGCCATTTTCACATATAACAAGTCAGACAGACCTTCCAACAGGAAAGAAACTGCATATAATTTAATGTCATGGGTTTGTTGTCCTCCTACTTATTTTCATGGCTGTTTTCTATTTATAGTCATTGATAATAGGCTTTTTATTCATAATATAAATGTATGATACAATATCATACCTACCCAAAGGGAAAGAAATCATTATATCAAAAAGATACCTGCATTTATGATTATTGCAGCACTATTCACAATAGCAAAGATTTGGACTCAACCTACGTGTCCATTGACCAATGAATAGATAAAGAAAATATGGTATATACGCAAAATGGAATACTATTTAGCCATTAAAAAAGAACAAAATCATGTCGTTTGCAGCAACAAGGATGGAACCAGAGGCCATTATCTTAAGTGAAACAACTCAAAAACAGACAAATACCACATGTTCTCACTTACAAGTGGAAGCTAAATAATGTGTACACATGGACATGGGGAATAGAATAATAGACACTGGAGACTGTGAAGGGTAAGGGATAAGAGGGAAGTGGATAATGAGAATTTTTTTTCTTTTTTGAGATGGAATCTCGCTCTGTCACTCAGGCTGGAGTGCAGTGACACAATCTCGGCTCACTGCAACCTCCGCCTCCTGGGTTCAAGCAATTCTCCTGCCTCAGCCTCCCAAGTAGCTGGGACTGCAGGCGCACACCGCCATGCCCGGCTAATTTTTTATATTTTAGGAGAGATGGGGTTTCACCGTGTTGCCCAGGCTGGTCGCAAACTCCTGAGCTCAGGCAATCCACCTGCCTCGGTCTCCCAAAGTGTGGGATTACAGGCGTGAGTTATCACACCCAGCCGAGAAATTATTTAATGGGTACAGCATACATTATTCAGGTGACGGATACATTAAAAGCCCAGACTTCAACACTAAGTAATATATCGACATAACAAAATTGCACTTGTACCCTTTAAATCTATACAAATGAAAAAATACACATTTTTAAAGGAAATTTAAAGCGAGGCACTTTAAAAGAAAGACAGTGAATAATCTCCAGGCAGTATACAAAGCCAAATAGTGGAGGTGTTGTAGGAATCAGACACCACAGATAGGGGGAGTGATGCCAGAAGAGGACAGGAATTTCTCCCAACTCAAGCAGTGCTAGAGGTTGAGCTGGAATCCAATGCCAGGTCTCTCCATTCTCAGCCCTTTAGTCTTTCTGATGTAAACCAGGCCTTGCTCTGACTCAGAAGTTTCCATTTATTTGCATTGTATAGCCCAAGGTTAAACCCCATCAGTGACCCTTTTCGTCTCTCTTCACAGAGGTGCACCTTGCAAGGTGCAGAGAGTCTCCTGTCAGCATGGTGGAGATAGCAGCCTTGTCCATCAGCTCTGGCTTTTCATGCAGGCGAGTGGAGCAGAGCCCCGACATGCCTGAGAAAGTAGCCGGTCAGAGGCTGGGACTCAAAGAGCTGTGTGCCTGCTCCATCCTCAAAGCCTTCTGCAGAATCAGGCAGCCCCAGCAGCCACTGGCTCTGGTGAGAATGCATAGGAGAGCTTGGGGGAGGATGCTGAGGGTCGGGGGAGCAGGGGGACTTAAGACAGACAGTGGTGGCTTCTGGAGACCAAGGGTTCAGGCCCAGTCAGAACCTACAGGCACTGCCCGCACTGTCCAATTCCTGAGTGAAAATTGCTGCTGTGCTATTGAACATGAATGATGCTTGCTTTGTTTGCTATGTTTTCCCATTGTCCTGGCTCATAGTAGACACTCAGTGAAACTCTGTTACATGTCTAATGAGGGTGAACCTTGAGTCAGAGAAAAAGGAAGAGAGAGAGAGCAAGAGAGAGAAACACAAACGAGAAAGGAAAGAAGAAAGAAATCTTCATGGAGGTAGAAACTGTCTAACTCTTCTCTAATATTTCTCCAACTTGCGGGACAGTACATGGCACATAAAGGACTCTCAATAAATACCTTTTGAATAAATGAACAAATGAATAGAAGAGAGATAATAAACACTCATAACCATATTACAATTTAAAAGTGGGAGTGGCCAAAATAATTCTTACAGATAGCATTTATTGAGCACCTACTCTAAGCATTCAATGGATGTAGGTGGTGTTAACTGTTGCTACTATTATAATCTTACTGAGTACCAAGCATGGTGCTAGGAGCTTTACAGAGATTATCTCTTGTAATCCTCATTATTCCTGAAGACAGAATCTTGTATAAACCCCATTTTACAGCTAAATAACTGAAACTCCGAGAGGTCAAGTATCTTGCTTAAGATCGCTCAGCTAATAAAGACAATGGTGGATTGATGACTCTCATCCAGGTCTATGTGTACCTAAAGTCTGGGGTCTGTGCCTTATAGAACTGTGCTTAACAATATGACACCAAGAAGGGTGGGTAGGCTTGGTGGATGTTCAAGAAGAGTTAATCAGTCACAGAAAGTGGGAAGGGGATGAGAGAGGAAAGAGACGATTGTGGGAGTGTGGGAGGCATTACTAGGACTCTACAAGATTTGAAGGTCTCCTCTCTTTCTGTCCTTTCTGTCATACTCTTTTTTTTTTTTTTTTGGTGACTGAGTCTCTCATTCTGTTGCCCAGGCTGGAGCACAGTAGTGCTATCTCAGCTCACTGCAACCTCCCTCTCCTGGGTTCCAGCGATTCTTCTGCCTCAGCCTCTCAAGTAGCTGGGACTACAGGTGCCCGCCACCACACCCGGCTAATTTTTCTATTTTTAGTCGAGACAGGGTTTCACTATGTTGGCCAGGCTTGTCTTGAACTCCTGACCTCAAGTGATCCATCCCTCCCAGTCTCCCTAAGTGCTGAGATTATGAGCATGAGACACCATGCCTAGCCTCTTTCTGTCATACACCCTCTTAAGGTGAGGCATGGCCATGCGAATTTCTTTGGCCAATGAAATGTGAGCACAAGTGACACCATCACTTTTGGGGCAGAGGCATTTAAGAACCACTAAGTGATTTTCTGTGCTTTCCTTCCCTGCCAAGCAATTGTTGAAATAATTGGGCTAAGCCAATACGTGAAGGCCAGTTGACCATACCTGCAGTGAATCTGAAATGAGTAAGAAAGAAATTTATGTTAAGCAACTATAATTTGGTGATATTTGTTAATGCAGCATAACTTGTCCTACCCTGCCTAATACAATAATGACTATGAAAGAGTTACAAAGCAGCGGCACCTATACAAAATGAAATGTAGGACAGAATGTTTGCATAGAAGAAACTATTTGTGAGTGTCATATCAAAGAAAGAGGTTTTTCAGTCTGCTTTAAAAATGAAAAAGCAACATCAAGGCTATTGGAATGGCAGTACAATGTGGTGGGTAAGTGGAGTCTGAACAACCTGAGTTTAATTCCTGTCTTGGACTTTCACCAACTAACTGTTAGCCTCCCTGAGCCCATTTTCTCATCGGAAACATGAGATTGACACCAACACTAAGCTCATACAGTGGTTATAAGCTTTAAATGAGATTATATACATGAAGTCCTCAACATAGTACCCGGCACACAGTAAGTTCTCAAGAAATATAACTATGATTGGTGAAGGATGAGGCAACAGTCACTGGCAGGAATGAAAAGTATTCATTTTCCCCTTCCTAACAATGCCCTGTGAGTCCTGAAAGCTGTTTTCAGGCCCGCAGGGGTTAACCCAAGACACACAGTCATTCACATGTACATGCACATGCACACACAGCCCTGCCTGCTGCCCTTTGATCCCTCTCCCAAGGCCGAAATGGAGATGAAGTCTGCCAACTGTACAGCCCTAATTGCATTTCCTCTCTGAAAGAGGGTCTGGTGCAGAACACCTGCGGTCCAGCGCTACGTGACGGCGAGGCTGTCATGCAGGCAGCAGAGGCACAAGCAGCGTGCACATTCGGGGGCTCTGGGGCTCGAGATACAGCCAGTCCTGGCAGATCCCTGGGTGCCCCTCCCAAGTGCTGCTCCCGCTGTGGAAACAGAGCTTCCTGCACAAGGCTGAGTACAGTCTGGAGTTTTGTAATTAATCTTCTCAAGAGCCCCCTAGGGCTGAGGGTGGGAAGAGAAGGGTCCAGACATTTTCCTGATGCCCTAAGAGGCAGAATACATAGCATGGTGGTTGAGAGCAGAGGGTTTTGAAAGGCAGGACCCAGGGCTCAGAATGAAGCTGTAACGTCATTGGCTGTGCAACTTGGGGCAGGTCCCGTGTGCTCTTTGAGTTTCCTCAGCTGTAAGGCTCAAGGCAATAACATTTGCAGGATTGGGTGAAATGACATATCTAATGTGCTCTGCCAACACCTGTCACGTAGCGGGTGCTTGATAAATTTTAGCCATTATTCTTAGGATAATTCATTTATTGGACAAACACGTATTGAGCAATTACCATGTGTCAGGTACAGTTCCTGCTCAGAAAACATGGATGAACCACTTAGACTAAGTCTTTGCCCTTGTAAAGCTTATATTTTGGTGGAGGAGAGAGAAAGCAAGCATGCAAACCAATTAGATAAGTTTAGCACAGAATGGTGCTCTGAAGGAAATAACAGGATAGGATAGAAGAATGGCTGAGAACAGACAGCCCTGCATTAGCCAGGCTGGTAAGGGAAGTCCTCTTTGAGACACTTGAAGGAGAATGTGT